>NC_000007.14:64931021-65234051 GCF_000001405.40 Homo sapiens | reverse complement strand
TCCAGAACTGAGGGTTCTTCCCCATTTTAGAGGCTACAGGGTAACTTCCAGATCTTGCCATGGCATCTGTAAGCTGTCATGGCACTGGTGGTAGAGTCTTTTTGCATGCAAATGCATTATACTGGCATATAATGAGCAGTGAGAATGAGCATCACCATCTTGGTTTTGGTGGGTTCTGGCTGGCATTTATTTAAACCACATCCTGTTTTATCAGCAGAGTCTTCGTGACCTATATCTTATGCTGGCCTTCTATCTCATCCTGATAGAAGGTTAGAATGCCTAACCTCCTGGGAATGCAGCCCAGTAGGTCTCAGCCTTATCTCACCCAGCTGCTATTTAAGATGGAGTCACTCTGATTTTTAAGCAGAATATCTCTCTGACACCTTCACAGGTGGGAACTGGAGTGCACGGGTGCTGGCAGGGGCAAACTCCACTCACTCAGCCCACTGTGCTCCACCACTTGTGGGAGGGGGAGCATGCAGGTGACTGGGTGCAGGAGCTGAGACATTTTTGGACTCTGGCAGGAGCAAACTCTGTACTGGCCCCATGGCAGCATCTGGGGGATGCTCATGACTTCTGAAACCCCAGAAGGACTCTTACAGTGCCCTTTTAGCTTTGCTGTCCATGGATAGCTTAAGTGTTAACAGCTCAGTGGAGGGACAGTGTGATAGCCTTTTGCACCCATACTCATGGCACCTGAGTTCTTGTCTGGCATCCAGGAGGAATGAGGTTGCAAGAACAAATTGAAGATGGTAAATGTGAGATATTTTATTGCCAATCAAAGTGACTCTCAGCAGGAAGGGGAGCAGAAAAGGATATTGAGCAAGATTATCTTCCCCTGAAGTCTGGTCATCCCTGGCCAGACTTTTCTCTGAAATTATTCCATCATGCTTTCTCTGTGAAGTCAAGCTCCTTCTCTCTAATGTCCAATCATAGTCTCCAATGTCCAGCTGCTTCTCCTCTCTCTGCTGGCTGAGCCTGGGGTTTCTGTGGGCACAAGAAGCAGGGTGGGGTGGGACATGGGTGGTTTTGGAAAAGGCAACATTCAAGCGGGAAAACAGAGATGTAAATTTTCACTTTGAGCAGTGCTATCAGGCTTTTTGGCATGAGGGTGGGGCCCTTACCAGGGATCTGCCCTCCCCAAATTTCTCTGCCTCCTGTCCCTATCGTTTGAATGCCTCTGACATTAAGATCCACTACAACATTATGGGAAAAGTCTATTGGAATTATAGTCAATGAGAAATGGAAGAATTAGGATGGGCTATTCTGAAAGGCGTAGCATTAGTTACATTTGCGTTTACAAGTTTTTTATTAACCTATATTTATTACTTATGAATATATATCATGTTTTATTCTGTCTAGTTTAAACATATACACTAGATAATAAAAGTGGTCCCCACTGTGAAAGAAAAATAAACCTCTGGACCCCCAAATCACTAAGCCAATGGAAAAGTCAAGCTGGAAACTATGTCAGGCAAACCTGCCTCCTATTTTATTTCTAAATAAGATAGCTACAAATATAAAAAGCTACATATTTTCCTCACAATTTGCCCATAAAGAAATTCCTTGTCAACAAAGGGCAGACAGAACTCAAAGTCATCCCTCTGAGGCTCATCTGAGACAAATGCATATCTGATTTCTTCCTCTGCCCTATTGTTTATGTAAAAATGCAGATTCACTGAGGCAGACAATTTTGTATTCAGTGAAGGGCTTATCAAGGACTCAAAATAATGTAATCTTTTGTCTCTTATCTACTTATGACCTGGAAGCCCCCAACTGCAGTTGTCCCACCTTACCAGATCGAACCAATGTACCTCTTACACATATTGATTAATGTCTCATGTCTTCCTAAAATATATGAAAGCAAGCTCTACATCGACCACCTTGTGCACATGTCATCAGGACCTTCTGAGGCTGTGTCACAGGCATGTCTTTAACCCTGGCAAAAAAAACTTTTTAAATTGATTGAGACCTGTCTTAGATACCCTTTAGTTCACACAGCCAAGGCCCTGCTAGCTGGCCACTACCACACCCAGCTGATGCATCGCCATTGCATGGGCTCTGGTTTCTTGATAACAATTGTTTTATTTGGGTAGCAGATGGGCAGATGTGTACCTGAGATTGCAGCACTGTGCTTTTAGGTGACGTGGGATGTTCCAAGCACCAACTTCCAGCCAGTCTATCTTGTGATTGTTTAAAATTCTTTAGTGTAGTGTGAAAATGGGAATAAACAGCTCCTGAATGCTAACAATGGCTGTTAGCACATTTTAGGGTGCTCTAAGGTAGCCATGGAGAAGTTCTGGGTCCTTTTGTGGCTCTTCTCTCAGCAGCTGGTGGAATGGTTTTCTTGGGTCTTGTGATCCAGGCTGTATGTATGTAAGGGGAGTTGAGGGCAGGGTGGGGAAAAGAGAAGAGATCCAGATTCCTAGGGGGCACATCCAGGTATTCATTATTCTCCTGGCTTGGTGAGTTTCTTATTTAAATATTTTTCTTGTTAATGGTTCATGTGTCCTGAACAAGGAGGTGAGAGAAGAAAAATATCTCAGAACAGTCTCAGGTCTGTGAGGGCTGCAAAATTTATCAAGCACACAGAAATGAAAGTATGGGACTTCAGTCTCACCCCACACCTGTGCCCAGGGACAATTGCTTTAAAAAGTTTCATTTTGGACTAGCTGTCTCACCCATTATTTCTCTTTCTGGGAATTTGTAAAACAAAGAAAAACATGTAGCCAATCAATAGCTTATGAATTCAATGTAAATTATTGGTAAACAACTTAGAAACTGCCTTGTTGTTTTTTTCAAAAATACCCACTTTTAACAGTTGTTAATTGAAATGTATATTCAGGTCAACTTAAATCTATTCTCCTTGTGGCCACCCTCAATATTTTACTTTGAAGACATTATTTTCAAATTAGATTCTGACCTTTTTGATTATTTTAGGCTCCCTGGGGCCTGGCCTGGAACACCCTCCTAGGTGTAAATAGCCCAGCCATCAGCCACCTTCTTAGCAGAGGAGATGAATCAACAGCAGGTCAAAGACACATGCAGTGAGTAGCTCTCTGGGACCTGAGTGCTAATTACAAGGAGAGTCACACAGGTATTCCTGAATGCTTGGACAGCCTGACCTTTCCTGAACCAACTCCTACACCAGCTTTTTCAAGCACACCTTGACCTCTTGTTGGTCAGTCCTCTGGGGTAAAAACTGATCTTCAGGGTTGTCTCCAACAGGAGAGAAACATCAGGTTATTAAAACCTCAGGAATGGCTGGTCATGGTGGCTCACGCCTGTAATCCCAGCACTTTGGGAGGCCGAGGCGGGTGGATCACCTGAACCAGGTTGGGAGTTCGAGACCAGCCTGACCAACATGGAGAAACTCAGTCTCTACTAAAAATACAAAAATTAGTTGGGCGTGGTGGTGGGCACCTGTAATTCCAGCTACTCAGGAGGCTGAGGCAGGGAAAAGTGCTTGAGCCCAGGAGTGGGAGTTTGCAGTTAGCCAAGATCACACCACTGCACTCCAGCCTGGGTGACAGAGTAAGATTCCATCTGAAGAAAAAAAAATACAAAAATTAGACGGATGTGGTGGCACATGCTTGTAATCCCAACTACTCAGGAGGCTGAGTCATGAGAATCTCTTGAACCCTGGAGGCAGAGGCTGCATTGAGCTGAGATACCACCACTGCACTCCACCCTGGGTGACAGAATGAGACTCTGTCTAAAAAAAACTTACATTAAAGAAAAATCAACTCAAGATGGATTGAAGACTTAAATCTAATATGTGAAACTATACAAATTTTAGAAGATAATATAGAAAAAACTCTTCTAGACATTGGCTTAGGCAAAGAGTTTATGACCAAGTTCCCAAAACCAAATGCAACAAAAACAAAGATAAATAAATGTGACTTAATTAAACTAAAAAGCACAGCAAAAGAAATAATCTGAAGATTAAACAGACAACCCACAGAGAGGGAAAAAAATATTCACGAACTATCCATCCAACAAAGGACTAATACCCAGAATCTGCAAGAAACTCAAACAAATCAGCAAGAAAAAAACAAATAATCACATTAAAAAGTGGGCTAAGTACATAAATAGACAATTCTCAAAAGAAGATATACAAATGGCCAAAAAATGTATGAAAAAATGCTCAACATTACTAATTATCAGGGAAATACAAATCAAAACAATGTGGGCCGGGCGTGGTGGCTCACGCCTGTAATCCCAGCACTTTGGGAAGCCCAGGCGGGTGGATCACGAGGTCAGGAGATGGAGACCATCCTAGCTCACACGGTGAAACCCCATCTCTACTAAAATTACCAAAGAATAGCCGAGTGTGGTGGCAGGCGCTTGTAGTCCCAGCTACTCGGGAGGCTAAGGCAGGAGAATCGCTTGAACCTGGGAGGCGGAGGTAGCAGTGAGCTGAGATTGCACTGCTGCACTCTAGACTCGGGTACAGAGCGAGACTCTGTCTCAAAAAACAAAACAAACAAATAACAAAAAACAAAAAACAGAAAAAACACACAATGTGATACCACCTTACTCCTGAAAGAATGGCTATGATTAAAAAATCAGGCTGGGTGTAGTGGCTCACGCCTGTAATCCCAGCACTTTGGGAGGCTGAGGTGGGCAGATCATCTGAGGCCAGGAGTTTGAGACTAGTCTGGCCAGCATGGTGAAATCCCATCTCTACTAAAAATGCAAAAATAGCCAGGCGACGTGGCGTGCACCTGTAGTCCCAGCTACTTGGGAGGCTGAGGCAGGAGAATTGCTTGAACCTGGGAGGAAGAGGTTGCAGCGAGCCAAGATTTTGCCACTGGACTCCAGCCTGGGTGACAGAGTGAGACTCCTTCTCAATATACATAAATATAAATAATATATATAATATAAATATAATAAATATATATTTATTATAATATAATTATGTAATATACATAACATAATATATAATATACATAATAAAAATATAATATATGTAATAAATATATATTATACATAATAAATATGTATAATATATATTATATATAATATATATATTACATTATCTATAATATATATCATATAATATATACCATATATAATATATAATATATCACACAATATATCATAATATATAATATATATCATATAATATATAATCATATATAATATATATCATAATATATAATCATATATAATATATCATATAATATATATCATATATATAATATATAACATATATAATAAATACATAACATTAATATATATTATATAATAAATATATATCATATAATAAATACATAATATATTATATATTAAATATATAATATATTAAATATATAATATATAATAAATATATATTATATAAGAAATATATAATATACAATAAATATATAACATATAATATATAATATGTTAATTATAATATATAATACATAATATATAACATATATAATACATAATATATATTACATAATATATAATACATAATATATATTATATATAATACACATAACATATATTAATTATATATTATATATGTTATATAAATATATATTATATATTATATGTTATATATATTTATTATATATTATATTACATATTATATAAATATATATTATATATACTTATATATAATAAATATATAATATATAATAAATATATATTATATAATATATATATTATATAATATATAGTATATATATTTTACATATATAATATATATAATAATATATTATATATAATAATAAGATATAATTATATATATCTTATATAATATATATATAATATATAATAACTATATATAATATATTATATAATAAATATATATAAAATATAATATATAATATATAAGATTATATATGAAAATATATATTCATATTTATAAATATATAATAAATTACATAATAAATTTATTATATATTTATAAATATATAATAAATTATATAATAATTATATATTTATAAATATGATAAATTACATAAATATTTTATATAAATTTATAAAACATAATTTATATATAAATATATAATATATGTAATAAATATATATTATATAATAAGTATATAATATATATAATATATATTTATATAATATAATATATAACATATATAATAAATATATTATATAATATATAATAAATATATTATATATTATATATAATATATCTTATATAATATATATTATTTATATAATAAATATATAATATATAACATATACTATATAACATGTTTATAATAAATATGTAATATATAATATATAATATATAGTTATATGATATATAATATAATATATAATATACTTATATAATATATAAACATTATATTATATATTATATAATATATATCATATATTATATAATATATAAATATAATGTATATATTATATAAATATAATGTATATTATATAATATATAATATATAGTTATATGATATATAATATATAATATACTTATATAATATATACATTATATTATATATTTATATAATATATATAATATATATTATATAATATATAATATAATGTATATATTATATAAATATAATGTATATTATATAATATACAATATATAATGTATATTTATATAATATATAATGTACATTTATATAATATATAATGTATACTTATATAATATATAATGTATATTTATATAATTGTATAATATATAATATATAATGTATAATTACATAAATATTTATATAATAATATAATATAAATATATAATATAAATATAATATATATTATAATATATATAAAATTTATATATTATATATATTATGTATTATAATATATATTTATATATTATATGTTAATATATAATATATATTTATATATTATATATTAATATATAATATATATTATATATTAATATATAATATATATTTATATATTATATAAATATGTAATATATATAAATTACATATTTATATAATATATAAATATGTAATATATAATATATAAATATATAATTTATGTAATATATAAATATATAATTTATGTAATATATAAATATACATTTATATATTATATATAAATGTATATTTATATAATATATAAATATAATATATATAATATATAGTTACATAATATACAAATATAATATATATAGTTACATAATATACAAATATAATATATGATATATAGTTACGTAATATATAAATATATGATATATAGTTATGTAATATGTAAATATATGATAGTTATATAATATATAATATATATGATATATATTAATATAATATATAAATATAATATATATGATATATATTAATACATATAAATATAATATATATGATATATATTAATACATATAAATATAATATATATGATATGTATTTATATATTAATATATATGATATGTATTTATATAATATATAAATATATATGTATTTATATAATATATAAATATACAATATGTATATAATATAGAAATACAATATACAATATGTATATACTATATAAATATAATATACAATATGTATATATTATAGAAATATATACAATATGTATTTATGTTATATAATATATATGTATTTATGTTATATAATATATATGTATTTGTTATATAAATGTAATATATATGTATTTATATGTTATATAAATATAATATATAATATGTATTTATGTTATATAAATATAATATATAATATGTATTTATATGTCATATAAATATAATATATATGTATTTATGTTATATAAATATAAGTATTTATATAATATATAAATATAATATATATGTATTTATATAATAAATATAATATATAATATATAATATGTATTTATATAATATACAAATATAATATGTGAATATAATATATGAATATAATATATAAATATAATATATAAATATAATATATTTATATAATATATATAAAAATATATATTACATATTATATATATTTATATATAATTGAAAAAAAGTTGGTATAGATGTGATGAAAAGGAACACTTTTCCACTGCTGATGTGAATGTTAACTGGTGCAATAAATATGGAGAACAGCATGGCGATTCCTTAAAGAACTAAAAGTTGGACTACCATTTGATCCAGCAATCTCAGTACTGGGTATCTACACAGAGGAAAATAAGTCATTATATGAAAAAGACACTTGCACACGCATGTTTATAACAGCGCAATTTGCAATAGTAAAAATATGGAAACAGCCTAAATGCCCATCAACCGACTGGATAAAGAAAATAGGGTATATGTATATATACTATGGAATACTACCCAGCCATGAAAAGGAAGAAAACGATGGCACTCACAGCAATCTAGATAAAGTTGGAGATCATTATGCTAAGTGAAGTAACTCAGGAATGGAAAACCAAGCGTTGTATGTTCTCACTTTTTAGTGGGGGCTAAACTAGAGGATGTAAAGGCATAAGAATTATGTAACATAATGGACTCTGGAAACTTGGGGAAAGGGCGGGGGGTGGTGAGGGATAAAAGACTACACATTGGGTACAGCATACACTGCTGGGGAGATGATGCACCAAAATCTCACAAATCACCACAAAAGAACTTATTCATGTAACCAAACACCACCTCTTTTGAAATAATAATGATAAAAACAAAAAACACAAACAACTCCCTAAGTTTAAGTTTATATGTTTTGGCCAATTTTTTTTTTTTTTCCCAGAAAGGATCTCCCTCTGTCACCCAGGATGGAGTGTAGTAGCTTGATCATGGCTTGCTGCAGCCTCAGCCTTCCGGGCTCAGGCAATTCTCCTTCCTCAGCCTCCTGAATAGTTGGTATTACAGGTGCAGGCCACCATGCCCAAATAATTTTTGTATTATGTGTAGACATATGGTTTTGCCATGTTGCTCAGGCTGGTCTCATATTCCTGGATTTAAACAGTCTTTATGTCTTGGCTTTTTAAAGTGCTAGGATTGCAAGCATGAGCTACCATGCATGACTAGAATCTTATTTTTACATGATATAGAAAAGTTAAATATATTTAGATCTGTTAGTTAACAGAAAATTTGAGAAAATATTTTTATTAAAATACAAAATGGTTTTTATCTAAAAATAATGGTACAAAACATTCAAAATTACTTCCTGGAAATTTCACTAAAAATTTGGTTGCTCAGAGTTAATGTAATTAATATGTATATTTAAAACTACTAGATTTAAGGAATAACAATTTGGTATAGAGAGTGTATAAACAAAAACAAAGCATGCTTTCATGAAGAAAGTTAGAAACATTTTGTCTAGTTTGAAATTACTTAAAGGTTGTCTCAAATTGAAAAAATAAGATGAATGTAGATTAAAATATTAGAAGTTAAAAATATTATAAAATATGTACAGAAATCTAGAGTGGACAAAAATAATATATTTGATGGATTTATTTTTAAAGTTTCACCAAAATTAACTTTAGTATTGATAATATACTAATACAAAAGTAAAAGCTGATTTTCTTTTGAACAAAATTTTATGTATTATTATTAATATGACACAGTAATGTATTTTTGTTTACCTTTTGAATAAATTTTAAAAGAGAGGTAGAATTTTTCTCATACTGCCTTTTTTCAGATTTTTGATTGAAAAACTTAATCTCCTGCATCAAACAGTAAAATGTTTTGTTTTTAAAAATCTTTTAATCATCACTTTGGCTAAATGAATGACTATTATTTTACGGTGACCTGTGATCCTATTTTGGTCAAGTATTTTAACCCTCTGACATATTTGACAGTCTTTCTAAAATCAAATTTCAGCTTAAAAATTGTCTTTTTGTGGCCGGGCATGGTGGCTGACACCTGTAATCCCAGCACTTTGGAAGGCCGAGATGGGTGGATCTCCTGAGGTCAGGAGTTTGAGACCAGCCTGGGCAACATGGTAAAACCCCATCTCTACTAAAAATACAAAAAATTAGCTGGTCATGGTGACAAACACCTGTAATCCCAGCTACTCAGGAGGCTAGGGCAGGAAAATTACTTGAAACTAGGAGGCAGAGGTTGTAGTGACCCAAGATCACGCCACTGCACTCCAGCCTCGGCAACAAGAGTGAAATTGTTTAAAAAAGACTTTTTTTTTTTTTTTGACAAAGTCTTGCTCTGTTGCCCAGGCCGGAGTACAGTGGCCTGATCTCAGCTCACTGCAGCCTCCACCTCCTGGGTTCAAGAGATTCTCCTGCCTCAGCCTCCCAAGTAGTTGGGATTACAGACGTGTGCCACCATGACCGGCTAATTTTTGTACTTTTAGTAGAGATGGCGTTTCACCATGTTGGCCAGGCCAGTCTCGAACTTCTGACCTCGAGTGATCCGCTGGCCTCGGCCTCCCCAAGTACTGGGATTACAGGCATGAGCCACGATGCCCAACCTTAAAATTATTGGTTTTTGACCCCTAACTTTTAGATGCTACAGAGAGCCAATGCAACATCCAAGAGAGTGATAAACAGGATTATTTGATATGTTAAATTGCATGGGAAGCACGGTCAAATTAAAAATGATGTTTGGGTCAGGCGCGGTGGCTCACACCTGTAATCCTAGCACTTTGGGAGGCTGAGGCAGGTGGATCACAAGGTCAGGAGTTCGTGACCAGCCTGGCCAACATGATGAAACCCCGTCTCTATCAAAGATACAAAAAATTACCTGGACATGGTGGCACATGCCTGTAAATCCCAGCTACTTGGGAGGCTGAGCCAGGAGAATCACTTGAACCCAGGAGGTGGAGGTTGCAGTGAGCCGAGAGCATGCCATTGCACTCCAGCCTGGGCGATAGGGTGAGACTCGATCTCAAAAAAAAAAAAAATGATGTTTGACCTCCTTCAACTTATATTTTAATGAATATGTTATTAATATTTATTCCAAAATTTTATAGAATTTCTAAAAATCTAATATATATCTCTTTATATGCTATTAGTCATAATTATGTTTATTATGAACAAATATAGGCAACAGATATAATCAATTTTTTATTTGTTTTTTCATAACCATTTAAGTAATTTTCACAGTTAATGGTTTAATTCTTATTTAGTTTCTAAAAACCTCAAAAGCACACAAAATCCCAGAGTATTGTGTCTTTAGGAGGTTCATGAAAAGATGGAAAGTGACCAGACAAGTTGAGTCCTGTTTCTGATAATTTTAGGATCATATTGTTTGAACTGGGTAAGGATCATGAGCATTCCCATGAAAAGACGGATTCATAAAACTGTGAGCCCAGGCAAGACAAAAATTAATTGAATATCAGAAAAATACTCTGCCACATTTTTACGCTAAATCAGCAAGTACTGAAATTTTTTAAATGTGCTCTTTAAATAAACTCTGTGGTCCAAGTAAAATTACCTATGAGAACCACTCAGTTATCAGTGCTATGCACATAAATTGGAGAAAAAGTCCTGGTATGTAAGACGACATAATTTTTTTTTTTTGGTCTTTTTTTTTTTTGACACAGAGTCTCACGAGTCTCACTTTGTCACCAGGCTGGAGTGCAGTGGCATGATCTCAGGTCACTGCAACCCCCGCCTCCCAGGTTCAAGCGATTCTCCTGCCTCAGCCTCCCTAGTAGCTGGGACTACAGGCATGCGCTACCATGCCCAGCTAATTTTTGTGTTTAGTGTTCAGGAGAATCACTTGAACCCGGGAGGCAGAGGTTTGCAGTGAGCCAAGATCTTGCCACTGCACTCCAGCCTGGGCAACAGAGTGAGACTCCATCTCAAAAAAAAAAAAAAAAAAAAAAAAAAGAAAAGAAAAAAGAAACAGACTCCTTGGTTGAAATGAGTAGACCAATTATTTAGCTAATTATTTGATCTATTTAATTTTAGTTGGTTTGTTCATGGGGACCCTGGTTAAAAAGCATACTTCAAACTCTTGGTGTTATCCTCCTGATAGTCAAAATAGTAGTCTCCCTATTGCACTGTATTCTCTCAAAAGTTATAAATGTTTGCATGCAGTCATCTCTAGAATGTCAAATGGTCTCTCTTTAATGGGAATGATGAAAACTCAAAGATATATGCGACCATGAGGACACCATAACCTATAAATGACATGATAAGAACAAAAACCCAAAATAATGGAAACTGAGAGAGGCACTAAGGCCCTAAGTTTTGGTCACACTCTGACGTATGTGAAAACTTAACCAAAACGGGGGAATTTTTAAAAGAAATTATTGGAGGCTATTATTCTGGACTGAGCTTACGCACCAGGCCCAAACAGACAAAACCAAACCAAACCAAAATGGAGTCACTCATGCTAAATATGACATACTCAAACTAAAAATTTAAGAAAATAGGTAGATGCTAAAACAGGCCAGGTTTTGTTTTTATTCTGTAAGCAGCAAATTTTAACATAAAGAGGTCCCCTCTACTGTAATTCTTTAAAAAATTAATATCCTCAAGTTCTCATTTCCACTTTACAAAACTCACAGTTCTGCTATTTCACAGTGAGATTTGAGACTAAATAAGTATATCTTTGATGATGGCAGAATATAATGTATAAAGTTTTGGTCTGTCTCTCAAACTTGAGAAGATAACCAAAAGCGAGAAATTGTTAAATTAGTTATAGCCTGAAGCTGTCCCCTTTCATTTAATTTTGGTCAATAGTTTTTTTTTTCTTTTTGTACATAGTAAACTGAAACCTAACTGTAACGCATTCCTGTACTAACCACTGTGATTTTCCCACTAAAAGGATATCAAATCTTCAAACCGTGTTTAAATAAGGCGAATCCCAAGCTATAACCAATCTGGCTGTTTCTGTACCTCACTTTCATTTTCTGTGTGTCACTTTGCTTTTTCTGTTCATCAATATTTTCTTACCATGTGGCTGTGCTGGAGTTTCTCTGAGCCTACTCTGGCTCCACAGGCTGCCTGATTTGCAAATCATTCTTTGTTCAATTAAACTCTGTAACATTTAATTTCTCTAGAGTTTTTTTTTTAATTTTCAATTTTTTTCTATGATAAAAAATAAGTCATGTGTGGTTTTGGCTTTGATTTTCTCAACTCATCCTTTAGCTACTTTTTCCAAATTATTCTATGTCCTTTTCAAATGCTCCTGCAATTTCTTTCTTTTTCTGCTTCTTCTTCTTCTTCTTTTTTTTTTTTTTTTTTTTTTTTTGAGACAGGGTCTGACTCTATAACCCAGGCTACAGTGCAGTTGTGTAACCAATCATGGATTACTGCAGCCTTGACCTTCTAGGCTCAAGTAAAGTAATCCTCCTACCTCTGCTATCTGAGGAGCTGGAACTACAGGCATGCCTCATCATGCCTGGCTAATTTTTTAAAAAAAATTTTTATGGAGACAGGATCTTACTATGTTGCCCAGGCTGCACTTGAGCTCCTGAGTGCAAGTGATTCTCCCATCTCAGACTGCCAAAGTGCTAGGATTACAGGTGTGAGCCGCCATGTGTTTCTGCAATTCCTTAAGATTATTTATTTATTTATTTTCACCCAGGCTGGAGTGCAGTGGCGTGATCTCTGCTCACTGCAACCTCTGCCTCCCAGGTTCAAGAGATTTTCCTGCCTCAGCCTCCCAACTAGCTGGGACTACAGATACCCACCACTAAGCCTGGCTAATTTTTTTGGTATTTTCAGTAGAGACGGGGTTTCACCATGTTGGTTAGGCTGGGTCTCAAATTCCCGACCTCGTGATCTGCCTGCCTCGGCCTCCCAAAGTGCTGGGATTACAAGTGTGAACCACCATGCCCAGCCATTTTAAGATTATTCTAATAATAAACAGTACTATATGGGCACAAATCTAAAAGAAATCTGACTTCTATTTTAGAAATGTCACTCTCCAGGATTTCAAGGGTCACACGGAGTTGATCCTGAGTCCCAGCCCAGCCACTTAGTAGCTGTGGGTCTTTGGACAATTTATTGATGTGGAAGAGTTCTATAAACTACATGCGCAAAAAAAGGCAGAATGATGCTTATTGCAAAAATGGTAGCAATTTTTTATCCCTCCTGTATCCATGCCCATTGCCAGGTGCTTTTACAGCTGTTCCCATTGAGATCCAGAATCTGTTTTCCAATCCCTGGATCTGGCTGGCCTTATTTGCTCAGGGCAGTGGAAACCTGTGAACATGACAGTGTGCTAGTTTGAGGCGTAGGCTCAAAAGGTATTGAATCCTTCTGTTTTTCTTTCAGAATGCTGCCATCTCTATGAAAAAAAGCCCATGTAAGCCAGACAAGATACCATGGGGAGGAGAAGCAAGTTGCCTCTGTTGACAGCCCCAGAAGCAGAAGCTCACTCCCAGAAGCACAGCTGCTTAGTCAACAAGCAGCTGATAATACATGTCTGAAAGAGCTCAGTTGAGACCAGAAGAATGGTCCCACTGAGCCCAGCCTAAATGCCTGACCATCTCAATTATGATGCTAATAAGTTTTGGATGGTTTGTTACACTGTAACAGCTAACTAATACATGCACCCAGTGCAGATAAGATGCCAGGCTTCAATGACAGCCTGATTACTAGTTACCTTCTAATAGTGGGCACCCTAAAAGTACTAATTTTTTCCCCCTGATTTAAAGTTGAATGTCTTGTAAGATAATGTTGAGAAATGCAGAAATACATGTGGACATGTATACATGTGATTGGTGATTATACTCACACAGCACCACATACAACAGGAGAAAACAGAAAACCACAGCCTGACCATTAGGGCCGAGGCCAAATAGCAACATGAGTTTGCCTTTTTCTATTTTCTCTGTTTCTAAACATTGGAGGCCTATACTGTGTACAGATCTAAAGACATAGAGTTTGCTTATCCTGTGACCTCATCATTCTTTGTTCATGTCTAATCTCTTGAAGAAAGGTGAGCAACTGGTGGCCAGCAGTGCTTGTAACCTCAGTACCTGAGGTAATTTTATTCCTGCTGTCCTCTGCTCTTTTTATGGCCACTATCTGTTTCATCCTTGGAACTGAAGAGAGATGTTGGTAGGGAGAGGCTCTTGCCGCACCTTTGGCAGAAAAGGGATGTTCAGGCCCTTCACCTCCTGGGGGAATGTAGAGGGGTTTCCAGGAAGCCCACTTGAAGTCTGAATTTAAAGTGAAAGTCCAGCCAGGCCAGGCGCGGTGGCTCACGCCTGTAATCCCAGCACTTTGAGAGGCTGAAATGGGTGGATCACCTGAGGCCAGGAGTTCATGACCAGCCTGGCCAACATGGTGAAACTCCATCTCTACTTAAAATATAAAAATTAGCTGGGCAGGGTTGTGGGCACCTGTAATCCCAGCTACTCAGGAGGCTGAGGTGGGAGAATTGCTTGAACCCGGGAGACAGAGGTTGCAGTGAGCTGAGATTGCGCCACTGCACTCCAGCATGGGCGACAAGAGCAAAACTCCGTCTCAAAAAAAAAAAAAAAAAAGTCAAAGTACAGCCAAACATGGTGGCTCACACCTGTAATCCCAGTACTTTGGGGGTGTTGAGGTGAGGAGGATTGCTTGAGGCCAGGAGTTCAAGAGCAGCCTAGGCAACATGGCGAGACCTTATCTCTATAGAAAATTAGAAAATTAGATGGGCATGGTGTGGTGCACGCCTGTGATCCCAGCTCCCACAGAACCTGAGATGGGAGGATCGCTTCAGGAGGTGGAGGCTGCAGTGAGCTCTGATCACACCACTGCACTCCAGCCTGGGTGACAGAGTGAGACCCTGTCACTAAAATAAATAAATAAATAAATAAGTAAATGAATAAATAGATGAATAAATAAAGTGAAAGTGCAGCTGAGTGTGTGCTTTCCCAGTGATGCTTGGCTGTCCAGATGCAGATGCAAGAGATCCAGCCTGTTCATGTCACCCTTGCCCAGGGGAACAATGTCAGGAGAGAGAGAGAAAAAGGAGGTTTTTTTTCTTCTTTTTTTGAGATGGAGTCTCCCTCTGTCGCCTAGGCTGGAGTGTAGTGGTGTGATCTCGGCTCACTGCAACCTCCACCTCCCGGATTCAAGCGATTTTTCCTGCCTCAGCCTCCCTAGTAGCTAGGATTACAGGCGCCTGCCACCACACCCAGCTAATTTTTGTATTTTCAGTAGAGACAGGGGTTTTGCCATTTTGGCCAGGCTGGTCTCGAACTCCTGACCTCAAGTGATCCACCCACTTCGGCCTCCCAAAGTGCTGGGATTACAGGCGTGAACCACCTCGCCCTGCAGGAGTTGATTTTAATTATGAACCATGATTAAGGAAGGCAATGACCACAGAGAGAGTGACAATGAGGTGGGGAGGCCAAGTGGAGAGTTCTGGAGCAAGAGAAGAGAGGTCAGCAGAGAGCTGTCTGAAGTCTCCTTTCTGGGTGATGGAGGGTCCCAGGTGTGACCGCAGGCAGGGAGTGGTGGCTGAGAGGCAAGTTGGAAAAGCTCACTGGAGCTTCAGCAGTCTAAGTGCCCAGAGAGACGGGGAGTAGCCTGGCCTGTCCACGTGGGTGACGACACCAACGTCTTGTATGAAATCACTGTTGCAAACCTGCTGGGGGAATGTAGAGGGGTTGCTGCTCTACAAGACGGCAAGAAGGATGAGAATGCAGTCAGCCAGGAACACAAGTCCTCAATGGATGACGAGGTGCAAGCGGAAGACCAGCAGACAGCAGTCACTGAGAGGGACAGCAGGTGACTCCGCTGCCTTTGAAAGAGAAAGGTCTTGGACACGACCACAGGAACCATGAAGGATATAGACCCTACCTTAGATTCTACAGTACGTGGGGTATAGGAGAAAAAAGAGTCCCTGCACCAGACGGTGCCGGGGGATGTGGGGTCCTGAGGGGCCAGTGGGGTTGGAGGGAGGGGACCCTCCTGCAAAAAGCTGAGTGGTGGCTCCAGAGCCGATGATGTCATCAGAGGAGCTGGGGCAGGATGGGGGGTGGGGAGGAGGGTCCAGTCATATTAGGCAATGCACAGATCCGGGGGGGAGGCCTATAGCACAGAGGCTCTGTCCTTTGAGGGTGACTGAACCAACAGGGGAAAGCGAGGCATGGTGAAAATAGCCATGGATGGCCAGCTGTGGTGGCTCACGCCTGTAATCCCAGCACTTTGGGAGGCCGAGGAGGATGGATCACCGGAGGTCAGGGGTTCAAGACCAGCCTGGCCAACATGGGGAAGCCCCGTCTCTACTAAAAATACAAAATTAGCCAGGCTTGATGGTGGGCACCTGTCATCCCAGCTGCTTGGGAGGCTGAGGCAGGAGAATTGCTTGAACCCAGGAGGCAGAGGTTGCAGCGAGCTGAGATCACATCACTGCACTCCAGCCTGGGCAACAAGAGCGAAACTCTGTCGGGAAGGGGAGAGGAGGGGAGGGGAGGGGAGAAGGAAGGAAGGATAGAAAGAAAGACAGAAAGAAAGAAGGAAGGGAGAGAGAGGGGGAAAGAAAGAAAGAAAAGAGAAAGAAAAAAAGAAAAAGGAAGGAACGAAGGAAAAAGGAGGGAGAGAGGGAGGAAGGAAGGAAGGAAAGAAAGAAAAGGTAAGAAAGAAAACCGTGGATGACCGCAGGACGGCCACAGGTGACATTTCAAGCTGTGAATTTGGAGAGCGAGGGCGCTCCAGGCAACTGTGGGGTGACTCCTCCCCCTGGTGGCCATATATGGCTAAAGCAAGTACAAGTCCAGACACACCTGGAGAACAGGTGCCATTGCCTGAAAGCAACCGTAACCACGACAACAAGGCCAGGTGCAGAACCCAGGTCTCCCCCCCTTTATTAGAGCCTGTGGAGAGATCATGAATGTATTCTCCAATATGTTCATTTTCAGGGGTTAAAAAAAAATCTCCCCAGTGTCACTTCTCCCAGGAACGTGTGTATGTGAATGGCTTAAAAACTGTTGCCCTTGACAAAGAAATGTACCAATCTCCAATGACAGAATATTTAATCGAGGAAAGTTCTCATTAACAGATGTTAATTAATCTCCTTAACAGATGTTAAGGAGAACTACAAACCACTGCTCAGTGAAATAAAAGAGAATACAAACAAATGGAACAACATTCCATGCTCATGGGTTGGAAGAATCAATATCGTGAAAATGGCCATACTGCCCAAAGTAATTTATAGATTCAATGCCATCCCCATCAAGCTACCAATGACTTTCTTCACAGAATTGGAAAAAACTACTTTAAAGTTCATATGGAACAAAAAAGAGCCCGCATCGCCAAGTCAATCCTAAGCCAAAAGAACAAAGCCAGAGGCATCATGCTACCTGACTTCAAACTATACTACAAGGCTACAATAACCAAAACAGCATGGTACTGGTACCAAAACAGAGATATAGATCAATGGAACAGAACAGAGTCCTCAGAAATAACACCACATATCTACAACCATCTGATCTTTGACAAACCTGACAAAAACAAGCAGTGGGGAAAGGATTCCCTATTTAATAAATGGTGCTGGGAAAACTGGCTAGTCATATGTAGAAAGCTGAAACTGGATCCCTTCCTTACGCCTTATACAAAAATTAATTCAAGATGGATTAAAGACTTACATGTTAGAACTAAAACCATAAAAACCCTAGAAGAAAACCTAGGCAATACCATTCAGGACATAGGCATGGGCAAGGACTTCATGTCTAAAACACCAAAAGCAATGGCAACAAAAGCCAAAATTGACAAACGGGATCTAATTAAACTAAAGAGCTTCTGCACAGCAAAAGAAACTACCATCAGACTGAACAGGCAACCTACAAAATGGGAGAAAATTTTCGCAACCTACTCACCTGACACAGGACAAATATCCAGAATCTACAATGAACTCAAATAAATTTACAAGAAAAAAACAAACAACCCCATCAAAAAGTGGGCGGAGGATATGAACAGACACTTCTCAAAAGAAGACATTTATGCAGCCAAAAAACACATGAAAAAATGCTCATCATCACTGGCCATCAGAGAAATGCAAATCAAAACCACAATGAGATACCATCTCACACCAGTTAGAATGGCGATCATTAAAAAGTCAGGAAACAACAGGTGCTGGAGAGGATGTGGAGAAATAGGAACACTTTTACACTGTTGTTGGGACTCTAAACTAGTTCAACCATTGTGGATGTCAGTGTGGCGATTCCTCAGGGATCTAGAACTAGAAATACCATTTGACCCAGCCATCCCATTACTGGGTATATACCCAAAGGACTATAAATCATGCTGCTATAAAGACACATGCACACGTATGTTTATTGCGGCACCATTCACAATAGCAAAGACTTGGGACCAACCCAAATGCCCAACAACGATAGACTGGATTAAGAAAATGTGGCACTTATACACCATGGAATACTATGCAGCCATAAAACATGATGAAACTGGAAACTATCATTCTCAGCAAACTATCACAAGGACAAAAAACCAAACACCGCATGTTCTCACTCATAGGTGGGAATTGAACAATGAGAACACATGGACACTGGAAGGGGAACATCACACCCCGGGGACTGTTGTGGGGTGGGGGGAGGGGGGAGGGATAGCATTTGGAGATATACCCAATGCTAAGTGACGAGTTAATGGGTGCAGCACACCAACATGGCACATGTATACATATGTAACAAACCTGCACATTGTACACATGTACCCTAAAACTTAAAGTATAATAATAATAAAATAAAATAAAATAAAATAAAATAAAATAAAATAAAATAAATAGTTAATGAATGGAGTTCTGCAGGCTTTGCTTTAAAGAACAGATCTACAGTATTTTAATGGGGAATGTAATCTCAGTGTCATCTCTGAGGCATGTTTACTGCTATATCTCTATCGAGCACCTGAAGTAGTGCCTGGAACAGAGGAATGACTCAGGGTGTGGTGACTGGACTGGATGGCACTTTCAAAGCACTGGACCTGTCCCACGATGGGGCAGTGAGTTTCCTGTCCCTCTACCTATAAGGTATCTAAAAGGTTTAGCCTTGCGTGTGGTAGATGTGCTTTGAAGGGGGTTTAGGAGACAGTCTAGGAGATGACCCTTAAGTAACCTGCCCACAATCTCCTTTACACTCAGGTGATCAGTGAAGTTTTTTTTCAGGGACAAGGTAAAACAGTAGTTCTGCTGGTATCACTGACTACGTATTAGAATCACCTATGAACTCTTAAACACTAGTGTCCATAGGCCCTATTCTCAGGATTTTGATTTAATTAATGTAGGCTGACACCTATTCATCTGTTCTTAATGCTTTCTGAGTAATCCTAAAGTGCAGTGAAGGTGGACAACCACTAATGTGGAAAAAAACAAAACAAAACAAAAACACTCCAATATGCAATACAACTTCACAGCTAGCTCAGAACTAGTTCTCTGCAGGTCTCATAATTTATAATAATTTCTGCTTGGAAGCCAGAAGGCCCAGTCCTTTATTGTCACCATAGCCGAAAAGCGTAATCTTCAAGGCCTGATTCATCCTTACCTCCTCCAGGAAGCCTTCTCTGCCTGTTCCAGCCTATTTTTCTGTCCCCTTATTGTACTTCCTGCCAGTGCTTGCATCCCTGCTTTGACTCATATCCCTTTGGCCCTTCTCTCATATCCCTTGTGCCCTTCTCCTTTCCTTTCCTGAGCCTCCACCACACTCCAAATTGAATACTCTAAAAGGTTTAGCCCTGCATGTGATAGAGGTGCTTTGAAAGGGTTTTTTAGGAGACAGTCTAGGAGATGACCCATCCTGTGCATGTCTACTCACCAAACCCTGTTTTATAATTGCCTGCCCATTTGTATGTCTCTCAGTGAAACTGTGCACACCCTGAGAGGAAGAACTGTG
Source organism: Homo sapiens (assembly GCF_000001405.40). Lineage (NCBI taxonomy): Eukaryota > Metazoa > Chordata > Mammalia > Primates > Hominidae > Homo > Homo sapiens. Next base: position 65,213,439 of record NC_000007.14, on the reverse strand, counting down.
ACATATTTACCTTGGCAACCACAGCACTTAGTGCATGCAATAGAGTAAACACGATTGCACAGATGGATGGAAGGAAGGATGAATGAGTGGACAGATGGATGAATGAAGGAGTAGTACTCTTTGTGGGGCTTAACTGCACTGTCTGAATTGATTAGTGTCTCTACTACATTTCTCATGTGTCTCTATTACATCTATGTAACTTGGGAAAGAATATTTCCTAGTAATCGCTTTTTCCCATCCATAAATTTTATCTGCCAGCTGACTGACTCACAGCCTGAAAGGAACTTGTTTATTATAGTTTTCTGTAACAAAAGACCAAATCTTAACGTCACATTACAAGATTAGAAAAGGTCTTATCATTTACTGAACGCTTACTGGGTCCTGGGGGCTTTAAATACATTATCTCTTTATGTCAACTCCTCCTATTTGTCAGTTGTAGAATCTGAGACTCAGAGTTTAAAGTAACTTGCTCCAAACCACACTCAGCAGTAGTTGAGATTCAAGCCTAGGTTCTTTCCCACAGAAGCTCATTTCTTCTCCTGTCCCAGTTTCTGTCCCTCAAGTAGAGACTACAGGGGTACTAACATTAAATACTTCAACACAAGGTCAGTCTAGAAGCTCCACGAGGACCCAAACCCGACAGACCTGGACCTTAACAGTGTTCTGAGGATCCTGCACATGCTCCAGGGTTGCATCAACATCCAGGGCAACCACCAACCCAGAGGTAAACCGCAAAGGGTTGTCTGACTCGCCTGCTGGCTCAATGATGGTGGCTGAGGCTTTGTGGATCTGTAAGCAAGAGGAAAATCCTATGATTCTAAAGCCAGGTCATTCCTGGACAAGAAAACACATCTTTTTTCTGTCTCCTTATCTAATGAGTGGGCATGTGGGAGCCACTCAGAGGAAGAGCCTAGCCCAGCTGCTCCATTGGTCAAAGAAGATCACCAAGGTAAAGATTTTTGACCGTCTGGACAGATTTGGCCTACAGGGGCCAAATAGACCCTGACCTGCTCTGGAAGTGGGAGATGCAGAAAGGCACTCTGTCGCAGCATGGTCTGTAGAATTTTGACCACTTCTGCAGGTTTGGATGTCATGAATCGGGGCATAAGGTCAAGGAGTTTGTCCACAAAGCTGTCCTGCAAGTGGGGCAAATCAGCGATGAAATACCTGGAGGAACAAACAGAAGCAACTGACTCATTCAACTGTGCACACGTTCACCACAGGCTGGGCCCCAGACACCTACCAAACCCTGAAGTAGGAAGAATGATGAAGTGAGAAGAGCTTGCAATTTACGACCAAGATAGACTGGTACCTATACAATCATGCCTCAGTCACATGATCATCAGAAAGGCCTCTGTTTATTGATAACCATTATGTGCCAGGCATACTCTTAAGTGTTTTACATGATCTTATTTAACTCCCAGCAATCCTAAGCATCATTAGAATTTTTATTTTCATATTATAGATTCATTAATTATTTTAACAAATACATTTTTAAGACCTACGAAGCACCAAGCACTATTTTAGGTTCTGGAAACACAGTGAACAAAAGAGAACAAAACGATTGCTTCAATGGAGCTTACATTCAAGTGGCAGAAAACACTGAGACTCAGAGGGGATGATGCCTCACTGAGGCTCAGAAAAGTTAAGTACGTTACTCCTGGCTCAGACTGATCCAATTTTGGGCCTCGTGCCAGTGGATAGTCAAAAAATATCTCACTGAGGAGGTGATATCTGTGCAGGAACTCAAAGGATGAATTAAGAACATCAGATGAAGAACTTTGGGGATTCAGAGCTATCATCTTCCCAAAAATCTTTTCAACCCAACTGTGCAAAAACAGACTCTCTACTTTAAAGAATCTAAAGCCAAAAGTAAGGCATGAACTTATTTCAGATTCAAAACTAGAATTTATTTTTTATTTTCTTTTTGAGAAGGAGTCTCGCACTATTGCCCAGGCTGGTGTGCAATGGCGTGATCTCGGCTCACTGGAACCCCGCCTTCTGGGTTCAAGCAATTCTCCTGCCTCAGCCTCCCGAGTAGCTGGGATTACAGCTGCCCACCACCACGCCCTACTAATTTTTTGTATTTTTTAGTAGAGACGGGGTTTCATTATGTTGGCCAGGCTGGTCTCGAACTCCTGACCTCATGATCCACCTGCCTCGGCCTCCCAAAGTGCTGGGATTACAGGCGTGAGCCACCGCGCCCAGCCTCAAAACTAGGATCTTAAAAAGCCAAGCTAGATGGTACAGTTTGCTAGACAGCATTACCTGCTGGTGAAGGTAGCGTTGCAACTCAGCCCTGTAAGAAGCTATCATCACCCCAATGACAAGTACAGAGTCACAAAAACCTCAGGTTTGGTGAACTTCATGAGGGCAGAGACAATGAGCGGAAGAAATGAAACAGACTTCATCAGTGCTTTAAGATCCTATGTCTTCTCCCAGTATTATTCTACCAGCATACCAGAAGTCTGGTCACTCCCTTGACTCCTATTTCTTCATCAAGCTTTCCATTCAACTACTGCATGTGCTTTAACAGATTCATTCCATATAAAACTCTGAAAAAATATATGTATTCTACAAAATAAAATTTACCTACAGAATTACAAAACAATTGTAGATTACAGAGAAATATGCAAGTATAAGAACAGTGTGGGCCTGGTGCAGTGGTTCACACCTGTAATCCCAATACTTTGGGAGGCAGAGGCAGGAGGATCTCTTGAAGCCAGGAGTTTGAGAACAGCCTGAGCAACACAGCAAGACCCCATCTCTAAAAAAAAATATTAAAAATTATCCAGTCATGGTGGCACATGCCTGTAGTCCTAGCTACTCAGGAGTCTGAAGTAGGATGATAGCTTTAGCCCAGGAATTCAAGGGTGCAGTGAGCTGTGCCAGTCTGGGTGACAGAGTGAGACCCTGTCTCAAAAAATAATAATGAGGTCAGACGCGGTGGTGGCTCATGCCTGTAATCCCAGCAGTTTGGGAGGCCAAGGCAGGCAGATCACTTGAGGTCAGGAGTTAGAGACCAGCCTGGCCAACATGATGAAACCCCGTCTCTACTAAAAATACAAAAATTAGCCAGGTGTGGTGGTAGGCACCTGTAGTCCCAACTACTTGGGAGGCTGAGGCAGAAGAATCACTTGAACCCAGGAGGCAGAGGCTGCAGTGAGCCAAGACTGCGCCACTGCACTCCAGCCTGGGTGACAGAGCAAGACTCTGTCTCAAATAAATAAATAAATAAATAAATAAATAAATAAATAAATAAATAAGAATGGTGTGAACGAACAGTATTAAAAAAACAGATGACTAATGATTTTTTTCAACAAACGTATTTACACGTTTTCTTCATATTACTTGTGTTTTTATGGCCTAGCTGAGTGCTAAATGCAAGTGATTCCTGGTAGGTTTAGTTTTGAAGCTCCAACTTCAAAGAAGTTTCTATAATATTAAGAAAAAAACCAAATTAGTTTTTTTTTTCCTAATTTAAGGTTAACGACATGGCCACAGATGATAGCCTGGCTGTACAAGCTAAACCAAGGAATGTGATTTGTGATTGTTCCTATTGCCTGCAAGTGCTATACTCCGTGTAACCAAGATTTTATAAGCCGGAAGAGTTATAAAATACTTACCTCTGAAAAAAGTCTACTTCCTGTAAAAATTTTTCACACATCCCAAATAAGGGGTAAAGTCTGTAGAAAAGAAACGTAAAATAATTTGCTTGTGAAATCTGCAAACTGAGGAGGACCAAAAGTCCCAGAAACCTGAGCCTAAATTAAAGGAAAATTAGTATATTACACTATAAAAACGATCTCTAAAAGTAACAGAAGACTCCTAATGGACCTGGGGGAAACACCTGTCGGGATCCCAAGACCTGATTAAACCACTGCAGTGCCCATTAAGCTCAAAGAATATTAAAAATCAAAGACTATCAGAGGCTACACTTGGCACTAGACTCACTACGAATACAGAAGAGAAGCATAGCATGTGGGCAGCACAGTGTCAAGTTCCCCTTCTTCAGGAGTCCTTGCTTCATTAGCATCTCAGCTAGCATGGTCTCTATACCTATCTGATTTAGATCTCATCTCCTTGCACATGAGCTGTCAGCATTGGGATGAAAGCTCCCAGATAGCTGTGTGGACTGCTGCAAGATCTACCCAGTTTCAAGAATCACTGCACTCAATGAAGCCTACAGCCATTGTATCGGCATCTGGAAACTAGTTCATTTATATTTCCTTCTGGTCTACATGCAATTTACTCAGAGATCATTTTTTCCATAGCGGTATAGCCTACTAATGTAGTTGATACTGTAAGGGCTCCAAGAAACATACCTAAAAAGTTAACTAAATTCCTATGCAAGAGGGGAAAAGGTTTTGCTACTATTTTGCCGACAGACATGGATGGTGTTCCTTCCTCTCTATCTTGAATTACTTGGCCTCACAGTACTTGAGAACATTCCATTTCAGTAAAAAGTTATTGCATACCTAAATAATCCAGGCAACATGCTAGGTCAATGTGACTTACTAAGTTTTGACCTTTGTATATTTTCTTCCTATTTCTTGTATGTAATTTCTGCATGAAATTTCCCACTTGTTTTCTTTAATATATTATTCATTGGAGGAATAAAATTTCCCACCAAGATAAAACAAATACTCTTTCCTTATGTAAAAATATGTAAGAGAATGATGTCAAAGTTTCGTCTTTTTATTAAAATATAGTCTCCACGAGTAGACTTTGTATTCTTCATCATATATTTCCTAGCACAGGCAGCATTCAATAAGTATTTGCTGAATGAACAAAAAATGGGGCCGGGGGTAGATGGCAAATGGAAACCTACTCTGGAAGCAACATTCATTCTAATTCTTTTCCTGAAAAAAAAAAACAACAAAAAAAAGTAGCACTTGAAAGTTTTTAAACTAATCTTCTACCAGAAATGGAAGTGAAATTTCATAGTGAGGTTACCCACCAAACACCACAAGGAGTGAGAGGGCTAGAAGGGAGAATTCCAGCCAAGCAAGGGCACAAAGGAAAGCAATTTGGCCAAGCAGTGACATTTCCTCATTTGTTTGCCTGATTATATAGAGAATCATCTTGGAGAGACTCCAGGAAGTAAAATACAAAAAGATTTGGGAACTCTCCCCAGATGTCAAAAAAGAGCAGGCATCCTCATCAACAGGCCATATACATGAAGTAGGCCTCTAATACTAAGATCTCCTACTTTTCCTTTGGTGTGAGGGAAGGAAAGCTATGAAAGTGAGGCTCACTCGGGGGCTAACAATCATTAAAGAATACAAATTACCAATTTAAACTAGTCTAGACTTTCACTGTAAGTAGGCAAAGACAATGGAAAATGACTAGGTGTTATAAATGACAATCAGGAGCTGTAAAGGAGACCAAGCAGTCCTCAAAAAGAGTTAAGTCAAGGCAAGAAAGCACAGAAAACTTTTTAAAAAATTCTAATCAACAACCTCAGTGAGAGTTAACAGGGATTTAAAAGGATATTACATTGACAAAGCAAGAGAAACTGCTACAGAAACAGCAGATGACAAGAAGAGAAACTATACAGCAGAAAAAAAAGGAAAAAAATAGTAGAGAAGCACACTTGGAAATAAAACACATAATAATGAAATCAAACTCAACAGTTAAGAACAGTGGAATCAACAACAATGTAAACTGAAATGATAAACTAAAAAGAGCATATTAAAGAATTTACTGGCCAGGCACAGTGGCTCATGCTTGTAATTCCAACACTTTGGGAGGCTGAGGCAGGCGGATCACCCGAGATCAGAAGTTCAAGACCAGCCTGACCAAACATGGAGAAACCCTGTCTCTACAAAAATACAAAATTAGCCGGGTGCAGTGGCACATGCCTGTAATCCCAGCTACTTGGGAGGCTGAGGCAGGAGAATCGCTTGAACCAGGGAGGTGGAGGTTGCAGGGAGCTGAGATTGTTGAGATTGTGCCATTACACTCCAGCCTGGGCATCAACAGCAAAACTCCATCTCAAAAAAAAAAAAAAAAAAAAAAAAAAAAAAAAAAAAAAAAAGAATTTACTCAGAATATAGAATAGAAAAACAAAGAAATTGAAATTACAAAAGAAAAGGTATAGGAAAAATAGATCCAGAAAATCCAACATTTAGTATGACAGACTAGAGTGTATAGAAGAAGTAAAGAAATAATGGAGAAAAAAAAAATCCCCGAGCTAAAAACAGCTGATACTTCAAACTCCCACCGAAGGTCAGCAAGAATATTGAAAGAAAACACATACCTAGATATATCCTGGTGAAATTAAAGAAAGAAAGAAAATTTTAAAGGTTTGAGCATGAAAAATAAGCTGTAGGGAAGAGAACCAGACTGACATAAAACATTCAACTGTAACATTAAATACTAAAAGGGAACATAGCAAAGGCAGAGAGTCTCTATGAACCTATTCTGGTTTGGCGGGGGTTGCCCAATAAAATAAATAAATAAAGGCACCATAGCAATATGGAAATATTGGAAAAGAATTCCATTTATGTATGAGAGCAAAGGAATTTAAAAGGTGACAGAGAACAGTGGTGGCAAAGTTGGAGCTAAACTTATAAAGATTATAAGTGGTGGCTCACGTCTGTAATCCTAGCACTTTGGGAGGCCGAGGTGGGAGGATACTTTGAGTTCAGGAGTTCAAGACTGGTCTGGGCAACACAGTGAAACCATGTTTCTACTATTTTTAAAAATAAAAAATATTTTATAAAAAAATTAAAAATAAAAATAAACAAGGATATACAAGGATTATGTACTTATAACTTTAAAAGATTATATTTATAAACATAAAAATTAATATAAGCTACATTATAAAAACATAATCAGCTGAAACAAACCTCCAAGTTATTAATTATTATTATTATTATTTTTTTGAGACGGAGTCTCACTCTGTCACCCAGGCTGGAGTGCAGTGGTGGGATCTCAGCTCACTGCGAGCTTCACCTCCTGGGTTCATGCCATTCTCCTGCCTCAGCCTCCCGAATAGCTGGGATTACAGGCACCTGCCACCACGCCCGGCTAATTTTTTTTTTATTTTTAGTAGAGCCGGGGTTTCACCATGTTAGCCAGGATGGTCTCGATCTCCTGACCTCGTGATCCACCCGATTCAGCCTCCCAAAGTGCTGGGGTTACAGGCGTTAGCCACCGCACCCAGCCATATTATTATTTTTAAGACATAGGGTCTTGTTCTGTTGCCCAAGTTGGAGTGCAATGGCATGATCATAGCTCATTGCAGCCTCGAACTCCTGGGCTCAAGGGATCCTCCCACCTCAGCCTCCCAAGTAACTAGGACCACAGGTGCACACCACCCATGTCCAGCTAATTTTTGATTTTTATTTTTTAGAGACAGGGTCTCACTATGTTGCTTAGGCTGGGGTCAAACTCCTGGCTGGGCTCAAGCGATCCTCCTGCTTTCGCCTCCTAAAGTCTGGGATTACAGGCATGAGCCACTGCATCTAGCCCAAATTGCTATTATTATTTTTTGCTCAGTAAGAGACCTTAACTGGCCTGAATTATTATTATTATTATTATTATTATTATTATTATTATTATTTGAGATGGAGTCTCACTCTGTCACCCAGGCTGGAGTGCAGTGGCACGATTTCGGCTCACTGCAACCTCCGCCTCCTGGGTTCAAGCAGTTTTCTGCCTCAGCCTCCCGAGTAGCTGGGATTACAGACGCCCACCACCACGCCGGGCTAATTTTTTGTATTTTTAGTAGAGATGGGGTTTCACCATCTTGGCCAGGCTGGTCTTGAACTCCTGACCTCGTGATCCACCTGTCTTGGCCTCCCAAAGTGATGGGATTACAGGCGTGAGCCACTGCACCCAGCCAACTGGCCCAAATTACTTAAGCAGTAAGAGACAAACAAAAGCATACTAAAATCTTCATCTTCATCTTAGATCATCTTGATCTCTTAGATCACCTTGATCTTAGAGAGGTGACCATAAATTCTGTTTAACTTTTTATGCTGATAAATATAAGTTCAATATGTTCATTAAAAATATAAGTAATAACAGTATTACTAAAACTAATATTAGTTAACATGTATCAAGTATTTATAATGGATGTGACAGACACTATTTTAAAGGCTTTGCATATAATAATCCAGCCAGGCACAGTAGCTCACGCCTGGAATCCCAGCACTTTGGGAGGCCGAGGCAGGTGGATCACTTGAGGCCAGGAGTTTGAGACCAGCATGGCCAACATGGTGAAACCCCATCTCTCCTAAAAATAAAAAAATTAGCTGAGTGTGGTGACATGGGCCTGTAGTCCCAGCTACTTGGGAGGCTGAGGCATGAGAGTTGCTTGGACCGGGAACGAGAGGTTGCAGTGAGTTGAGATCGTGCCACTGCACTCCAGCCTGGGTGATAGAGCAAGACTCTGTCTCATAAATAAATAAAATAAATAAATGGTTTTGCATATAATAATTCAATAACCCTTACAATACCCCTGTGAGGAAGAGACAGGTACTACTATTATCTCAGTTTAACTTATGGGAACAAACTGAGGCCAAGAAGTGTTAAGTAACTTGTCCAAGGGTTACTCAGTTTGCAAATGGTAAAGTCAAGATGTGAACCCAAGCAGTGTGGCACCACAGCCCTCTTAACCAGTATGTTCTACTGCCTCTCACTTGAAGTGTTTAGAATTACGGTGCATAACTTTCAAACCCCTGGAGGACAAAAGAAAACAATCTAGCAAAACTTAAGAAAGAAAAAAAAGAAAAAAACAGGAACGCATACAAATGAAAAATATAGGCTGGGCTCGGTGGCTCACGCCTGTAATCCCAGCACTTTGGGAGGCCGAGTCGGGTGGATCACCTGAGTTCAGAAGTTCGAGACCAGCCTGGCTAACATGGTGAAACCCGTCTCTACTGAAAATACAAAATTAGCCGGGCATGGTGTTGCATGCCTGTAATCCCAGCTACTTGGGAGGCTGAGGCAGGAGAATCGCTTGAACCCAGGAGGCAGAGGTTACAGTGAGCTGAGATTGGACCACTGCACTCCAGCCTGGGCGACAGAGCGAGACTTTGTCTAAAAGAAAAAAAAAAAGAAAAATATAAAATATTATAGCATGAATAAAGACCTAAAAACATTAGTATCTTTATATAATGACACGACAAGATAAGCATATTATAATGTTGGGTGAAAGGAATAGGAGGCAGAACAGCAAAGTATGGTATGATCCCCTTTATGTTATTGTACACATCTTTATAACCTATGTTTATACGGTTTGGGAAAATCTGGAAGTATACACATGAAATGTTGGCAGCTGTTTTCGAAGTGGTAAATTACCAGAGAACCTTCACTTACCCTGTAATATTTTAATTTTTGTAACAATTATATATAAACTAAAAAAAATCTTTTTTAAAAAACAGTATAGATGCCATCACAAGCACTTTTGTTTTTTCAGCTATAACTGGCACATAGTAGGGATTAAACATTTGTTAAATGAATATATGAATATCTTTTTTTTTTTTTTATAAAGATGGAGTCTTGCTCTGTTGCCCAGGCTGGAGTGCAGTGATGTGATTTCGGCTCACTGCAACCTCCATCTCCCGGGTTCTAGAGATTCTCCTGCCTCAGCCTCCCGAGTAGCTGGGACTACTGGTGCATGCCACCACGCCCAGCTAATTTTATGTATTTTTAGTAGAGACAGGGTTTCACCATGTTAGCTAGGATGCTCTTGATCTCCTGACCTCGTGATCTGCCCACCTTGGCCTCCCAAAGTGCTGGGATTACAGGTGTGAGCCACCGCACCCGGCCACATATGAATATCTTTACGATTAAATGATTCTTTGACTTTATGAGGTCACTATCAAGATAAGTGAAGAAATAAAATATTTTATTTTTCAGGATGTTATTTCTGACCTAGTATGTTTCTGTGTTTAAACATTCATATTTATATCTCTATGCCACTTTTTTTTGACACAGCAGCTGGACTGAGCATCAAACATGTCTGTGAGCTGGCAATGAGTCACCTAAGTACTTTTTTGTATCAAATCTATGATGCCATCATTCTTAAGATGCACCTTTATTTTATGAAATAGTAAGAAACAAAAAACACTATGGAACACCATCAAAATATCTGATTTCAGAGAAGTTACAATAATAAAAAATGTGTATCTTGGAATCAATGAAATGTGGCAATTCCAGTTATCTGAAAGTCTTACAGCTATAATTATACTGAGCTCTTATTACGTATCAAGTACCATGCTAAGTGTTTTTATATTGTATTATCTCATTTATTCTTCATAGAAATGCCATGAGGTAGATGCTGTCTTCATTTTCATTTTGTACAGGGAAACAAGGTACAGAAAGGTTCATAACCAAACAACTAGTAAGTAGAAAAGACAAGATTTGAACAAAGTAGTCTGACTTCCCAGTACATCCTCTTAATTTATCCTTATTGCCTGAGAAAAAGCTTATTAGTCCCTTCAGAACAGAAAAAGTGGTCCCTGGCACTAAATTCTTGAGGAAATCTATCAAGTAGGAGGATACAGAATGTCCTTATTGCCAGATAAAGTCCAGTGTTGTGCTATATGTAATGGAGAGTCACCAGAGGGTTTTCAGCAAGGGAGACGCACAATTGGATTTCCAAGGGTCTAATCTGATCCAACAACAGAATTTGTAATATCTGAAAAAAATGAATAGATCACACATTCCTTAGCTAGTCTTTCCTAAATTTCATTTTACTTATCATTAACTTTCGTGTGATGTCTGAATGCATTCGAAGTATCTTTGAAAGGAACATGCCACATATTTTGGCCAACCCCACATCTTACCCTCGTGTAGTTCGTGCTGTTATTATAAGTTGCAAAGCTTTGGCCTGCAGCCTCATGTGATGTATAATCACCACCTGCTTATTCTCCACACCACTCTACATGAATTCCATTTTGTAGGTCTCTTCCATAATCGATAAAGAAAAGATAATTAACAATCAATAAAAATATCATAGTCTTACTTGAGAGCAGCATAGAATTCTACTGTTAAATGACCTTAGGTGAAACTCTTAACTGAGATTTTACATCCCTATGCTTTTAAGTGTGGAAAGAAATTAGTATAGTATGCCTTGTAAAAAGAGAATAAATTATTTTGCCTATTTAAAAAGAAGACTGACCTGGTAATAAAATCATCTTAGTTGATGATGTGAAGATAAGAAAGTTTAATCACTAAGCAAACTGCAAAGCACTGAAAGCACTGCTTCTTACCCTAAATGAAGCCCACTCTGCTGTGGGAACAAATTAATATATATTATGTATGGAAACCCAATCCCCACAAAGTCCTCAAGAATTAAGCATCAGGAACTATTAACCATATGTTAGTTATCCTGACAGACTGTTCCATGGGCCTGGTCTGAGGGAGTTTGGGACGGAAATAAGTGCAAGAAAACATTGTCTATGACCCCAGATCAAGTCCCCGATCTTGCTTGGTTCCATCCAAATAAGCGATTTTCATCAAAATGATGCTTCTCTTTTTCTTCTGTGCTTGCCTCCCAGTGAACACTCTAGGGTCACGGAAACGACTCCAGACTCTCTTACAATTGGCAATAAGACAAGTTAAATTACATGACTGTCTCAATCCCTTTCTGTAAACAGGGAAGAAACAGTACCAATATCATGAAGTTTCAAGTATCAAATGGAGCATGCAATGTGTTTATCACAGTATCTGGTATACAGCAATGGTAATTCCTTTCCTCTTTTCCTTCCAAATTATTGCTCCCTGGTCCCATCCTTCCAATGTGGCTCAATTATCGGGTTCTAGTCATTAAATGCTACTCTTCTACAATAAGCCACATACCAGGTCTGAGAAAGAGTCTGGATCAGATAAGAGTTCAGCACTGTAGTAGAAAACAGATTCTGGGTATCAGAGGATCTGGTCTCAAGTCCTGACTGTATTACCTATAGCTCTATGAATTTAACCTTGCTGAGCCTTAACTGCCTCATCTCTAAAATAGACTTAATACTTATTCCTATCTAATGGGATTATTATGAGGGTTAATTAAGCTAATAGACTTGAAATCATTTAGTGAACTGTAATGTAACAATAACAGTCACCATCATTAGCTTTCTCCTGGGTCATTTACAGACTTCCTATTTGGAAGACTTGACCTGCAAGAGATCACCAAGTCTCAATACTTAGGTGCAAAGGGGAACGGCTCAAAGCTAAAAAGAAATAAACTAGAGACAAATAAAATTAAAGCCTACTTAATGAACTACCCAGGACCTTTTAACGTTGAAGAGATGGTACAGGCTAAAGATATAAACAACCTTAACTGAGTTGGGCTACATTTTCAGATGAAAGATTCATGACAGTAGCGACAGCGTTTCACCATGTTGGCCAGGCTGGTCTCAAACTCCTAACCTTAAGTGATGCGCCCATCTCAGCCTCCCAAAGTGCTGGGATTACAGGTGTGAGCCACCGCACCTGGCCCAACTGCCACATTTTATAGAAGAGAAAAAATCTAGGGAATTTAAGTAACTTGCTCAATATCACTCAGCAAATCAGAGGAAGACCTGGGACTAGGACCCAGGTCCCCTGAGTCCACAGTGAGTGCTGCGTCCCCTAGTTATGCTCCTTCTCATATCACTAACTTCTGTCATAGCCTAAAATTAGGGAGGCCACAGCAGAGGTACAGAGCTACAGGAAGGCCTCTGGCTCCGCCTTGGACCAGACAATTCCTGGACAGAGACCTGTTTGAAGGGAAGGTCTGAATAAGCTTACCTGTTTCGCTGCTGCTGAGGCCAAATCACTCTGCTTCAAATACGAAGGGGCAGCTACATTCCACGACTTTTCCTGCAAGGCCTACACAGACAAATCAGGAGGGAACAGAATACCGACGTCACAAAGACTGGCATATCATTTGGAATTTACATTTTTGTTTTCCTTTGAAAGTCTACCATGAACAGGACTTCTCAATTAATCTTATTCTTTTAACCCAATAAGCTGTATCTATTATGGAGAAAGATGAGACTAATGGTTTGGGCTAAATGAATTCCCATCCATTTGATCCAATTCTTGGCCCAAAGGCTCTGTGTCCCAGATCAGTGCTTCTGGAAGCAGAGGACAGGAACCATGAAACCTTCACCAGAATGCGCAGGCAAGCCAGCTTCCTTCTGGGCTCTAGGCACTCCTTGTTCCCAGAGCCACTGGACTAACCCAAGCCACCTAGATACTTCTTCCTTGACTGTGGTTCTTTTTTCTTTTCCCCTATGCTCATTATGTTATAAGCCCCAACCACTTTACCAACATATTCAACTAGAAATCAAGCAGCTTTCCTAGATTTCTCCCTCTTTCAATCTTCTACATTCAAAACCACCACTAAGAGCCACGATTTTACCTTCCATCTCTCTCCTCACCTATCCATCCACATGACCTCATCTCTTGCACAAACTTCTGTGACAGCCTCTTATTTTCTCAGTCCTTCTGAATTACAGATGTAATCAAATGACATTACAGAAAACCTAGACTAACACTGTCCAATAGAAATATAACATGAGCTATATATAATTTTAAATATTCTCATAGCCACAGTTTTTAAATTACAAAGATGTAAGTTAATTTTGAAGATACAAAGACTAATTTTTTAAAAAAGTTTATTTAACCCAGTATATCCAAGATATTAACATTTCACCACGCAGTATTTTTTAAATTATTAATTAGATAGTTTACATTTTCTTTTCATACTAAGTCTGAGAAATCCAGTGTGTATTTTGCACTTAATAACACATCTCAGTTTGGACTAACAACTTTTCAAGTGCTCAAGAGTCCCATGTATCTGGTGGCTATCAAACAGTGGTAGGTCTCAACTACAGATAAACTATAGGAATTTCTGGAATATTTACTTCTAATCATTTCTTCTATGCATGTTTTTTGACAGTTGTAGTCAGAAAGCAGAATTAAGTTTGGGGATTAGATCATAATCCCAAAACATACAATCACAAATGTTGAAATCCTGACATCCAAATTCTGGGGAAGTGATTAGTGTGTTTTGGCTTGCATGCAGGATAGTTGCATCATGTCAGTTGTATCATGTTAGGCACAACTATTACCATGTTATTGTCTTTATTTGGAAATTAAATATGGCTTAAGGAGATGCGTATGAGTGCCAAGCTGACAAGGGGTGGACTTGTGGACCTAATTTTAGGTATCAGCTTGACCAGATTAAGGAATATCAGAAACCTGGTAAAACATTATTTTGTTTTACACATTGAGGGTGTGTCTATGAGAGTGTTTCCGAAGAGATTAGTGTATAAATCTGAGTGTACTAGGTGGAGACTATCTGCCCTCAATGTTGGCGGGCACCATCCAATCAGCCAGTGGCCAGGAGAGAACAAATACTTAAGACAAAATGGGCTGGGATCGGTGGCTCATGCCTGTAATCCTAGCACTTTGGAAGGTCGAGGTGGGTGGATGACCTGAGGTCAGGGGTTCGAGACCAGCCTGACCAACATGGCAAAACCCTGTCTCTGCTAAAAATACAAAAATTAGCCAGGCGTGGTGGTGCACACCTGTAATCCCAGCTACTTGGGAGGCTGAGACAGGAGAATTGCTTGAACCCAAGAGGCAGAGGTCGCAGCAGTGAGCCAAGATCAAGCCACTGTATTCAGCCTGGGTGATAAGCTGAGACTCTGTCTCAAAAAAAAAAAAAAAAAAAAAAAACGCAAAATAGCAAAACGGACTCTCTGGGTTCTGCTGCTTGGATATCAGAAATCTGACTCCATGAAAGTGCATTATCACAATACTGACTTTGTGTATAAGCATTGAGTGTGTACATAAAATGTTGAAACTTCCTCGATAAATGAGATATCCTTTTCGTACATCTGCATTTGTGAAAGATAAAATTTCTTGAGATCTCAGCTCTTTGGGTGACTGCATATGCAGTGGTGACCCAGCACAGTTTCCATCAATCTCATCAAAAGACTTGAGGTTGTTGGGCACAGTATTTCAGATGACCAGAGTTAAAAAGCTGGGTATACACAATTAACAACCAAAGGGATATGCATTTATACCTTTCCCTTTATGACCAATTTCTTTATAAATATGGCTCATCTGCTCATAACTGTTAGACCCACCCAAATGTTATTAGTAACCTGAGTGTTTATGCTTGCAAAAATGTATGTTATTATTGTCTGTTTTATTATATTAAGTGGTGTATAAAGTATTCTGTTGTGTTTTTATGTTTCTCAAATAAGTTCCCCTTTAAAAAATAAATATCTTTAAGTTTTTAAAACTATTTCTTCCATAATTATATTTTGGGGATTTTGATATTTTCTGGGCTGTGGTTTTCGGATTTTAGACTTTAGGGATTTTAGTCTTTTGGAATTTAAACAGTTTAGGACTATGATGTTCTGGACTATCTTTTGGGATTATGATTGGCTCCCCTTCTTTTCGGTACATAACATTACACCCTAAGTATTTTGTCATGTTGTTGTATAATTCTTCATAAAGAATTAATGACTGCAGAATATACTGCTAGGTAGCTGTACCAAAAGTTATTTAGCTTTTTTCCTGTTATTAAACACACTTGCCTTGGGTTCTGGCTCTGGGCCCCTTACCTACACTGTCACTCCTTGTCATTGAATAACCAACAATTATGTGTTCTTTTTAGGAGTAATCACTTCTCTTTCCTCACCATATTTTGCTACTATAGAAAAGTGGATTCTTCTCCATGGCCTCCTTGAATTCCTGGGGTTTCACAGAGGCTTGGAAAAGCCAAACAACTTTGCAAAGGGGCAAGAAGGAACTTCTTGGAGTGATGAAAATGTTCTATGACTTTAAAGAACAGATGTTCTTTAAAAAAAAATTTAGTTTTTTTGAATAGTTAATACATACTTAAGGTATAGCATTCAAAGGATATACAATTAAATTAAATTAAATTAGTCCCCCTTCCTACGCCTGTGCCCTGTAGCCCTGCCACCCTGTATACCTTCCCAGAGGCAACTACTATTACCAGTTTCTTTTGAATTTTGAGATATGCCATGCATTTACAAAAAGTACTGGTTTTCTTTGCTTTCTTCTTTTTTAGGGGAGGAATGTGAGTGTGTGTGTGTTTGTGTATTACCTAACCATCTCAGCATTCATAGAAAGCTGCCTCATTACTTTTTAATAGCAACATTAAATTCTGAATAGAAATGGAAACTGTGGGAAACCTTAAGGTCTGAGTCACTTGGGAAGCTGTCTGTTTCAGAGCCGGCATAACACATCAGGTTTCACAGTAGCCTGGAAAAAACTGTCCACTGGACTATGCCACTTCCTCCCATCTCATGCTTGGTGGGTAACGTTATGATAGTTAACGATGCCTCCTGGGGACTTTGACATCAAGAAGGAGATGCCTACAAAGGGGCAAAGAGTAAATTACTCTCAAAGTGATTGAAGAATTAATGTATGATATATATCACTTCTTATTCATTTGGGTTGCTTGAACTGGTCCTGGAGGGCCTACCCAAAGCATGGGAACCCAGCACAATGAAAGCCAAGACCATAGACTAGCTAAGCCCAACTGTGAAGTATGAGTTTGGTGGCCAGATGGTCTCTTCCTTTCACTTCTCTGATTTTTCTCTTGTAAGAGACAGCCCTGAAGTATTCTACTTCAGAAGCATTTGTGTTTCCTCTCCAGGAAGATTCTGCCTTCTACGACAATTATACAGAATACAGACCAACTGACTGTACATTAACTAACTGATTCCAAATGTTATTTTATTCCCCTGCCCCAGAATTGTAGCAGTTGTTCTGAAGTGCACAGAACAAGATGTAACCCAATCCAACACAATTAGCCATAAGAAATCTGAACTTCTGTACAAACAAAAATGGAAACTTGTTAGCTCTGGGAAAAATCCTGTGTCCCAGTGTTTCCTCTCTTTGTCACTTTATGCTCACAATTCTTAGGAAGCCTCAGTCTAGACATCCATCAGGAGACTACGGGCTCTAATGAGAAAGGTACACTGAGCACATTCTATGTGCACTGTACTGTGCTAGCTGTTTCCTTACTTGAGCTCACTTAATCCTCACAATATGAATTGCAATTAATCCTATTTCACTGAACAGGAAACTAAAGATCAGAATTTAAGTGGCTTGCCTAAGGTCACAGAATAAACAACAAAACGACATGAACTAGACAGAGTCAGCTCTGACTCCAAAAGTATTTTTTTAACCATATCATATTGCATCTCATTTATTTATTTGCTATTAAACTCTTTTCATTTATTTATTAATTACATCAAACACAGATGAGACCAAAACTAATTTAAAACTAGATACGGCTAGGCGCGGTGGCTCACACCTGTAATCCTAGCACTTTAGGAGGCCAAGGTGGGTGGATTGCCTGAGCTCAGGAGTTCGAGACCAGCCTGGGCAACACAGTGAAACCCCATCTCTACTAAAATACAAAAAATTAGCCAGGCCTGGTGGAGCGCGCCTGTAGTCCCAGCTATTCGGGATGCTGGGGCAGGAGAATTGCTTGAACCTCGGAGGCAGAGGTTGCCGTGAACCGAGATCGCACCACTGCACTCCAGCCTGAACGACAGAGGGAGACTCCATCTCCAAAAAAAAAAACAACAACTGGATACACTGGGCCACTTTTCTTTAGATGCTATCAGGCAGAGCAAAACAGTTCCTCCCAGGAACACACACATTAGCAATCTATATGATGCCACTATGCCACTATGTGTAAACACATTTACATAGAGTGATTCTTTTTAAGCTTACACAATAGGCTGAATTAATTATTTAAATCACTATTAAAGATAGTCAAAAAGATTCTGGATGTGCAAATCAAATGCAGTTTATTTTTTTCAATCTCTTAGAATCTCTAAAAATCAAATTTATAATTATGTCTCTTAGTAGCTTAGTAGAGCAAAAAGGAATGTTAGGAAATACAAAATAAATACAAAGTCTTGGTGACTTCTAAAACGCCATCTTTATTCCTGCACCTAGATGATGACAGATTACAAACGTGTATTTCTACTCTTTAATTACTAGACCAGTTCCAATACTACACAATAGGCACTCTCCCTAAAGACAATAAAAGTTTCAAAGCAAAAAGAGGATTTTAAAGAATTCAACTAAAAAATCCCATGTTCTTCAATGGTTAGTGTGTAAAAGAATTCCCATAAGAAAAGTAGTACATTTCTTTCTATCTCTGATAAATGAAGCCCCTTCTGTTTCAGGTTATAATGAGCTATTTTACTCCAAAAGAACAATTCTCTATTATGGAACACTTCTAAGGTGATATGGTTCCTGAAACAACAGTGTGTATAGCAACAGCACTTTCATGGACTTAACACAAAAATGTAAACTTTGAAAAACAGGAGGTCACTATTCATACTGAGAAATAGCAGACAAATGACTGCAGCATTCCTTAAAAGACAATCCCCTTCAACCCTGCTAGTGAGTTTAAACATGATTACATTTATAAAATTTGATTTAGTTACAAAATGTCAAGAGCATGTCCAGTATGTTAAATAAACCATAGTTAGTTTAAATTTTTTTTTTTTTTTTTTTGAGATGGAGTCTCGCTCTGTCGCCCAGGCTGCAGTGCAGTGGTGTGATCTCTGCTCACCACAAGCTCTGCCTCCCAGGTTCGCACCATTCTCCTGCCTCAGCCTCCCGAGTAGCTGGGACCACAGGCGCCCGCCACCACGCCTGGCTAATTTTTTGTATTTTTAGTAGAGACAGGGTTTCATCGTGTTAGCCAGGATGGTCTCCATCTCCTGAGTTCGTGATCCGCCCACCTCGGCCTCCCAAAGTGCTGGGATTACAGGCGTGAGCCACCGCGCCCGGCCAGTTAGTTTAAATTTTAAAGCAAACAGCCATAAATGTCCAACTATTATCTATGTAACTGATATTCTCAAAATGCTTTTACCACATATCATTACAATCATCTTCACAACAATTCTACAGGTGCAAGCCACAGCATCTGGCTCATAGGTGAGCTCTTCATTGGGTTAAATGGCTGTTTGGATTACAAAACAGGGCACTGTGTATGACAGTGAAATTTGTTTTACACTCATACTAACAAATACATGGCTCCAGTCCTCATCAGAGAACCTTCTGTATGAAAGGCTAACATTTCACTCCATAACAACTCAGAAAGTGTAAGTTGTGGAGAACCCCAGGGGTCAACTGATCTAATCTCATGTGATACAGGAATCCCCTGTAAATCACTGCACATCACAGAATATGGATTTTAGAGTTGACAAAGCTGAACTCAAATCCTCGTTCTGCCTCTTCTTAGCAAATTACTTCATGTCTGCAATGATGGTTGTAAAGCGTCGCAGGTGCCCGCACTGCTATGGTCCATCTGCTTCCCTTTCCAGATTTTTCACCATTCTGCCTGTGCTCCTGAATACACACTCAAGCTAGAAACACAGAGCCCCGAACTTAGGACAGTGATCTGGCCGGCCACTGCCTAGCAAGACTATCATCTCAGGAAACCCAGACCATGAAGGCGAGTACCTTCTAAGAGCCAGCACTGCAGCTGATCACCAAATTGGCTAGCTTTTGTGCCTTTTGCACTTGCTTTAGTGCCAACAGGATAAAACTGTCAAGGACAAAATCTAAATGTTTATTTACGTGGGGATGAGTCAGGAAGTAGACTTTATTTTACTGGGCTCAGGGCCAACAACCTCATTCAGTGGCCTCCAAAACTAAACACTTTGTTGAGGGAGAAGAGAAATCGCTCCACAAGAGATATAGAAAGGACTGGAATCTCCGCTTACAGAGCTGTGGACTGCCCAGAACTTACAGCAGGGTCAGCAAATTTTTTCTGTAAAAGGTAAAATAGTAACTTTATGGTCTCTGTGGCAACTACTCAGCTCTGTGATTGTAGCATGAAAGCAACTATAGACAATACCTAAACAAATGAGCGTGGCTGTGCTTCAATCAGATCTTACATACAAAAGCAGGCAACAGGCCAGCTTTGGTCCACAGGCTGTAGTTTGGTGACTCCTAGTTGAGAGTACTGTTACTGGCACATCACAGGCACACAATAAACATCAAGTATATGATTCAATGTACGGTGGCAAGAGAACAAACTGTCATGCTAAAATCATTTCAACCTTAAAAATAATTCAGTTTTCCCTATCTTTTATTGTTACTGATTACAGTGATGGTATTCAGGTGGACACTCTGCCATTTGGAATATCATTTAGGCTTAGCCTGTGCAGCTGATGCAGCTTCTTCACACCACACAGCCATCTTTGACATATTTCAACTTGTTAATGATTCATGTTCGCAGCCCTTTTGGCTGATGCTATCACTGCAAAGCAGTGATATGTGTGAGTCCATTCATTACGGTAACAAGCTTTCACTCAAGCTTTGTTTCTTGCAGTATCTATCATTTCTAGTGTGATCTCCTCCACTGATTTTTTTTTTTTTTTTTTTTGAGACGGAGTCTCGCTCTGTCGCCCAGGCCAGACTGCGGACTGCAGTGGCGCAATCTCGGCTCACTGCAAGCTCCGCTTCCCGGGTTCACGCCATTCTCCTGCCTCAGCCTCCCGAGTAGCTGGGACTACAGGCGCCCGCCACCGCGCCCGGCTAATTTTTTGTATTTTTAGTAGAGACGGGGTTTCACCTTGTTAGCCAGGATGGTCTCGATCTCCTGACCTCATGATCCACCCGCCTCGGCCTCCCAAAGTGCTGGGATTACAGGCGTGAGCCACCGCGCCCGGCCTCCTCCACTGATTTTTAAAAATCCAGTCAACAGTAGGATTTTCTTGTTGAACTGTGAAGGCCTGTGCTCGGTAGGGACTTTGTGAATCATCCCTGTTTGGGTCCCAGAGCCACTGGAGGGCCCATCACTGGAGTGGCTGGTGAGACACTCCAGGGCATGAGAGTTGCTATGGGCCTCTGTGTGGCTTCTAGAGGCTTCCCAGGGGCACAAAGACTATGTGACCCAGGTGGAAGCTCGGGAGGCTCACGCTGGACACATGCTGCACACTCTGGCTCCCCTGTGGCTGCAGCTGCACCCACCTACCCAGCATTCTCCCCACGACCTGTCCAGCCCAAGCCCACGGCACTCCCAGGGGAGCCCAGGACACCCTCAACTTTTTAGTGGATTACTAGAGTATCAGACCACCCATTTATCTCTCAGTTCCTCACTCCCACCCCTGCACCCAGCAAGTCACCAAGTCCCCCAGGTGAGTAAACTGGAGCTAACAGCAGTTGGTACTTACGGCATATACTGGATTTGGCTCACTCACACGTGGTATTCCTATCTTCATCTACTGTATCTTCCTGGACTACATAAGCTGCAAAGTTAAAAACTGCATTTCTCAGATTCCCTTGAGCTAGGTTCCAGACGTGATTTATTATCAGTCAATCAAACACATTCGCATGAGTTTTGTATAGGGAACAATGTTAAGTCGGAAGAAAGGCAGAATGCAAGACACGGTTCTGGAGCCAGCAGCTTTATTGGTAGCATCCTGACTCAATAGGCAGCTTTCCTGATAATAGCAGGAACATCAGCCTCCTTGGTGGCCCACTCATTGTGTGGCTCTGGAAATCATTCCTGGATATTCCACCTAGTCTGTTTCTTTAGCCTTCCCAACAACTCTGTGAGCCATGTAACATTCTGTAATAAATTTCTTTCTGCTTAAATTAGTTAAAAGCCTCTTTTGTTTTCTGCAAATGAACCCTGAGCAATAAACTTGACTAAGATCAAACAACTACAAGTCATGCGTTGTTTAACGATGGAGATACATTCTGAGACATACGCTGTTATGTGATTTTGTCTCACAAACATCATAGAGTATATTTACACAAATCCAAATGGTATAGCCTACTACACACCTAGGCTATATGGGATAGTCTGTTGCTCCTAGGCTACAAATCTGTACAGCATGTTACTGTACTAAAGACTGTAGGCAACTGTAACACTGGTTACAATGGTAAATATTGGTAAATATGGTAAACAATGGTAAATATCTGTATATCTAAACATAAAAAAGGTACAGTAAAAATATAATCATGGGACCACCACAACGTTGTTATTTAGTGCATGACTGTATTAGCTCAGACGTTAACCAAAATGAGTCTGCCTTCAAAGCTCCATTCACTCAATCTCTATACTACACCACTGCAGTTCTGGGAGGCTGTTCTCCCTCAGGTCTCCCAGCTCTTCTAATGTCTGCTGAAGTTGGAATTCTCTTCTGCATATGGACTACGAAACTGACATGCTCAGTTATCATTTCATACTAGCTAAAGGATCTTCTCCTTTGTGAAGCATCCCTCACCACTACTACTGTGATGGGTCAGGGCCTTTCATCTGTTTTTCCACAGCATCTATGCTTCTCTTCACTGTATCATTTATCAAATTGATGATTTCTGCGTCCTGTAATAAACAGTGAGTACCTTAAGAACAAATGTCATTTCTTATTTCTCTCTACCCTCAGCAACTGGCTTATTAGAATAAACAAATAGTTAATGCTGCTAAGTGAATGAATGACCTAATGTAATGGGAAAACATAACTTGGAGGATGGTTCAGTTGGCCAGCTTTATAACATGTTAAGATGCAATAATGGACAGGAAAGCATGAACAAAGTACAAAGCGCTGTTATCCACCATCATAAGTCTTTGTCTATATCCATCTTGTCTACATGGGCTCTCTAAGGGCAGAATCCTAGCTAGCTGATCTGTATCTAGCACAGAGCTTGTTTCTTAGTGTATGGAATGAAATCATCCACTAAAAATTATTAGTTGAATGTGGCTGGTGCCAAATACTCTTCCGGGCAGATCAAAAGAGATCTCAACCAAGATACAAATGATATAATATAATATTTTTCTTTCTTTCTTTTTTGTTTTGAGATGGAGTCTCACTCTGTTGCCCAGACTGGAGTACAGTGGCGTGATCTTGGCTCACTGCAAGCTCCGCCTCCCGAGTTCAAGCGATTCTTGTGCCTCAATCTCCCAAGTAGCTGGGATTACAGGCTACTATTTTTAGTAGAGACGGGGTTTCACTCAGTGGGGCTGGTCTTGAACTCCTAGCCTCAAGTGATCCTCCCGCCTCGGTCTCCCAAAGTGCTGGGATTACAGGCATGAGCCACTGCACCTGGCCGATATAATATTTTTCTCTTTTAAGAGCAAACAATAAAGAATTTAAACTCATTTGCTTTTAGCAAAAGCAGTACTGTTTGCTCTTAAAATACATGATTTTTTAATCTTTTAAGAGCAAACAATACTGCTTTTGCTAAAAGCAAATGAGTTTAAATTCTTTTCATATCATTCAGGCCATTTTGAGGAAGGTCTGGCAGAGCCTTTTGGTTGTTCCCCAATATCTTTCTCCCATTCTTCCTGAGTATTAGAGTCATCGCATGTAAACCAGGCATTAGTCACCCAGAATAAAGACTGCATGTCCTCGCTCCTTGAAGTGAGAGATGGCCATGTGACTTAAGTTCTAGTCAATGGAATGCAAGTAAAATTAGAGTGTACAACTTTTGGGAAGTGTCTTTAAACAAACCACAGGGTGGAGATGATACCTTTCTCTCCCCGTTTCCTTTTCCCCACAGGATGGAATACAGGGGGGACAGTTAGATTCTGAATTGTTAAGCAGAGCTGCTTGATGCAGAAGATGAAGACACAAGAAAGAATGAGCCTAGGCCGGGCACAGTGGCTCACGCCTGTAATTCCAGCACTTTGGGAGGCCGAGGCGGGAGGATCACTTGAGCTCAGGAGTTTGAGACTGGCCTGGCCACCATGGTGAAACCTCAACTCTACAAAAAAAAAAAAAAAGCCA
Organism: Homo sapiens; assembly: GCF_000001405.40. Classification (NCBI taxonomy): domain Eukaryota; kingdom Metazoa; phylum Chordata; class Mammalia; order Primates; family Hominidae; genus Homo; species Homo sapiens. Next base: position 65,189,689 of record NC_000007.14, on the reverse strand, counting down.
AAATTAGCCGGGTGTGGTGGCATATGCCTGTGGTCCCAGCTACTTGGGAGGCTGAAGTGGGAGAATCACTTGAGCCCAGGAGGCTGCAGTTGCAGTGAGCTGATATTATGCCACTGCACTCCAGCCTGGGTGACAGGGTGAGACCCTGTCTCAAAAAAAAAAAAAAAAGAATGAGCAAGCCTAGATCCTTGATGGTCATCTCAGCCCTGTCCTGCCTATGAGGAAGAATTAAACTTTGCTCCTGTTTTAGCCACTGTTACTTTGCATTTTGGTCACTCATCCTAATATATAAAATTAAAAAACTAAAAACAGGTTCTTTGTAACTATTTCTGTTGTGTACTAATCATCAATCGAGTCATGAATATAAAGAGCTCTTTTAAAAAATATGTTCAAACCACAATCTAATCCAAATATAAACAGACCATAAAACCGTGTGTGAATGTAGACCAATAGAGTCAGAATATCAAGCCTAGTAACCAACACCAGAATTCAGAACAGTCAAGCTGAGTGTAACGGCACTAACTCTGTCAGATGAAGGGATGATTACCCTACCTGATGGTGAATTCCAGCAGCTCCTGGGCTCCCTGAGGGTCCAAGTGCTGAAGACTACACACTCCTTCAAGGCTCTGCTGCAGGAGCTGCTGCGAAGGATCCTCTTGAGGTATGATGCTGGGAGAAACAGCTGATGACACCAGTTTTCTACCTGGCAACTAAGCAAACACAGTGGGATTATAGAGTCATTAAGTTTGGTGGCTCAGCTTTTGGTAACACACACACAAACACATAAAAGCACATTAAAAATGTGAGCTAAACAAAACAAAGGGGAAAAAAGGCTAGGAGATTCTATAAATAACATTTCTCCCCTTCCTCAGCAACAATTGGGAGTTAAAGAGAAAGAGACAAAATGCAAACATGGTCTACCCAATACAGCCACAGCTGCCAGGAGAAAAACAGAAAAGGTATAATATTTTCTATTGTTAACTGAAATAAATGGGCCAACCATAGGAAGGAGACTAAAAATTAAACTGTTGCTACATCTTTTTTTTTTTAGACAGAGTTTCACTCTTGTTGCCTAGAGTGCAATGGTACCATCTCGGCTCACTGCAAACTCCACCTCCCAGGTTCAAGCGATTCTCTTGCCTCAGCCTCCTGAGTAGCTGGGATTAGAGGTGGCCGCCCCCAGACCCAGCTAATTTTGTATTTTTAGTAGAGACAGGGTTTCTCCATGTTGGTCAGGCTGGTCTCGAACTCCTGACCACAGGTGATCCGCCTGCCTCAGCCACCCAGACTGCTGGGATTACAGGCGTGAGCCACTGCACCCGGCCACATTTATCTTTAAAACACTATCTTATCTTTCACTTGAAGGAAGAGTAATGATTTATTCCCAAATAAACTTATATAGCATACAATTTTTTCATGAGAATAATTTTTTTTTATTTTTGGCCTAGCCCTTCAGATATACTTATTCTTACTGTTAAAAGTGGTTACCTTTTAAGATGGATGGGGAGGAGAGAGCAAAGAGTATTTCATTTTTCATTTTGTATCTACTTGTTTTTTGTTTTTTTTTGAGATGGAGTCTCACTCTGTCGCTCAGGCTGGAGTGCAGTGGCACAACCTTGGCTCATTGCAACCTCTGCCTCCTGGGTTCAAGCAATTCTCTTGCCACAGCTTCCCGAGTAGCTGGGACTACAGGTGCCCAACACCATGTCCAGTTAATTTTTGTATTTTTAGTAGAGATGAGGTTTCACCATGTTGGCCAGGCTGGTCGTGAACTCCTGTCCTCAGATGATCCACCCGCCTCAGCCTCCCAAAATGCTTAGATTACAGGCATGAGCCACCGCACCTGGCCTCATTTTGTATATTACTCCAAATAAAGTGATTTGGAGTCACCCAAGCAGGGATGAGTTAATGCAAATAGAGAGATTGGAAGAGTACCTGGGCCACAGCATTCACAAAGTCTTTGCTATTATTATTATGATCCATTTTTAAATTTTCTTCTTTATATCTCTAGGTTTTAAAAATAGTAAAGGTTTTATTTTTAAAAAATAAGCACTTGTGGGCCGGGCGCGGTGGCTCACGCCTGTAATCCCAGCACTTTGGGAGGCCGAGGCGGGTGGATCACGAGGTCAGGAGATCGAGACCATCCCGGCTAAAACGGTGAAACCCCGTCTCTACTAAAAATACAAAAAATTAGCCGGGCGTAGTGGCGGGCGCCTGTAGTCCCAGCTACTTGGGAGGCTGAGGCAGGAGAATGGCGTGAACCCGGGAGGCGGAGCTTGCAGTGAGCCGAGATCCCGCCACTGCACTCCAGCCTGGGCGACAGAGCGAGACTACGTCTCAAAAAAAAAAAAAAAAAAAAAAATAAGCACTTGTGGAGAATCATGGCTATATGTAATAGTTAAAATATAACAATTTAGGCTGGGTGTGGTGGCTCACACCTGTAATCCCAGCACTTTGGGAGGCCGAGGCAGGCAGATCACGAGGTCAGGAGATCAAGACCATCCTGGCTAACACGGCGAAACCCCGTCTCTACTAAAAAATACAAAAAATTAGCCGGGTGTGGTGGCAGGTGCCTGTAGTCCCAGCTACTCGGGAGGCTGAGGCAGGAGAATGGAGTGAACCTGGGAGGCAGAGCTTGCAGTGAGCCGAGATCGCGCCACTGCACTTCAGCCTGGGTGACACAGCGAGACTTCGTCTCAAAAGGTAATAATAATAAAAAAAATATATATATATATAACAATTTAAATTCTTGATCTAAAATATAATCTATTGTTCCAGGTTCCTTTCTTCTTGCCTAATATCAATAATCCAGGGACACCAAAAAAAATGAATCATCTTAAAAGGTAAAGGATACAAAAGCAAAAGTATAAAACAATGGCAAAGAGCCCAAGAGAGAAGGAGAATGAACAAACAAGTTTTCAGAGAATATATGGACTGCTTTCTACTATTTAATAACCACAAAGCACAAAAAATAAAAAGCCAAAAACAAGCTGCACACAGTGGTGCTCACCTGTAATCACAGCGACTTGGGAGGCTGAGCCAGGAGGATGGCTTAAGCCCAGGAGTTTGAGACCCCTCTGGGCAACATAACAAGACCCCCATCTCAAAGGAAAACATGAACACAAATACCCCTACCCCGTGCAAAATAAAAACAAGGACAACAGATGTTTTCAACATACCCTCAAGGCAGGAACAAGATGAGAAAGACTGTCTCGGAGGTAGGCATAGTGCCTGAGAACAATGCTCGCATTGTTGGACAGGTTTTAGCAGCATTGAAAATAAGTACCAAAACTGCAATATCTGATAGATCACTGGGTTAAGTAAACTTGGAAGTATAAAAGGTTGGCCAGATTCTGGCACTCTCACTTTCCACCTCCAAAATCTCCATCAAGAGACTATGATTTTCTAATAATCAAAGAAATGCAAATACAAACAACAAAATACATTCCCCTACTCCACCCACACCCCCAATTACCAAAGGTTTTTAAAAATGCCAGAGACTGCCAAGAATACAAGAAAATGGAAATGATTTTGCCTATAAAGTAAGCAACTATATTGCCTAGCCTATCAAAGTACATACTGGCCAGGCATGGTGGCTCACGCCTGTAATACCAACACTTTGGGAGGCTGAGGCGGGTGGATCAGTTGAGGTCAGGAGTTTGAGACCAGCCTGGGCAACAAGGTAAAACCCCGTCTCTACTAAAAATACAAAAATTAGCCGGGAGTGGTGGCAGGCACCTGTAATCCCAGCTACTTGGGAGGCTGAGGCAGGAGAATCATTTGAATCTGGGAGGCGGAGGTTGCAGTGAGCTGGGGTGGTGCCACTGCACTCCAGCCCAAGCAACAGGTTAGGAATTTGAGACCAGCCTGGCCAACATGGTGATACCCTGTCTCTACTAAAAATACAAAAATTAGCTGGGTGTGGTAGCGGGCACCTATAATCCCAGCTACTCAGGAGGCTGAGGCTGGAGAATTGCTTGAACCCGGGAGGCAGAGGTTTCAGTGAGCCGAGATCAGGCCACTGCACTCCAGCCTGGGTGACAGAATGAGACTCTGTCTTCAAAAAAAAAAAAAGGAAAGAAAAGCAAAGAAAAGAAAACTCAGACCACCCTAGCTACACTGCAGAAGGAGATGCCAAAGCTGCCTGCCAACACATCAGGGCCCATCCTAAGCACAGAGGATACAAGCTGGATCATCCATGTCTGGTTCAGCTGTGTCAAAAAATGGGTGGGTGCTCAGAAGCTCTGGCACCAAGGGAAGCACCAGGGTTGGATGCCGACTTCCCAGAAACTTCAAGCACCTGAAACAAACAAATAAGAATGCACATCAACAAATTAGTAAAGTTAGTCCTTTGAAAAGTACTAGGAACTGGAATCAGAAAACCTGAACTGGAATTGGAAATTCTCAACCATATACTTTTGCTAACTCTATGACTTCAGATAAGTCACCCAGTTATTCTGGAACTTGGTTAATTCATCTAAAAAAACTGGTTATTATAAAGATAAAAGAACTGTTTATTTAACCAACAGCCATTTCCCCCATCTTTCTTCCTGAGAGAGCCCTGATTTTACTCAGGTATCAGGCAGGCAGCAAAGTGCTCGGAAAAGGCAGGTCCAGCCCAAGAGCTGAACCACTATTGGTCTAAACCCATCATGGCAATCCCATTCCCATTTTCCAGTGACTGGTTTGCTGGTACGCAAGTAAGCCAGTTCTAGACAATGGAGCACGAGACTATGCTGGCTGGGGAGCTTCTCAGGGATGTTTTTGCAAATCAAAAGAGCAATGCATGAAAGGGAATGACCCTTCCTTTCTGTCTTGAGATATTATCTTATGAGGCAGCCATCTTACAACCATGAGAAGAAAGCCGGCCGGGTGCGGTGCCTCATGCCTATAATCCCAACACTTTGTGAGGCCAAGATGGCTGGATCAGGAGGTCAAAGATCAAGACCATCCTGGCCAACATGGTGAAACCCCATCTCTGCTAAAAATACAAAAATTAGCTGGGCATGGCGGCACGGGCCTGTAGTCCCAGCTACTCGGGAGGCTGAGGCAGGAGAATCGCTTGAACCTGGGAGGCGGAGGTTCAGTGAGCCGATATTATGCCAATGCACTCCACCCTGGCGATAAAGAGAGACTCTGTCTCAAAAAAAAAAAAAAAAAAAAGAGCCAAGAGAACTGCAGAGAAACCAAAGAGAGCCCTGGTAACCTGTTGAATGACCAATCCTGAAACCAACCTTCTGACCTCGTTATGAAAAAACAGACTTATTGGCTAAGATATTTTTAATCAGATTGTCTTTTTTACTTGTGGGCAAAAACATTCTAATTGATATCCTGGGTGAAGTCCTGAAATCACAGATCTGTCTGAAACTAAGTAGCCTTATGCAAGTAAATTTTTTCATCTACAAAATGAGATTAAAAGTCATTACTTCATAGAGTTGCTATATGCATTAAATAACTAACATAAAGTACTCAGCGAAGTGTCTGTCACATAGTAAGAACTCAATGTTAGCTATTATAACTACCTGAGGGCCCTTTATAAACTATAAGGAACTATACAAGCAAGGTAATTATATATTTTTATTATTGTTTATGGTTTTTTTTTTTTTTGAGACTGAGTCTTGCTCTGTTGCCCAGGCTGGCATGCAGTGGCACAATCTCGGCTCACTGCAACCTCTGCTTCCAGGGTTCAAGCGATTCTCCTGCCTTTGCCTCCCGAGTAGCTGGGATTACAGGCACGTGCCACTACGCCCAGCAGATTTTTGCATTTTTAGTAGAGATGAGGTTTCACCATGTTGGCCAGGCTGGTCTTGAACTCCTGACCTCAGGTGATCCACCCGCCCCAGCCTCCCAAAGTGCCGGGATTATAGGCGTGAGCCACTGCACCCAGCCAATTAAGTGCACCTTCTAAACCAGAACTTAATGAATAAAAAATAATAAGGCCGGGCACAGTGGCTCATGCCTGTAATCCCAGCACTTTGGGAGGCCAGGGCAGGTGGATCACCTGAGGTCAGGAGTTCAAGACCAGCCTAACCAACATGGTAAAACCCCATCTCTACTAAAAAAAAAAAAAAACAAAAAATAGTTGGGTATGGTGGCGTGCACCTATAATCCCAGTTACTCGAGAGGCTGAGGCAGGAGAATCGCTTGAACCCAGGAGGCGGAAGTTGCAGTGAGCTGAGATCACGCCACTGCATTCTAGTCAGGGTGACAGAGCGAGACTCCATCTCAAAAAAAAAAGTAACAAAACAAAACACTATATAGGAGAAAGAGGAAATCTAATTAATTTATTTCTATACTTGTAACAGCTACCACAAGGGTTGGTGCGTAGTCAGCACACAGCAGGCACATAATATTTGCTAGGTGGATAGATGCACAAATTAGTAAGTAATCTAAAATGTGATATTCAGCTTAGGAATCAGATTCCTGAGAGCGGTTAAGTTCAATCAGGTTTCTAAAGTAAAGGCAAAATTCAGGGCCGTACTACCCTCAATCTATAAGGACGGAACAAATGTCAGCATCGTACATTTACCACATTATGCGACTCAGTGAGTAAATGGGCAAAAAAGTCATTACTTCCATATGGAGTCCCTATCAGTAGGGTACTTGGTTAAATTTTTCAGCAGCTCCACCAATGCAAGATGAATCCCTTCTTTGGTTGAAACATTAGTACAGCATAAGAGTTCATGAAGAGCCTCTCGAATATCTCTGGATGAATCCTTTTAAAAAAAAGTAATAATAATAGTAGTTACTGTTGGTTAGCAGACTCAGCCTCTATCTACCATCCCCTTCTCCCCAGCCACCTTCCCATCTGGGGTGGCCATGTAACAAAGTATGTGGAAGTTTTTTGGCTGAAATTCCTGAAATATCTTTCATTTTATTGATAAAGGACCAGAGGCAGTAGCTTTATCCCCTTTCTTCTTTAACCTTCCTTTTCCATCCTATCTGGAACTCAATCATGATGCTGAAGGTACAAGAGCCTTTTTGCAACTAGGAAAAAGGACAGGCTAAGAAGAAAGGCTAAGAGAGAGGCTGGGAATGGCCAGTTAGCAGAACACTCAGAACACACACACTTATTAAGTTTGCCATCTTATACAGGCACAGTTTGTGGCATCCCAAAACAATTACAACAGTAACATCAAAGATCACGGATCACAGATCACTGTAACAGATGTAATAATGAAAAAGTTTGAAATATTGCAAGAATTACCAAAATGTGACACAGACATAAAGTGAGCACATGCTATTGGAAAAATGGCACTGATAGACTTGCTCAATGCATGGTTGCCGCAATCTCTCAATTTATTAAAAAAATACAATATCTGCAAAGCCCAATAAAGAGAGGTATACCTGTATGTGCTAAATGGAGGAGTGAGGGAAAAGTCGATCTATCTGAAGTGAATTTCAAGATTTCAAGAATGAGAAATATTAAAAGAGAGGCAAATCGAAATGTCACTCCTATCCATAAAATTCTGCAACAGTTTTCCATAATGTTAGAATAAAATCCAGACATCTTAAAATGGCCTACAAGGCTCTCCACCTCTCCCTAATCCCCTCTCAGACTTCATTTCATGCCACATTTCTACTTTCTCACTGTGGTTCACTCCTACTGGCTTTCTCTCTATTCTGCAAACACAACAAAGCTCACTTGTATTTTAGAGCCTTCCCACTAGCTGTTGCCTCTACCTGAAGTTATTCTCCCAGTCTTCACATAGCTAGCTTCTGTTTACCATTCAAGACTCAACTTGAACATCATCTCCTCAGAAAGTCTTTACTAACCACTCAAATTACAGAGAAATTCCCCATTCCTCCATCATACTGTTTATCTTCTGCAAAACATTTATCACCATCTGAAATCATTTTGTTTGTTTACTCCACCTCTCTTTAGAATATAAGTTTTATGACAGCAGGGATCCTGTCTGTTTTGATATCCCTATATTTCTAATACATAGACAGTGCTTGTTGAATAAAGAAGTGAGTTTTTCTAGGCAGGGTAGGATCTTGACATAGCAGGAAAAAAAAAAAAGGCAAATTCCACCTGGAAGGGTCAGCAAGGTAAGGCTCAAAGCAATGAAGCACAGTGACACAGAAAATATAAGGGAGCAGTGCACAGCAGGGTGGAAGAATAGTCTACTGTAAGTTTATATGGGTCTGAACTCCTGAAAAGAATTAAAAAGCAAGGATTCTTTGTGAGTTATATACATAAGTACTCACAAATAAGCATACCTGTGAACAATTCTGTACATCAAAACATAGCTTGGAACATAGCTCAGCTACTCAGCAAACACTTGCCGAGCACCTAATTGTGCCAGACACTGCTGCAAGACATTGGTAATAAAAAAATGAAGAGTCAGCTGGGCACGGTGGCTCACACCATAATCCCAGCACTTTGGGAGGCCAAGGTGGGTGGATCACTTGAGGTCAGGAGTTCGAGACCAGCCTGGCCAATATGGTGAAACATCATCTCTACTAAAAAAAATATATAAAAATTAGTATTGTAGTGCGTGCCTGTAATCCCAGCTACTCAGGAGACTGAGGCAGGAGAATTGCTTGAACCCAGGAGGTGAAGGTTGCAGTAAGCCAAGATCGCGACACTGCAATCCAGCCTGGGGAACAGAGCGAGACTCAGCCTCAAAAAGCAAAAAACAAACAAACAAACAAAAAACAAAAAAAAAAGGAAAGGAAAGGAAAAAGGAAAAGAAAAAGGAAAGGAAAGGAAAACAAAAGAGAAAAGAAAAGTCAAGACACCTTGAGGAGCTCACAGTCTTATGAAATAGAGAATTACTGAAAAATGCTAGAGCAGTATACACAGAGTGCTATGGGAATAGAGTGGTGGCATTTAGCCCACCCAGGGCTGGGAGTAACAGTTAGGGAAGGCTTCCTGGATATGTTACCTAATATAGGCTGTGGGAATAAGTGGACGTCTCCTGGGTTAAAGTGGCAGTTTTGCAAACTGAGGGGGAAATTACATTGAAGGTAAAATTGTGAGGAAAAGCCATATGTGTAGGAAAGTGACTTCAGCATAAAGTTCAAGGTGAGGAATGGTGGAAAAGAAAGCTAAAAAGGAAAGGAGTGGCTAGGCTATGTATGAGGCCACCTATGAAGAACCACACATAGAATGTAAACTTATTTTTAGGAAAAAATACATGAAAAAATTATAAAGATTTATAATTCAGGAAAAATCTTAGTAGAAGTGCTAAGCAGCTGAGAGAATGGTAGGGACCTTCAAAACCAAAGCACCAGCTATTCTTTAAAGTATGCAGTAGAAATCTGTTACAAGTGTTCTAAAAACTAAGCACCTAATTACTATCCCTTTCACATCTGAACCCCATCTTCCCCAAAAAGGAAACCAGAGGACAAACCCCATTTATGAATACTCTGAAGAACTTGAGTAGTTGCAATTAAAATCCAGACATTTTAGAAAAATAATACAAGAACTACCTAGAGCTGTACGGCCTGGGAAGCAACTCTGTGTTTACATTTTGGTTCAGCCACTAACTCAGACAACTTATTTTTTCTCTATAAAATTCCCAGGGTAGAATGAATCAATCCCTAAGAGCACTTGCTGCTGTAACAGCCTATGATTCACTACAAGAATAAAATCAAATTAAAGGTTGAAAAGAACTCTTCATTATTTAGCCCCTACCTTATCTATAGCCACTTCTTCCACTCTTCCATCTCTTCAACTCTACGCTATCATTATAATAAACTCTTTTTAGTTCCTTGAATTATCATATTCTGTCTTATCTCTGCATCTTTAGACATTGTTCCCTCTGTCTGGTACCCTTTCATCCTACCACCGGTGTCACTTCTCCTTTAAAAAAGATGCACTTCAGCTTGAGTGACAGAGTGAGACCCTGTCTCAAAAGAAGAAGGAAAAAAAAAAGCCCAGTTAAGTCCTATTCCTCCTTCAAGTGTCCACTACAGCACTTCCTCCTTCTTCCCAACCTCACCTCAGCCAATTCAGGTTAGACACTATGTATTCCCTAGGCATCCTATCCTTTCTTGATCACAGAAAGACCAAGCTTATTCAAATTTCCTGTTTCACAGTCAATTTCTTCCATCTTAGGGGAGGGGTATGGTGAGAAAACAGAACTGTGCTGCCCGATATACTGTTCTGTCACCAATACCTGATTTTAACGGGGGGGGGGGGGGTGAGGGATGAAGAAATGAGTAACAAATTAGGAACACTCACCTCTAGCACAGCCAGGACAGTGTCAAGCTGATCTTCTCGGAGGGTGATGTTGTTAGAGATTTTTCTCATGGTATGTATGGACTGCAGACGTACTTCCTCAATTTCATCGTTGAACATGTCAACTAGGAAATCAAGGCACTTCTCAGCAAAAGAGGGTGAAGACTGGGCCAACATGCAGAGGGCCTCCACAGCAGCAATACGAACCTCTAGAAAAAAGAACAAATGAAATTGCACATCAGGCTGGGCACAGTGGCTCATGCCTGTAATCCCAACACTTTGGGAGGCCAAGGTAGGCAGACCACTTGAGCCCGCCTATGCAATGTGGTAAAACTCTGTTTCTACCAAAAATATTAAAAAATTAGCTGGCTGTGGTAGTGTGCGCCTGTTCTCTCAGCTACTTGGGAGGCTGAGATGGGAGGATCACTTCAACCTGGGAGGCAGAAATTACAGTTAGCCAAGGTCGTGCCACTGCACTCCAGCCTGGTGACAGAACGAGACCCTATCTCAAAACAAAACACACAAAAAACAAATTAGCCAAGTGTGGTGGCGCACGCCTATAGTCCCATCTACTTGGGAGGCTGAGGCAGGAAGATCACTTGTGCCCAGGAGTTTGAGGCTGCAGTGAGCCATGATTGTGCCACTACACTCCGTCCTGGTGACAGACTGGGCCCCTGTCTCAAAAAAAAAAAAAACTCCAAAAACAAAAAAAACAAAAACTGCACATCAGCCAGGTGCAGTGCCATACACCAAAGTCCCAGCTACTCGGGAAGCTGAGGTGGGAGGATCATTTGAGCTCAGGAGTTCAAGGCCGGCCTGAGCAACACACTGAAGCCCCATATTTTATATATATATAAAGTAACTCATATCAAATTAAGAGCCATGGGAAAAGTCCAAGATGGATTCATTCTCCTTCAGGCTGTCTTCTATTCTCTACTCCTCTCATTCTATAAACTCTCCCTGGGAGATCTCTATGCCCACAGTTTCACATACCACCCACCTTAACGTCGATCTAAGAACATGGACTTTAGTATCACAAGGACTATGGCTTAAATCTGACTCCACATATATGTGATGAGTCTGTCTACATGTCTGTCTACATTAACTTCTTGAAAATTAAGTTGTCTTACTTATCTCAGTATTCCGACCACAGTACTTTTTAGAAAGTCAGTTAGTAAATAATGTTATCATTATTATTAAGATTAAAGTAGACTAAATATCATTGTTCGAATTTTACAGGTAAGATTCAGCAACGTGGATTAACTTGCCTCAAAGTGAATGAGGGCAGGAATAGGACCAATACTCAGGTCTGTTGATTGTAGGCTAAAATCATATAGTGGTTAAGGATACATGCTTGGAATGATAGAGGTCTCAGAGCACACTGTAGTGAATGATCCCTCCACTAAGTTGGAGGGTGATCTTGAATAAGTAACTCAACTTCCTGGCACCTCAAATTTCTCACCTGGTAAATGGACATAATACTCATTTCCTTACAGAGTTGTTAGGACTAAATGAGATAATACAGGTAAAGCACATAGGGACTCTGCCTGGCATATTTTAAGGGCTCAGTAAGTATCACCTAGGGTATAGGTTTGGGTTCTGTAAGCACCCTGAAAACAGAGGCATGTTTTCCACCCCTTGGCATGCTCAGAACATGTAAACAATAAAGCCACTGATCCGAGGAAGCCCTTTCTTCATTCACTAATAAATGGGTCCTGAACACATACTATATGCTAGGTGCAGTACTAAGGGCTAGGATACAAAGATGAGAAATGAGTAAGACACAGAAAATGCTCACAAGACTTCTATACATGGTTGTTTTTTTCTAGTGATTCCCATATGCTTCTGTAACAAAATGGACTATTCCAAAACAAACAAAACAATAAGTACCTAAAGTTGTGGTTAAAACTCACAAACACAATTTCCTCTTTGTATAAAGAAAGGTTTTATAGACATGTTAAAAGTAGAGTTACTACAGTAAAGACAGATGATTCAGGTTTTTCTTGGTAGTTATGAATTCCTCCTTTTCATCAGAAGAGAACAATTTTCTTCACTTCACAATAATATAATTTCAACATGAAATTGCTAATTATAAGGCAAGCTAGAGATAAACCCAAACATGTTAAGTGCTGGCTCTTCCTCCTAGAATTTTAACCATTACACCACACTGACTCATATGTAACGTTTGCAAGTCCACCAAGGCAATCAGGAAGGAATTTCTGATCGGAAAGAGATAATCAGTGTGACCTCAGCTGATACAGTTCCAAGCAGAAGCAAAGAAATGTGGTATTTTACTTTGCCTGAACGGCCAGACTATAAGCAAGAAAATTGACATTTTCCACTGAACTTTTTGGAATGTTGAAGATATGTCGGCCAGGCATGTCACGCCTGTAATCCCAGCACTTTGAGAGGCCAAGGCAGGAGGATCACTTGAGCCCAGGAGTTCAACACCAGCCTGGGCAACATAGTGAGACCCCATCTCTATAAAAAAAGTTAATTAAAAATAAATAAATAATATGTCACAGATTCCCCATGGGTACAGAGCAGAGAAAAGGAATCTACTATACTATATTTTAAAAAAGACTGATCCTCAGCATCTGCACATGTATAATTGGGTCCAGACTTAGCTACCTATTAGGTTTGTACTTAGTACTAAAGACACAAAGATGAACAAAAGCAAGACTATCCCCCAGGCTTACAAATAAGAACAGTTAATTGCATTACAGAGTGATGACTGTTGCCATGGAAAAGCACAGGGAGGCCGGGCGCGGTGGCTCACGCCTGTAATCCCAGCACTTTGGGAGGCCGAGGCGGGAGGATCACGAGGTCAGGAGATGGAGACCATCCCGGCTAAAACGGTGAAACCCCATCTCTACTAAAAATACAAAAAATTAGCCGGGCGTAGTGGCGGGCGCCTGTAGTCCCAGCTACTTGGGAGGCTGAGGCAGGAGAATGGTGTGAACCCGGGAGGCGGAGTTTGCAGTGAGCCGAGATCGCCCCACTGCACTCCAGCCTGGGCGACAGAGCGAGACTCCGTCTCAAAAAAAAAAAAAAAAGAAAAGCACAGGGAATGTAAGAAAATGCATATGAAGAAATATAGCCCAATCAATGGGATCAGAGGTGGCTTTCTGTAATACGTGATCCCTAAAAACAATAACTAAAAGAGCTGCTAAGCCAAAAGAAAGAAAAAGGCCTTTCTAGAAGAAAAGCTGCATGCACAAAGTCCCAAAAAGGAGAGAGAAGATGGATAAATTAGAAGACTAGAAGTATGTGAGGCACTACACTAGAGTGAACAGCCAGCGAAATAAGGCTCCATTTCATTCCCAGCAATGCACCCCTAAAACCCAAATTTTCCCAGAATTGTATAAATGTGATAAAATTAGAAAGCTGTCATACCTGATACCTGGTTATGGTATACTCACTTTTTAAACTTAAGTTAATTTGATTACATCTTAATAACATTTGCAACACGAAGGATAAATCCTTGAGGAGATGGATACCTATCTATATGATGTGATTATTTCATATTTCATGCCTGTATCAAAACATCTCATGTACCCCTTAAATATATATACTAGTATGGAACCAAAAAAGGGCCCACATAGCCAAGACAATTCTAAGCAAAAAGAACAAAGCTGGAGGCCTCACGCTACCTGACTTCAAACTATACTACAAGGCTACAGTAACCAAAACAGCATAGTACTGGTACCAAAACAGATATATAGACCAATGGAACAGAACAGAGCCCTCAGAAATAACACCACACATCTACAACCATCTGATCTTTGACAAACCTGACAAAAACAACCAACAGGGAAAGGATTCTCTATTTAATAAATGGTGTTAGGAAAACTGGCTAGCCATATGCAGAAAACTGAAACTGGATCCCTTCCTTATACTTTATACAAAAATTAACTCAAGATGGATTAAAGGCTTAAATGTAAGACCTAAAACCATAAAAACCCTAGAAGAAAATCTAGGCAATACCATTCAGGACACAGGCATTGGCAAAGACTTCATGACTAAAACACCAAAAGCAACGGCAACGAAGCCAAAATTGACAACTGGGATCTAATTAAACTAAAGAGCTTCTGCACAGCAAAAGAAACTATCATCAGAGTGAACAGGCAACCTACACAATGGGAGAAAATTTTTGTAACCTATCCATCTGACAAAGAGCTAATATCCAGAATCTACAAGGAACTTAAATTCACACACACAAAAAAGAAAAAAACCATGACCCCATCAAAAAGTGGGCAAATGATACGAACAGACATTTCTCAAAAGAAGACATTTATGCAACCAACAAACATATTAAAAAAAGCTCATCATCACTGGTCATTAGAGAAATGCAAATCAAAACCACAGTGAGATACCATCTCACACCAGTTAGAATGGCAATCATTAAAAAGTCAGGAAACAACAGATGCTGGAGAAGATGTGGAGAAACAGGAACACTTTTACACTGTTGGTGGGAGTGTAAATTAGTTCAGCCATTGTGGAAGACAGTGTAGTGATTCCTCAAGGATCTAGAACCAGAAATACCATTTGACCCAGCAATCCCATTACTGGGCATATACCCAAAGCCTTATAAATCATTCTACTATAAAAACACATGCACACATATGTTTATTGCAGCACTATTCACAATAGTAAAGACTTGGAACCAACCCAAAGGCCCATCAGTGATAGACTGGATAAAGAAAACGTGGCACATATACACCATGGAATACCACGCAGCCATAAAAAAGGATGAGTTCATGTTATTTGCAAGGACATGGATGAAGCTGGAAACCATCATTCTCAGCAAACTAGCACAAGAACAGAAGACCAAACACCGCATGTTCTCACTCATAAGTGGGAGGTGAACAATGAGAACACATGGACACTGCAGGTGGGGGGCATCACACACTGGGGCCTGTTAGGGGGTGGGGGGCTGGGGGAGGGATAGCATTAGGAGAAATACCTAACGTAGATGATGGGTTGACGGGTGCAGCAAACCACCATGGCACGTGTATACCTATGTAACAAACCTGCACGTTCTGCACATGTACCCCAGAACTTAAAAGTATAAAAAAAAGTATTTAAAAAATCTTAATGGCAAACTGAAAACTGTATAACTAAATCATATAAATGTTAAAAGTGATGAAATTCAGTTGTAGAAACAAAACAAAGCAAAAATGCTAACAGAAACAAAATAGGTTTCAGTTACTCATTTTAGAGTAAAATAGGTTTTAATAACTGGACTTCCTTATTATCCAATATTATTTAAATTGTAATTCATATTTTAAGTTCATAGAGAATCAAAAAGCAGAGGTAGATTTACTTTCTATACATATGGAACATTTTAGAACAAATGATAGGATAACCCAATTCTTACATCTACTGATGAAAAACTTTCTTTCAAAAATAATATTCTTGCCCTTCTAAGAAGCAGTTCTATCCTGAGGTATGATTGTATAGGCATTTTTAAGACCTGGCACAGGTCTCTGGCACAAATTTACTGTAAAACGTGGACAATCAACATTACCTCACCAGGTCTGTTACCCTTGCTGATAATGAAGAGGCTGGAGTCAATCATCTCAAAGCACTGAAATTCTGAGATGTACGTGAGACAGACAGCATATGGAAATCACATGGGCTTTATAGGATGTCTATTACAAGATGGAGTAATGAGGACCGGCTTTATCCTCCAAGGATGAGACAGAGACAAAATATATGAAACAACAGCATTCCAGACACTGGGCATCTGGCAATAAAGGACTGCAATCCCTGAGAGATGGGAAATAAATGAGGTGATCTCAATGATTACAATTCCGTTTAGAGAGACTCCAGGCACTAGGTCTTCTCTCCCTGAGTTGAGAAGATTGAGCTAGGAGTTTGGGAAGTCCAATGTGGCTAGAGTTCATAGAGCAAATTTCTGGAAAGGAGAGAACTACACAGAGAGACAGAGAGCTTGGGAGATCTGCAGATGGTCGCCTCAAGTCTTCAGCTGAATTCTGATCTGTGCGACAGAGACCATCTGAGGCCTGGAAAAGAACCACTCAAAACAATGAGAGGAAACAATCTCCAGAGGTCACACAGGGCCTATAAAACCACAGTTAACTTAGAAGAATTTTGCAGCCAGGTGTGGTGGCTTATGTCTGTCATCCTAAAACTCTGGGAGGCCGAGGTGGCCGGATTGCTTGAGGCCAGGACTTCAAGCCTGGCCTGGGCAACATGGCAAAACTCATCTCTACAAAAAATACAAAAATTAGCCAGGTGTGGTGGTGCCCACCTGTGGTCCTAGTTACTCAGGAGGCTGAGGTGGGAAGGTTGTTTGAGCCCAGGAGGTCAAGGCTGCAGCGAGCCGTGACTGTACCTTGGCACTCCAGCCTGGGCAACAGAGCAAGATCCTGTCTCAAAAAAAAAAAAAAAAAAAGAGAGAGAGAAAAAAGAAAAGAAGAGGTTTTGTGCTTCAAGTAGTGAAAAAGAAGAGTTTTTTGCTTCACTAGTGGAGAAAAGTAAGCTGTAGGCTAAATGCTACTCTAATCCTGCCTAACAAAGTATAAGACCTGAAAAAATGGATCCCAGAACAAAGCTCAAAAATATTTATAGGAATAAAATAATGTTCAGTATCCAATAAAGTGAAATCTATAATGTCTGGCATCCAATTAAAAATTATCAGACATGAAAAGACACAGGATGGAATATACACAGGATGAATATATAATACTGGAGGAAAAAAAATCAATCAAAACCAACCTAGGAATCACAGAAATAATAGTCCTAGTAAACAAGGATAGTAAGACAATTATAAACATATTATCTGTTGACAAAGCTAGAGGAAAGATTAAGTATGTTAAGAAAGACATGGTAGATACTAAAAAGACCCAAACTCTTTCTTCTTTTTTTTTTGAGACAGGGTCTTGCTCTGTCACCCAGACTGGAGTGCACTTGTGTGATCATGGCTCCCTGCAACCTCTAACTCCTGGGCTCAAGCAATCCTCCTGCCTCAGCCTCCCAAGTAGCTGGGACTAAAGGCAATGCACAACCATGTCTGGCTAATTTTAAATTTTTTGTAGAGATAGGGTCTCCTTATGTGGTCCAGGGTGGAAAAAACCCAAATTCTAATCAAACTTCTAGAGACAGAAACTACATGTCCGAGATGAAAAATATACTGGGTGGGATTAACATCAGATTATATCTTGCAACACTCAAAGACAAAGCAATAGATACTATCCAAAATCAAACACAAAGAGAAAATAAAAACTGGAGAAAGAAAGGAAGGAAGGAAGGAAGGAAGAATAGAACATCAGTGAGCTGCAAAACAATGTCAGTATCCTAATGCATGTGTAATGAAAGTCGCCAAAGGGCCTGTAGAGTCAGAGAAATTTAAAAAAATAATAGTGGCTGGGTATGGTGGCTCACACCTGTAATCCCGGCACTTTGGGAGGCTGAAGCGCGCAGATAAGTTGAGCTCAGGGGTTTGAGACCAGCCTCGGCAACATGGCAAAACCCCGTCTCTACTAAAAATACAGAAATTAGCCGAGAGTGGTGGTGGGCACCTGCAGTCCCAACTACTGGGGAGGCTGAAGCACGAGAATTGCCTGAACTCAGGATGCAGAGATTGCAGTGAGCCAAGATCACACCACTGCACTTCAGCCTGGGCAAAACTCTGTCCCCGCCACACCCCCCGAAAAAAAAAGAGAGAGAAAGAAATAATAGCAAAAAAAAATTTCCAACTGTGATGAAAACTATTTGATTCAAGAAGCTCAACAAACTCCAAACAAAAGAAACATGACATGAACTATACTATACCTAGGCATATCATAATCAAATTGTTTAAAACCAGTGATAAAGAGAAATCTTAAAAGCAGCTTGAGATAAAAAGACACATTATATACAGAGGAAGATAAAAACGACAGCAGATTTCTCAACAGAAAACTATGGAGCAATATCATTAAAAGACTGGTAGAGGCCACGCACAGTGGCTCACGCCCGCAATCTCAACACTTTAGGAGGCCAAGGCAAAAGGATCACTTGAGCCCAGGAGTTCAAGACTGGCTTGGACAATATAGGGAGGCCCTGTCTCTGCAAAAAATTAAAAAATTAGCCGGGCATGGTGACATGTGCTTCTGGTCCCAGCTACTCGAGAGGCTGAGGTGGGAGGATTGCTTGGGTCCAGGAAGTCAAGGCTTCAGTGAGCTGTGATCACACCACTACACTCTAGCCTGGGTGACACAGTGAGACCCTGTCTCAAAAAACAAAAAAGTCTCTTGGAAAAAAAAAACTTATTAATCTAGAATTGGATTCCCACAAAAATATCTTTCTATATTTATTTATTTATTTATTTATTTATTTTTTGAGACAGAGTTTTGCTCTGTTGCTTGCCCAGGCTGGAGTGCTGTGGCACGATCTCAGCTCACTGCAACCTCTGCCTCCTGAGTTCAAGTGATTCTTGTGTCTGAGCCTCTCTAGCAGTTGAGATTACAGGTGCATGCCACCATACCAGCTATTTTTTGTATTTTTAGTAGATCCAGGGTTTCACCATGTTAACCAGGCTGGTCTTGAACTCCTGGCCTCAAGTGATCCTCCAGCCTCAGCCTCCCAAAGTGCTGGGATTACAGGTGTGAGCCACCACGCCTGGCCCAAAAATATCTTTCAAAAATGAAGGTGAAATAAAATATTCATCAGTCATATAAAGGTTTGGCAGTCAGACATACCTAGGTTTAAATCTTGCTCTGTCTCTTACTAGCTGGGTAAGTAATATCAAGTTATTATTTTTATTAATATCAATTTTAATTACCAATTATTAAGTGCTTATTATAAATAGGCACATGTATTATGCCAAGTGCTTTATGTATACAGAACCTCATTTAATTCTCACAACTCAGAAAGATAGTTATTATTATCCCTGTTTTATAAAAATGCTGGAATTTAAATATAGATTGACTGAACCCAAATCTCTTGCTCTTTACCATTGTCTCATACTACTGGGGCCTCAGTCTCTTCTGTGTGTAAAATAAAAAGCATAGTAAGTACTTCCCAGAGTTACTGTGAGGACTAAATGAAACGATACATGTGTATCACCCAGTACAATGCCTGACACACAGCAGTCACTTAAAGAGTGCTATTGCTATTATACAGTCATACTTACCATACATCTCATCTTCCAACCCATGAACAAAAGCTCCACAAGCTCCTGACTCAATCAAGTTCACAGCCCCGGTATCTACTTCTTCCTTGGGAGCATCATCTTCCCACTTTCTGCCACTGGAAAACTCCCCTGAACTGTAAAGTTCCTTGGCACGCTCATGTGCAGTACGTTTCCTCTGCAGAGGACAACAACAATTACCAATTGTAGGAGGTTCATGAAGGAACACTAAGATGAACCCTGAGAACATGGGAAGGCAGAAAATAAAACTGCTCTTTGAGAGTTACGTTTGTAAAAATTATCAGTAGTTCATACAAGAGAAATGCAAATTCAACTTAAAATGAAACCAAAGCCTTGCTGGTCTATAATAGCTGAAAGTACCTAATTAAAGAGGATAAAGATAGCTGAAGAATGTGTTAAGAAAGTTGGTTATGTTTGCTGTGGCAGCAACATAGGAAAAGAGAGAGCCAGAGAGGCAAATAATGGCAGTGCCCCTCCAAAAAACCATCTTGGGTAGACAATACATTGACTCTAAGAAAACAATTATCGGGCAGGGAGCAGGTGGCTCACACCTGTAATCCCAGCACTTTGGGAGGCCAAGGCAGGCTGATCATGAGGTCAGGAGATTGAGACCATCCTGGCCAACATGTTGAAACTCCATCTTTACTCTAAGTACAAAAATTAGCTGGGCGTGGTGGCACGTGCCTGTAGTCCCAGCTACTCAGGAGGTGGAGGTTGCAGTGAGCCGAGATCATGCCACTGCACTCCAGCCTGGCGACAGAGTGAGACTCTGCCTCAAAAAAAAAAATTATCTTCAGTCCCAGTAAAAGTATTTTTCTATTTGGCAACATTGCGTTCTATTTCAGCTACAGTACAGTCACTAAATAATCTAGTAAACTCACTTTACACAGAGATTGCCTAAGGTGGAATATACCGGTTAGTGTATCCAGTCCACTTGACAGTTATGGTTCTCATCACAAATGAATGACCTGGCACTCTGCTTTATACATCAGCCTCTCATGAAACCCCATCTCTAAAAAACTACAAAAAATTAGCCGGGTGTGGTGGTACACACCTGTAGTCCCAGCTACTCAGGAGGCCGACGTGAGAGGATCACTTGAGCCCAGGAGGCAGAGGTTGCAGTGAACCAAGATCGCACCACTGCACTCCAGCCTGGGCGACAGAGCGAGACCCTGTCTCAAACAAAACAAAACAAAACAAAACAAAACAAACAAACAAACAAAAAAACCACGCACCAGAAAAAGAGCTGAGAGACATATACCAAAATGACCAAAGTCATTATATTAGGGTAGCAGGCATATGGGTAAATTGTTTTCCTTTCCCTTATCAAAAATTCTACAACTCTATAATATCACTTTTATAATTTCAAAATTGAGGTACTAACAATGAATGTACATATTATTTTCTCAGACTCAAATTTGGTTCTGCAAACCACGTTAGTGAACCATCACAATCAAAGCTTAAGGGCATTTCATAAGAGGCATTTGGGGCCGGGCACAATGGCTCACATCTGTAATCCCAGCACTTTGGGAGGCAGAGGCAAGAAGACTGCCTGGGCTCAGGAGTTCAAGACCAACATGAGGAACAGAGCAAGACCTCATCTCTACTAAAGATAAAAAAAATTAGCTGGGCATGGTGAGGTATGCTTGTAGTCCCAGCTACTCAGGAGGGTGAGGTGGGAGGAATGCTTGAGCCCAGGAGATCAAAGTTGCATTGAGTAATGATTGTGCCACTGCGTTCCAGCCTGGGCAACAGAGTGAGACCCAGTTTCAAAAAAAAAAGAAGAAAAAATGGCGTGGGGTGGGGGGTATTTTGTTACTGTTTGGAGAAAGGCTTTACTCAGTCTTCCATGGTAACTGCTGCTGAAAAGGAGTCCTAAAATGTCATACCATCTCACAAAATGAGAATGGGCCTTTGTAGTTCCTAACAAATAGAAAATTAATCTTTTGGGGTTTTCTGGGGGTTTTTTGTTGTTGTTTTTTGGGTTTTGTTTTTTGAGACAGAGTCCCACTCTGTTGCCTAGGCTGGAGTGCAGTGGTGCGATCTCGGCTCACTGCAACCTCTGGTCTCCAGGGTTCAAGTGATTCTCTGCCTCAGTCACCCAAGTAGCTGGGACTACAGGCACATGCCACCACACCTAGCTAATTTTTGTTTTTTAGTTGAGACGGAGTTCATCATGTTGGCCGGACTGGTCTCAAACTCCCGGCCGCAAGTGATCTACCTGCCTCAGCCTCCCAAAGTGCTGGGATTACAGGTGTGAGCCACTGCACCTGGCTTAGAAAATTAATCTTGCCTCTTTTTTGTAAAGCATAACCTGTGCAAAGTATTTCATTACAATAATACGAAATTTAATGAAGTCACTTGTTATTTGCTTCAATTTACTAAGATTTTAAATTAAAATGTAATACAGTTCTCATACGTTAATTTAACAAATGCTGCTAAGTTAAATCAACACAACTCACAATACTGCCCCCCTACATTGGTTACAGAAACCCAGTTTAAACAACGAAGAATAAAAGGTACCCTCAGATCTGACATCAGCTTCTTGTCAAGGGTCTGCTCCAAGAAATGAGAACTGACTTGCTCCATAGAGCCCTATAAAAAGAAAAATCCAGAGCATATAAAACAACTTTTATGATTTGAACATTATCTTAAAATTCAGTCTATAGCCAATTTAAGTGCATAAAGATAATATTATTCATGACAGTAAAGATGCTATGGGTTCTGAATCAGCAGGAAAATAAAAATATTAGCAGCAGCTAACACCTAAATAGAGCTTACTATGTGTCACCTACTGTGCTTTCTTTCTTCTTTTTTTTCTTCCTGAGATGGAGTTTTGCTCTTGTCACCCAGGCTGGAGTGCAGTGGCATGATCTCAGCTCATTGCAACCTCCGCCACCCAGGTTCAAGCAATTCTCCTGCCTCAGCCTCCTGAGTAGCTGGATTACAGGTGCCCGCCACCATGTCCAGCTAATTTTTTTGTATTTTTAGTAGAGACGGGGTTTCACCACGTTGAGCAGGCTAGTCTCAAACTCCTGACCTCAGGTGATCTGCCTGCCTCGGCCTCCCAAAGTGCTGGGATTACAGGCGTGAGCCACCACGCCCGGCCACTATGTGTCATGTACTATTCTAAGGGCTTTAGACGTATATTAACTCATTTAAATCCTCACTATAACCCTGAGAAGTAAATACTATATTAGTCCCATTTTATATATGGAGAAAAGACACAAAAAGATTAAATAACATATTGACGGTCACAAAGAATAAATTCCAGAGCTAGGAGATAAATCCAGCCTCCAAAATCCTTTCCCTTAACGACTACTCTCCACTCCTTTTCATTCTTCTTTCCATTCATCTGTTCATTCATTCATGCATTCAATTAAACAAATATTTAGCAACCATTCAATTATATGTCTACAGTTACCAGGAACAAGAATACAAAAATAAAAAGACAACAGCTGTACACTCAACAATCTCACAGACTAGTAAGGGAAACTGACAAGGTATGCAATGCTGTAATACACATCTATGAATGATGACACGGGAATGGAGAGAACAAGCAGTATTAAGGTACAGGCAGGGAGAGGTATACTTGGAGAAATGAAAATCACAGTGCAAATGCCAAGTGGGAAATATTAAGTGGTTTTACGAATGGAACGTAAGATAGGGCTCCTGAAAATGAGGCAGTAGAGATAGGATAATAAAGAGCCTTATTTGCCATAGTAAGGGGTTTGCCTTATAAATAATTATTACATAATCCCTGTTAAACATCTAATGAGCTTAACAATGTATAAAATATTTTACTTATATTTTTCCAATTTATTCTTCCCAATAATCCCATATACCTCTCATCCCCATTTTCTAGATGACAAACGAGGCTGAGATTAGTCAACTTACTCATTTTAAGTAAGGGAGAACATAGATTTATATTTCATAAAGCCCATCTTGCAACAGTATGACTAATGGACCATAAGGAATCAAAATGAAAGCAAAAAGACTAGTTTCAGAGGCTGTTGGAGCAGGTCCTAGACGTTAAGAAATTTATCTGAGATCTTCTCTAATTCCTAAGTTAATAAATGCGGAAATGCTTATACAGGCTCAGATCTTTTCTCTAACCAAATTTTTCACAGAAAATGACATGTTCCTGGGGAATGTCCTTACTCAAGTTAACACCTTTCCTATGATTCCACAAAAACAACTGCTGTACTATTTTGACTAAAGTAGTTTCAAAACCACTTTTTCTTTTGTTACACAGATCTGAGTCAATGTCATATCTAACATCCATTTTTTAAATCCCAACAACAATTTTATAAATAAGAACTATAAACGCTTAAGACCTCCTAAATCTCTCTCTACTTTTACCACCAGCATTAGCTGTTGGCTTTTTTCTACTAGAATAAAAGTTTTCATGACTTCACAGTAAGTTGCTTCATCCATAATTCCCAGTGCCCTCCTCCAATGCCCTCAGCTGCACGCTCAACCAACACAGCAGCACAGAGGGAGTACTATGCAAATTTGTGCCCCCCAAAATTAAATATCATTACTTGAAATAAATTTTCAATGTCACCTAAGAATAGGTGAAGCTTTCCATTTTAAGTCCACAGACACAGAGTCCTATAGCATAGTAATCCACTTGAAAAATGGTGAGATGTCTATTACTGCAGGACCAGTGGAAATGGAGAAGGGATGGATTTAGGGGATGTCAAGAAGGAAGAACTGATATGAGTTGTGACTCAATGGATGTAAGACATAGAAAAACTATTCCTAAATTCCTCTGGTTCATGACTTAGCAGATGATAGTATCACTTACGAAAACATAGAGAAACAGATTTGGACCAAAAAGATAATGAGTTCATTATAAAGTGCACCTCACCAATGAGAAAAAAAGCTACATTCTGGTATACTTTAACCAAGACAAATATGTTTAGATTAAGATGGAATCTCTCCAACTGTACTACTAGCACTACTTAACAACCTAAATTTAGGTAGTTAATGCTATGAAAACCTTACTTAACACTGAGAAAACCATTTCACTTGAGAGCCTTATTAAATGTATGTGAAATTTAGATACAAGATATTTAACAATTATCACACCTGCTTGAAGAGCAAAAACTGCTCAACTGGTATAAATAACATAAGTCTATGCAACTGGGTGATAAGTACATCAGACATAAAACTGCCACTAACTAGGAATATCTGCATTTACCCTGGGAAAGACCAGTCATGGGCAGACTTACAGGCATAAAAGTCTATAACCTAACAGTCTGAAAATGTTGTAATTTTCAAGGTCAATGACTTCTTAAGGCTTATAAAAGTAGTGATTGTATTCTAAATAGTCCCATGAATCTGCTTACTGGGACCTCAAGTTTCTTTGCCCCACAAAGAGGGCAGTTATAAATAAGTAAAAGCTAACCTCTTTTACATGGTTTTGAATTTTCTGATATAACACATATCAGAAAATTTTTCATACGCTATAAGCCAAAGGGATTGGAAACTATTCACTTTTTAAGCAAGATAGACTCGAGGCTACAAAGCTAAGTTGTTGCAGAACCTGGCTTCTGTTTTCCTCTCCAACTTACCTCATTACAGATCCCCTATATTGAACATTACCCCCCAACTAGAAAGCACTAGACTGCTTGTAGTTTAGTATGATATTGCAGCTTAGTATATTGCTATGCATGATAATGTACTGCTTTTATATCCCTGCTCATATTTTCTCTTTCTCTGCATTGCTACCTAGTTACTCATCCTTCAAAACTCAGTTCAGAGATCAGCTCCTCCAAGAAGGCTTCTGTGGTTGTGGTTGGTGCTCTTTCCTACCAGTACCAGGTATTGTTATTCACTGATTAGCTATCCCTGGCTACCTGACTGTCAACTTCGTTGCAGACAGAAACTGTCCTCGGTGTTTGTCGATTTGCTGAACAGGTGATCTAAAGATTATACAGGTTGAACATCCCAATTCCAAAAATCTGAAATCCAAAATGCTCCAAAATCCAAAACTTTTTGAGTACCAACATGATGCTCAAAGGAAATGTTCACTGGAGCACTTCAGATTTTGGATTTTGGAGCATATTTCAGATTTGGGATGCCCAACAAGTAAGTCTAATACAAATAAAATATTCCAAAATCCAAAAACAAAACAAAACAAAACAAAATCCAAAACACTTCTGGTCTCAAGCATTTTGGATAGGGGATACTCAATCTGTATGCAGATTTGTTTAAAAAAAATGGCTCACCAGAGTTACCTGGCACACATCACCCACAACAAAAGAGACCAAAATAACAAATAACTATATTTCAACTAAAATGACTGTAGATATATGCTGCAGAGCACCAGAGAAAGGGCAAAATCCCTGTGGAACATGGAAGCCTCAGGATAGCACCACAGGGTGAGGCTTCCTACCTGCCACATTGTCTCCCTTGCCAAAATCAGCTTAAAATCAGAGGAACTTCTTACAGGGAAAGAGTAAGCTGGAGATACCTATCAGTGGTCCCCACTGCTGCCACAGGCACCAGCAATTCTTGATAAAGGACAGTCCTTAAGTCCTCAGTGGCCACAAATCCAGTCTGGAGAGTAGCCAAGAGATCATTCAGCTGTATTGCCTCAGAGTGGGAGCCCACCTTGTCCTAAGCTGCTGTAGCATGGCACCAAGTTGAAGCTAGACTCACTACTAGTGTGCATCCTGCCCTGGGGACCAGTAGCAACTGACTCTCTTCATCCCTGAGAACCAGCCATCATTTTACCGTGATCACACGATGGCCTGCAGCACCATAACCCCATCCACATAGAGTCTAGGTCAAACAGAGTGACGATGATTTCAGCATCAGACCCCACACAGCGCTACCAACCACCCAGAAAACAGGCAGACCTGCACAGCAAGGAAGCCATCAAATAGACAGCTGGCAGCGCTTTACCCAACACCCCTGTTCCATACAACCATCTGGGCTGCCAAGTATGCATGCGCCAGTACTCAGCCAAAAAGCCAATCCTGCGGCAGCCCTACTTCCTCACAACCCATCACAGAACCACCTGCCCACGCCCTGCCTGATAGCTGGCAATTCAGTGGTCCTGTCCCCTAAAACAGGCCACAATAGAGTCCCACAGTCCCACAGCACACAGTCCAACTGGTCCTGTGGTAGCCCTGGCCCCCTACCATAGACTGCTGCCAAACTGCCCAGCCCCACTGCACAAAAGCATTTGAGCCTAGCCCAAAGCAACAGCCAACCAGGCAGTAGCCCCATCTCCCTACGTAGCCACAGAGCTGCCCAGCAGGCCGCTGCAGCAAAGGCCTGAGCCCAGCACGACAGCCACCACAGCAGTAACTACCGCCTCCCTGGAAAACCAGATAGACAGCCCGGCAGCCATTTTAGCCTGTACATGTCTTGGCCAAAAATCAGCTCGGTACCCTCATCTATAGCATTGCCATCACAAACTCCCACAGCCTAGGCAACTGAGGCAATTGCAAACATCAATGACTAGGATTATAGCTGAAGATTACAGCTGAAGCTGACAAGGATTATTACACCACCCATTGAGTCCACCCAGAACCAAAGGCAACACACCATACCCAGCTAATACCCTAAAACCATCTACAGAAAAAGACTGTTACTATATACTAGCTACTCAATAAAATTGAAAAGAGCAACTACGCTACTAAATGCACACATATCAACATCCAGTATCTTGCACACGATAAATGAAAATCAAGGAAACATGACACCCTCAAAGGAATACGGTTAAGTCTCCTGGCTGGAGGCAGTGGCTCACATCTGTAATCCCAGCACTCTGGGAGGCCAAGACAGCCAGATAGCATGAGCTCAGGAGTTCAAGACCATTCTGGGCAACATGGCAAAACCCGTCTCTACAAAATATAAAAAAATTAGTCGGGTGTGGTGGCATGCGCCTGTAGTCCTAGCTACTCAGCAGGCTGAGGTGGGAGGATCACTTAAACCCAGGAGGAGAAGGTTGCAGTGAGCTGAGATCATGCCACTGCACTTCAGCTTGGGTGACAGAGCAAGACCCTGTCTCAAAAAAAAAAAAAAAAGGAAAAAAGTCTCCAATGACAGACCCCAAAGAAAAGGACACTTACAAAATGCCTGAAAAGGAATTCAAAATAGTGATCTAAAGGAAACTCAGTGAGATACAAGAGAATACAGACAAACAATTAAATGAAATCAGGAAAACAATTCATGATCCGAATGAGAAATTCAACAAAATCAATATCATAAAAAAGAACCAAACAGAAATCTTGGAACTGAAGAATTCAATGAAAAAAATAAAAATAGTATACAGTTGAGAGCTTCAACAATAGACTAGGATCAAGCAGAAGAAAGAATTTCTGACCTTGAAGACAGGTCTTTTGAAATAACCCATTAAGAGGGAAAAAAAAAAACAAATAAGAATAAAAAAGAAAGCCTTGGAACATATGGGACATCAATAGGCAAACAAATACTTGCATTGAAGACTGCCTGATGGAGAAGAGATAGAGAAAGGCGCAGAAAACCTATTTGATGAAATGATAGCTGAAAACTTGCCAAGTAGTGGGAGAAATA
Organism: Homo sapiens; assembly: GCF_000001405.40. NCBI lineage: Eukaryota > Metazoa > Chordata > Mammalia > Primates > Hominidae > Homo > Homo sapiens. Next base: position 65,161,790 of record NC_000007.14, on the reverse strand, counting down.
CGGACATCCAGATTCAGGAAGTTCAAAGGTTCGCAATTACATTCAACCCAAAAAGATCCTCTCCAAGGTGCATTATAATCAAACTATCGAAAGTCAAAGAGTAAGACTTTCAAAGCTGCAAGAGAAAATTGTCAAGAGAATCTCCATTACTATCAATAGATTTCTCAGTAGAAACCTTGTAGACCAGCAGAGAATGGGATAGAATTAATATATTCAAGGTATTGAATGCTACAACTAGAAACAAAAGGACAATAATCACTATCATAACAACACACAAAAGTATAAAACTCACCAGTAAAGGTAAACTCATAAATCAAACAGATCAAACCCCAGTGATACAATATGTCATATAAAATATTCAATCTGCTAGTATGAAGGTTAAATTTAAAATGGTCAAAAACTACAACAGCTACAAATAGTAGCTAAGGAACACATAACAGATGAAGAAGAAAATTAAGGCAACAAAAATATAAATTGAAGGGGGGAGGGAAAAAACCTAGGGTCCTTTTATGTAACCAAAGTTGAGTTGCTATCAGCTTAAAACATTCTATTGTAACTGTTTTTCCCCTTTGAGACAGTCTTACTCTGATGCCCACGCTAGAGCATAGTGGCCTGATCATGGCTCACTGCAGCCTCAATCTTCCAGGCTCAAGTGGTCCTCCCACCTCAGCCTCCTGGGTAGCTGAGACTACAGGTGTGTGCCACCATGCCCGGCTGATTTCTTTTTTCTTTATTTAGTAGAAACGAGGTCTCACTATGTTGCCCAGGCTGGTCTCAAACTCATGAGCTCAAGCGATCTGCCTGCCTCAGCCTCCCAAAGTGCTGGGATAATAGGCAAGAGCCACCACACCAGCCTAACTGAAGACTCTATAGTCTATGTAGAAAAAAGTTACAGCAGATACACAAACAAGAAAGAGAATGAAAACAAAGCTTGGCCCCACAGAAAACCACTAAATCAGAGGTAAACAACAAGAAAGGAAGACAAGAACAAAGGATCTCCAAAACCACCAAAAAGTAATTAACAAAATGGCAGGAATAAGACCTTATCTATCAATAACAATCTTGAATATAGCTGGACATGGTGGCTCATGCCTGTAATCCCAGCACCTTGGGAGGCCAAGGCAAGCGAATCACTTGAGGCCAGGAGTTTGAGACCAGCATGGCCGACATGGCAAAACCCGTCTCTAATAAAAATGCAAAAAAATTAGTTGGGCATGGTGGCACATGCCTGTAATCCCGGTACTGGGGAGGTTGGGGCACGAGAATCACTTGAACCCAGGAGGTGAAGGTTGCAGTGAGTTGAGATCACACCAGTGCATTCCAGCCTAGGTGACGGAGTGAGACCCTGTCTCAAAGAAACAAAAAAAAAAAAAAAAGAAGAAGAAGAAGTAGAAAAAAATCTTGAATATAAATGGATTAAGTTCTTCAATTAAAAGGTACACTACAGCCTGGGCAACAGAGAGACAGACACCCTGTCTCAAAGAAAGAAAAAAAAAAAAGGTATACATTGGTTGAATAGATTAAAACACAAAATCTAAGTATACATTGCCTAGAAGAAACACGCTTCACAAGCAAGAATCAAAACATATACCAAAACCTATGGTATGCAACAAAAGCAGTTCTAAGAGATAAGTATACAGCAATAAATGGCTACATCAAAAAAGAAGAACAATCTGGTTTTTAATTTTTTTTAGGGACAGTTTTGCTGTTGTCCAGGATGGAGTCCCCAGGAGTTTGAGGTTGCTGTGAGCTATGACTGTGCAATCGTGGAACCGCACTCCAGCCTAGGCAACAGAGCAAGACCCTGACTTAAAGAAAATAAAAAAAGAATAAAATCTTGTAATTTGCCACATCGATTAACCTGGAGGACATCATGTAAAGTGAAATAAGCCAGACATGGAAAGACAAATACTGCCTGATCTAAGACTTAAACATAAGACCTAAAACCATAAAAACCCTAGAAGAAAACCTAGGCAATACCATTCAGGACATAGGCATGGGCAAAGACTTCATGACTAAAACACCAAAAGCAATGGCAACGAAGCCAAAATTGAGAAATAGGTTCTAATTAAACTAAAGAGCTTCTGCACAGCAAAAGAAACTATCATCAGAGTGAACAGGCAACCTACAGAATGGGAGAAAGTTTTTGCAATCTATCCATCTGACAAAGAGCTAATATCCAGAATCTAAAAAGAACTTAAACAAATTTACAAAAAAAAAAACACAACAAAACCCCATCAAAAAGTGGGTGAAGGATATGAACAGACACTTCTTAAAAGAAGACATTTATGTGACCGACAAACATATGAAAGAAAGCTCATCATCACTGGTCATTAGAGAAATGCAAATCAAAACCACAATGAGATACCATCTCACACCAGTTAGAATGGCAATCATTAAAAAGACAGAAAACCACAGGTGCTGGAGAGGATGTGGAGAAACAGGAACACTTTCACACTGTTGGTGGGAGTGTAAATTAGTTCAGCCATTGTGGAAGACAGCATGGCGATTCCTCAAGGATCTAGAACCAGAAATACCATTTGACCCAGCAATCCCATTACTGGGTATATACCCAAAGGATTATAAATCATTCTACTATAAAAACACATGCACACGTATGTTTATTGCAGCACTGTTCACAACAGCAAAGACTTGGAACCAACCCAAAGGCCCATCAATGATAGACTGGACAAAGAAAATGTGGCGCATATACACCATGGAATACCATGCAGCCATAAAAAAGGATGAGTTCATGTTCTGTGCAGGGACATGGATGAAGCTGGAAACCATCATTCTCAGCAAACTAACACAAGAACAGAAAACCAAATACCACATGTTCTCACTTATAAGTGAGAGTTGAACAATGTGAACACATGGACACAAGGAGGGAAACATCACACACCAGGGACTGTCAGAGGGTGGGGGGCTCGGGGAGGAACAGCATTAGGAGAAATACCTAATGTAGATGATAGGTAGACGGGTGCAGCAAACTACCATGGCACATGTATACCTATGTCACAAACCTGCACGTTCTGCACATGTATCCCAGAACTTAAAGTATTCAGAAAAAAATTGATATCATAGAGGCAGAGAGTATAACAGTGGTTAGCAGACACTGGGGAGGGGAGGGAGTAGGAGAGAATGGGAAGAGACTGGACAACAGATACAAAGTCACAATTAAGAGAAATAAATTCTGGTGTTCAACTGCACATAAAGGTGACTATGATTAACAGTAAAATATTGTATATTACAAAATATACAATATTATAGCTGTAAGAGAGGCTGTTGAAAGTTCATGGCAAAGAAATGATAAATGTATGATGTGATAACTATACTAACTATCCTGATTGGATTAATATTCAACATAGATGTGTATCAAAACATCAACTTGTGCCCCATATATACAATGTGTCAATTTTTGTTTGTTTGTTTGTTTGTTTCATTATACTTTAAGTTTTAGGGTACATGTGCACAATGTGCAGGTTAGTTACATATGTATACATATGCCATGTTGGTGTGCTGCACCCATCAACTCGTCATTTAACATTAGGTATATCTCCTAGTGCTATACCTCCCCCTCCCCCCACCCCACAACAGGCGCTGGTGTGTGATGTTCCCCTTCCTGTGTCCATGTGTTCTCATTGTTCAATTCCCACCTATGAGTGAGAATATGCGGTGTTTGGTTTTTTGTCCTTGCGATAGTTTGCTGAGAATGATGGTTTCCAGCTTCATCCATGTCCCTACAAAGGAAATGAACTCATCCTTTTTTATGGCTGCATAGTATTCTATGGTGTATATGTGCCACATTTTCTTAATCCAGTCTGTCATTGTTGGACATTTGGCTTGGTTCCAAGTCTTTGCTATTGTGAATAGTGCCACAATAAACATACGTGTGCTTGTGTCTTTATAGCAGTGTGATTTATAATCCTTTGGGTATATACCAAGTAATGGGATTGCTGGGTCAAATGGTATTTCTAGTTCAAGATCCCTGAGGAATCGCCACAGGTACCAAAACAGAGATATAGATCAATGGAACAGAACAGAGCCCTCAGAAATAATGCCGCATATCTACAACCATCTGATCTTTGACAAATCTGACAAAAACAAGAAATGGGGAAAGGATTCCCTATTTAATAAATGGTGACGGGAAAACTGGCTAGCCATATGTAGAAAGCTGAAACTGGATCCCTTCCTTACACCTTAGACAAAAATTAATTCAAGATGGATGAAAGACTTACATGTTAGAACTAAAACCATAAAAACCCTAGAAGAAAACCTAGGCAATACCATTCAGGACCCAGGCATGGGCAAGGACTTCATATCTAAAACACCAAAAGCAATGGCAACAAAGGCCAAAATTGACAAATGGGATCTAATTAAACTAAAGAGCTTCTGCACAGCAAAAGAAACTACCATCAGAGTGAACAGGCAACCTACAGAATGGGAGAAAATTGTTGCAATCTACTCATCTGACAAAGGGCTAATATCCAGAATCTACAATGAACTCAAACAAATCTACAAGAAGAAAACAAACAGCCCCATGAAAAAGTGGGCAAAGGATATGAACAGACACTTCTCAAAAGAAGACATTTATGCAGCCAAAAGACACAGGAAAACATGCTCATCATCCCTGGCCATCAGAGAAATGCAAATCAAAACCATAATGAGATACCATCTCACACCAGTTAGAATGGTGATCATTAACAAGTCAGGAAACAACAGGTGCTGGAGAGGATGTGGAGAAATAGGAACACTTTTACACTGTTGGTGGGACTGTAAACTAGTTCAACCAATGTGTCAATTTTTAAAAATTAATTAATTTTTAATGAAAGATTATACACAAATCACTTGATCACAGGTTCATCTACTGGAGAGCTGGAGTAGGGCAGCTTTACCTCTTAGCTTGCACAGAGATACTAATAAACCAGCAGGGCCTTAACTGGCCAATCCCAATGTGTAACTGGATACTCACCAGGAAAGGATTATACATGGGCTTTAGATTATGAAGTTTGAAGTCCTCATCTATCATTTACTATCTGTGTGGTCTCAGAAAAATTATACCACATTCCTAAATTTTAATTTTGTTATTTATAAGTAATACATTTACCTCAGAGAGTTTAAAAAGATTAAAAGTTACTTGCAAAAGTATGCAAATGAGTTAGGCATGTGTGCTTGTATATAAAGAAGTGGGTTAATATTTATATGTGAATATGTGTGTATTTATGTGTGTATGTATGACTAAAAATGCCTCATTTAGTAGGCCAGGAACTCTATACATAGTAGTAATTATTATTATCAGCAAGGTAAGAATGATTATTATTTCTGAATACAAACATAATTACTTATATAATTTGAAGCTGTTTGGATTTAACATGGAATTATAACACAAGGCATGTGACTCAAGTTAGAGTCATTCAAGTAGAAATCCTTTCAATGTACCATATGTTATACATACAACTTTATGCAAATAAATTTCAGATCCTATAGAGTACAAAACTGAAAATTTTGAATGATTCTTACTTTAAGGATTACTTTTTAAAACTGCCTATTCAGGTAAAGATATATCATTAATTTACTCCTCTAAAACATCTTTCTCTTCCCCACTCCCACCTAGAGTTCGTTGTAGATCCTCTGTAAATGCCAAATGAAAGGATCTGATGAATGATTAGACTGTTCTGAATTTTAAAACATTCATAACCCAAAAGAAAGTTTTAAAATATGAATTCAGAAATAAAATCAGTAACAGCTGGCTTGTTTAACTCTAATATGCACAAGAGTGGAAATACTCCAATCATCCATTACTATATCTCATGAAAATGCTTCACACAGGTTTCAGCAAGTACTCCCATAAATACTGGTCACAGGACTAAAGCTATCACTGGATCAGTGTCCAGTACAGTCAGAAACAAAGCATTCAGCCAACAGTCTCACCAAGAGTGGCAGGGCTGGGGGCACTCAAAGGGGAAGTGTCCAAAAAGAATCACAGATTTTCCTGCTGTGACACGTATACAAATTTTTATAGATACTTACACACACATATAGTTATATACTATGCCCCCATCCACCCTACATAGTATAGTACTTTTTAGTTTATAAACATTTTCATAGACTGTATCTCATTTGAGCATCATGACAACACTGTCAGGTAAATATGAGAGATATTAGAACCCCACTTAACAGATGAGGAAACTGAGACTAATATCAAGTGACATATACAAGGTAACACAGATATAAAATAAGGCTATTAGGCCAACACTCTATTACAAAACAATTTTATCCCTTAAAAGTTAAACAATTTTTTTTTTGAGACAGGGTCTCGCTCTTTTGCACAGGCTGGAGTGCAATGGCACAATCTCAGCTCACTGCAACCCCTGCCTCCCAGGTTCAAGTGATTCTCCCACCTCAGCCTCCAGAATAGCTGGAACTACAGGTGTGTGTCATCACACCAGGCTAGTTTTTGTATTTTTAGTAGAGATGGGGTTTCACCATGTTGGCCAGGCTGGTCTCGAACTCCTGACCTCAAGTGATTTGCCCGCTTCGGCCTCCCAAAGTGCTGGGATTATAGGTGTGAGCCACTGCGCCTCTGCCTCCCGGGTAACCTCTGCCTCCCGGGTAACCTCTGCCTCCCGGGTTCAAGCGATTCTCCTGTCTCAGCTTCCCAAGTAGCTAGGACTAGAGGCGTGCACCACCACGCCCAGCTAATTTTTATATTTTTAGTAGAGACGGGGTTTCACCATGTCGGCCAGGATGGTCTCAATCTCTTGACCTCGTGATCCGCCCACCTTGGCCTCCCAAAGTACTGGGATTACAGGCGTGAGCCACAAAAGTTAAAAATTTTCAATAAATGTGCTGAGTCCTCAAAAAGAAAACAGAAAAGTACCAGGCTAAAAGATGCAAGATCAGGATCTGACCTCACTCTACAATTTTCTGTCTGTATAAGCTGGATAACTTACTTAACTCCTCAGAGCCTTAGTTTTCTCATCTAGAAAATGATAACAGCATTTAAAAAAATTTTTCTTAAATTTTTTAAAATTTTATTTTTTGAAAAATAGAGATGGGATCTAGCTGTGTTGCCCAGGCTGGTCTTGAACTCCTGGGCTCAAGTGACCCACCCACCTCGGCCTCCTAAAGTGCTAGGATTATGGGCATGAGCCACCATGCCCCAACTGGATAATGGCATCTATCTTGCAGGATTACTGTAAAGAGAAAATGAGAAAATATATGTAAGGGGCCTCCTTCAAATTATCTAAGATAGTGGTCCCCCACCTTTTTGGCATCTGGGTTCAGCTTCATTGAAGAAACCAGAGAGGGTGGTGAAGCAGGGTGGTTTTAGGATGAAACTGTTCCACCTCAGATCATCAGGAATTAGACTCTCACAAGGAGCATGAAACCTAGATCCCACACATGCTCAGTTCACAATAGGGTTCACACTCCTATGATAATCTAATGCAGCTGCTGATCTGACAGCAGGCAGCACTCAGGCAGTAATACTTGCTCATCTACCACTCACCTCCTGTTGTGTGGCCTGGTTCCTAACAAGCCATGGACCAGGACTGGTCCACAGCCTGGGGGTTTGAGCCTCCTGAACTAGGACATAACAAGTGCTTAATAAATGGGAAAAACTTTTTTTTTATTGTTTTCCTTTTTCTCTAGGCTCCGGCTATCTTAATTCCTAGTAGGGTTAATAGAATTATGTTTTAAGATTCTTTCTAGTTCTAAAAGTGAACAGGAGAGTGAACTATTTCTTTCTATATTAAGAAATTCTGGGGCTGGGAGTAGTGGCTTAAACCTGTAATCCCAACAATTTGGGAGGCCAAGGCAGAAGGATCACTTGAGCCTAGGAATTCAAGACCAGCCTGGGCACAAAGCAAGACCCCATCTCTACAAAAAATACAAATTAGCTAGGCAGGGTGGCACATGCCTGTAGTCCCAGCTACTCAGGAGGCTGAGGTGGAAGGATCGCTTGAGCCTGGCAGGTCGAGGCTGCAGTGAGCCGTGACTGCCCCATTGCACTCCTGCCTGAGCAACAGAGGAAGACCCTGTCTCAAGAAAAGAAAAAGAAAAAGAAATTCTGGGGTTTTAAATTCAGGTCACACTGCCCCATCTGTAGTTTCTCAAAATGTTTGTAAAAACTTAACAAGCAATGTGTTCATTTAAAAAAAGGATTATTGGCTGGGTGTAGTGGCTCACATCTATAATCCCAGCCTTTTTTTTTTTTTTAAGATGAGAGTCTCCTCCTTGTCACCAGGCCGGAGTCCAGCAGCGTGATCTTGGCTCGCTGCAACTTCCACCTCCGGGTTCAAGCGATTCTCCTGCCTCAGCCTCCCAAGTAGCTGGGATTACAGGCGTGCGCCACCATGCCCCAGCTAATTTTTGTATTTTTAGTAGAGACGGGGTTTTACCATGTTGGCCAGGATGGTCTCAATCTCCTGACCTCGTGATCCACCCGCCTTCGCCTCCCAAAGTGCTGGAATTACAGGTGTGAGTCACCGCACCCAGCCTATAATCCCAGTCTTTTGGGAGGCTGAGGCAGGAGGACTGCTTGAGGCCAAGAGTTTGAGACCAACCTGGGCCACACAGGCCTCATTTCTACAGAAAAGAAAACAAATAAATATATACATGCATTCATACATACATAAAAAGTATAACTTACCAACAGTTTTGCTGCCTGAACATGAACCACCCAAGAGCCATCACTGACCATGTGACAAATTTTTCCAAACGCATCATCAACTAAGCGTATTTCTTCATTAGAAGAAGGAATTGGGACAATGCTAAATTAAAAGAAAAGAAATGAAATCACTTAGAACAAAACATGAATCTAAGTCTGCAGATTCAGGCCATGCACAGTGGCTCACATCTATAATCCCAACACTTTGGGAGGCCCAGGCAGGTAGATTGCTTGAGCCCAAGAGTTCAAGACCAACCTGAGCAATATGGCAAAACCTCATCTCTACAAAAAAAATACAAAAATTAGCTAGGCATGGTGGCATGCGCTGATAGTCCCAGCTACTTGGGAGGCTGAAGTGGGAACATAACTTTAGCTCTGGAGGTGAAGGTTGCAGTGAGCTGAGATCACACCCCGGCACTCCAGCCTGGATGACGGAGCAAGACCCTGTCTCAAAAAATAAATACAGTCTGGGTGCAATGGCTCACGCCTGTAATCCCAGCACTTTGGGAGGCTGAGGCAGGTGGATAACTTGAGGTCAAGAGTTCGAGACCAGCCTGGCCAACATGGTGAAACCTCCTCTCTACTGAAAATATAAAAGCTAGCCAGGCACGGTGACACATGTCTGCAATCCCAGCTACTCAGGAGGCTGAGGCAGGAGAATCGCTTGAACCTGGAAGGTGGAGGTTGCAGTGATCCGAGATAGTGCCACTACACTCCAGCCTGGGCAACAGAGCGAGACTCCATCTCAAATAATAATAATAATAATAATAATAATAATAATAATAATAATAATAAACAAATAAATACATAAGTAAGTAAGGCTGCAGGCTCAATAAACTGAGAACAGTCAATGAAGACTGACACACACAAAAATGATAATTGAATAGTTCAAATCCTAGAATGATTAAATACAGTTTGAAATAAACAAATCACTCTAGGAGTACAAACCAACTCTTTCAGTTGCATTGCAAATTATGCTTTTTTTTTGAGACAGGGTCTCACTTCTGTCACCCAGGCTGGAGTGCAGTTGGCATGAGCACTGCTCACCGCAGTGTCAACTTCCTGGGCTCAGGTGATCCTCCCAGTTCACTCTTCTGAGTAGCTGGGACTACAAAAGCATGCCACCACACCCAGCTAATTTTTTATATTTTTAGTAGAGACGGTTCACCATGTTGCCCAGGTTGATCTCAAACTCCTGAGATCAAGCAATCCGCCCGCCTCACCTCCCAAAGTGCTAGGATTACAGGGCTGAGCCACTGCAATCAGGTGCAAATTTTCAATGTATTGAATAAAAGTGTGTAACCCACCAAAGGTTCAGCCAGGCGTGTAATCCCAGCACACTGAGATACTGAGGTGGGCAGATTACCTGAAGCCAGGGGTTCAAGACTAGCCTACCCAACATGGCAAAACCTCATCTCTACTAAAAATACAAAAAATGAGCTGGGTGTGGTGGGGCGCAACTGTAATTCCGGCTATTTGGGAGGCTCAGGCATGAGAATTGCTTCAACCCAGGAGTTGGAGGTTGCAGTAAGCCGAGATCACATCACTGCACTGCAGCCTGGGCCACAGAGCAAGACCCTGCCTTAAAAAAAAAGTACGTAACCCACCAAAGGTTCAAAGATTTATGAAATTATCAAAAACTAGCTTCCACCGAATATTTCATATCCTTAAGTTTATTATCTTCTGTAACTGAAATTCTTCTTCTTCTTCTTTTTTTTTTTTGAGAGAAAGTGTCTTGCTCTGTGACCCAGGCTGGAGTGCAGTGGTGCGATCTCAGCTCACTGCAATCTCCACTTCCCGGGTTCAAGCGATTCTCCTGCCTTAGCCTCCCTAGTAGCTGGGATTACAGGCGTGTGCCACCATGCCCGGCTAATTTTTGTATTTTCAGTAGAGATGAGGTTTCACCATGCTGGCCAGGCTGGTCTTGAACTCCTGACCCGAGGTGATCCGCCCACCTCGGCCTCCAAAAGTGCTGGGATTACAGGCACCACCGTGTCCAGACTGAACTTCTATAAATACATTAAATCTCAGAATAAATCAATATAAAACTTACTTATCAATCCAGTCCTAAAAGAAGAGACAATTTCCACTTAGCCCTTTTCTTTGTATATGTCTAAGTCCTAAAATGGAGTCTACTACAAATGGAGCCTACTCCTACAGGTTTATTAATCCATTCTGGTTTTCAAATTTTGGCAGTTTAATGAAGAGGAAAAAACACCTCTTTTTCCTATACAAGGAAAAATAAAATATTCTATAAATATTTATAAATAAAAGATAAATATTTATAAATATAATATTCTATCTTACAAAATATAATAAATAATATTGCCTACCTCCTCAAAGAATCACTGTGGTTAATTTAATTGCTGTGAAAATATTTTTAACCAGGAAAACTACATAAGAGATCATTATTCTCAAACTCATCTGGTATCTTTGGCATTTGGCGCAAGCCAAACTAAAATGGGTCCCAAACAATTTTAAAGATTTTATTGTAAAGTACTGAAAACCATTTAAGAAAGATATTCCAATTTCTTCACTTATGGATGAGAAGATTAGGACAAAAGAAGTGTCTTTCCGAAGGTGTACAGAAAGTTCCTATCAGAGATGAAAAATGAGGACCAGGCAATCTGATTTTCAGGGCCTGTGCTTTTCCCTTACTCCCCATTGCCTTCCAAAAATCTAACCAACATTTCTTTTCTAGAAGTGGGCTTTTTGCATGGTGAGAGGAGAGGAAAACGGCTTCACAATCAACAAAAGCCAGCTTACACCCGCACTGACCTTTCAGGATAGAGCTGACTGACAACCCAGATAAGCTAGACTGCAGCACTGCGCACTTGTTCATAGTCATCAGAGAGTAATTTACAGGCCTGCAAAGAAGAATTCCAAAAGTCTATTAGTTCTGTGTCCTCTCAGGCAATGTTTAAACTATTTTCAAAGTGAAGATATAGGGTAGTTGGATAAGGATGCCCAGTAAAACACTTGTGTGTGGTTTTTAACTTCTTGAATCTTTGCTTAAAAATGAATCTTGACCTCTGTCAGCTGCTCTGGCTATATTCTGACTATGCACTCTACCCCACGTCTGGAAGGAGAATCACAGACTGACAGCATAAAAACATCTAGAACAGATCAAACCCAGCAAAGCATGCTGGGAGCCCACAGTACTGTTCTCACAGGCTCAAACACCAATTATGGGTTTTTCCTCCCCCTGTAAAAATCAAAGCGCACACTTCTGTTTACCTTGGTCTGAAATCAATGGCCTCTGTTTCAATCCACTCACTCTTTCTGGGTAGCCCCATTTCTCCCTAAATACTGATGGCTCCGAATACCTACCCTTAGCTCTGATTTCTCCTGATCTCCAGACCTTTATAACTACTTATGGCTGGAATTCTCTTCACGGATGTCCCATCAAACTTTTGTACCCAACACACGCAAACCTGAACTCATTAAGGAAGCAAATTCTACCTTATATCTTAAATTCTACACTATCAGTCCATCCTCACTCCCTTGATGCTGTCATTACTGCTTGCCTAGATTACTAACAGAGTCTTATGCCACCAAACATCTGAATCAGCCAACTAACTTCCGTTCCTCTGAGTCCTTACTATCCAAGTTTCCTTTAAATTATTTGGCTTCCCACATAGTATCAAAAAAAAAAAAAAAAAACGAGGAAATAGTACATGAAAAAGCAGAATTAAAACAACTGAGTATATGTTTAAAACTGCAAAAGCTCACTTTTTCAGAAAAATATTAAAATATTAAATCTAACAAATATCTAGGCAGATTGATGGAGAAAAATACAGAAAATGCACAAAAAAACCAATTACCTGGAATGTGAAGGATACAAAACGTCAGCAGTTGTAGATTTTAAATAAGCAATGACTTTGAGTTCGACCATGATTGGGTATATTGAAAAGAATCTCTCAGAAAAAAAGAAAAAGAAAACTGTTATAAAGCTATGTACAAAATGTTAAGCACTATTGAAGTCTTCCAATTCTACCAGTTATGGAGTTATTGGTCTTGGACTAATTCTCCTGAAAAGAAAAAAACAAAACAAAACAAAAAAAACTAAAAACTGGGATAAAATAGCCTACCGTGGGCACTGGCAATGCAACCGAGCACGTAGGACATGGGTGCTACATTCTCTTTGTCAGAACACAAAGCATTCATACACTCTTCTCACCCTCACTCTCACCTTTTAATCTTAGATCTACTATTAAAAGTATTCAACATTACTATCAATCCTTTGGTCAAAATTTCTTTACTCACATTTTGCTTGATGCACTTGGATAGACTGTTCAAGAAAGTGTGAGTAGTGAATTCCTCAAACTCTTGCATATTTAAAATTACATTTTTGAGCCTTGATGCTTGAAGTGTAGCTTGGGTAACGGGTGGGCTTTAAGCCAATTTTGGCATGCAAGGGGTTGAGTTTATTAGGCATCAGCACCTCTGAAAATCGTGGGGATGCAGGCTTAATTTCAACACTATTCTAAATACTTGAAAGATATTATATAACTCTTTAATAAACTCCTGTGTCTACAAATGGTTCACATTAACTCAATATCCAAGATTAAACATCTATAAAATCAAGGCACTGTTATTTAGTGGAGACTTGCTGGCTATTCTATGAGAGGAGGTATTGTTATTGTAATCTCATCCTCTCATAAAAGTGTATCATATTACTCATAACCAGCCCTTCATATTCTATTCCTATTTTGGTATTTAAAAATAAGATATCTTTGAAACACTTGAATTCAAAGAGGGAATCTGAATAGTTTTTAAAATGTCAATGAAATGCCATTTCTTCATGCTTGAACAAATACAAATTGACTAAAGTGCTTCTCTTCAAACTTTCTGGAACATTTTTTATCTAAATTCTAGGAACAATCACAATAGGTTTTAACCACAAATGTGAGAATGTTCTAAACGTTAGGGTGGAAAATTTTTAAAATAATTTTATAGTAATTTTTTCATCATAGTGACAGTGTGCTAAATTTTTTTCAGTCAAATATTACTGTGGACATTTAAGTCAAGATTCTAAGAAGCTGTTCTACAGTCCAAAATTTAGTTTCATATACAATGATATTATACATATATTTGCATATAAAATTAATATATGTGAGCCATGTTTCAAATAGTTGAGAGATTATTATATCAAAGATTCTTGATTATATAAAATGCCAATTACTTATAGGCACACATGCTTTTAATAATTACAAAGGCAGTTGTGGTTGATTCTACTCTTGCTACTGGCATTTATATGGACATAACATTATGGTCTGAAGAATATTTAGGCAAATTTATCCCTCATATGATCAGAAGAACAATGCAAGATAGTTTATATCTGAAAGGAAAAAACCTTTATATGGTTCTGAAAGCCTAAATCCTTAACAACTTGCATAATAATTAGCATAAAAATACACAAACATGCCCTCTTCCTAGCAGTAAGTACACAGTGACAACAGAATCAAAGCATGTGGCTCCTCTTCTCTGCCCTTTCTAGATGGCACAATTCCTCATGAATCTAAGTGCAGTCATAGGGTGGATTAGGGTGACCTGCCATTTGTATGCAACTGATCTCTATTTTGGAAGCAATTAATGTAAAAATATATTTTTACAAGATAATTTCAAATTTCAGGGCAAACTAGCATGGTTTCACTCCTTTTCTTTGTAACATTTTTTCTAAGGTTGGAAAAGTAAGGCTTTAGTACGATTTTTAATAATAAGTTTTCAAAGTGAGACGCAAAATGGTGGCGCCAACACATTTCAAGTCTGCTACATTTTGAATACACTTATTGGAGAAAAGACCTTCTCATCATTTTTCTCTTACAGGAAAGGAAATAACATGTACAGTTGACCCTTAAGCAACACAGAGGTTGGGGTGCTGGCCCCCCTACACAGTAGAAAATCCACTATAACTTTGACTCCCCCAAAACTTAACTACTAATAGCCTACTGTAAGCCTTACAAATAACACAAGCAGTCAATTAACACATATTTAATATGTTATATGTCTTATATACTGTATTCTTAACAAACATGCCAGAGAAAAGAAAAAGAAAATCATAAGGAAAATATATTTACTAGTTATTAAATGGAAGTACATGATCAAACAGGTCTTCATCCTCATCCTTTTCATGGGCAGGGTGTGGAGAAGGATGTAGAATTGTTGGTTTTGCTAAGTGGACCTGCACAGTTCAAACCCCTGTGGTGCAAAGGCCAACTGTAAAGCCATTGAATAGCAATTTAGTTTTAGAAATTAACCTCACTAAAATACTCTTAGAAGGATGCCAAGAAAAAAAATGAATAAGTATTTTTGGTTCATCTATTTCATCATTTCATTTAATTTCCTCATTTCATTTCATCCTTTCATCATTTCGTTGCATCATTTCATTTCATCATTTCATCTCATCATTTCATTTCATTCTTTCATTTCATCATTTCATCTCAACATTTCATTTCATCATTTCACTTCATCTCATCATTTCATCATTTCATCTCATGATTTCATTTCATCTCATTTCATCTTTTCATCTCATTTCATCTTTTCATCTCATTTCATTATTTCATCCTTTCATCATTTTATTGCATCATTTCATCTCATCATTTCATTTCATTCTTTCATTTCATTTCATCATTTCATCTCAACATTTCATCATTTCACTTCATCTCATCATTTCATTTCATCTCATTTTATTTCATCTTTTCGTCATTTCATTTCATCATTGCATCTTTTCATCTCAATTCATTTTTCATCAATTCATTTCATTTCACTTATTTCATTTCATCTTTTCATCATTTGACTTCATTTCATCATTTAATATCATTTCATCATTTCATATCATTTCATCATTTCATCTTTCCATTTCATCATTTCATCATTTGACTTATCATTTCATTTCATCATTTCATTTCCTCATTTCATCATTTCATTTCATTGCATCCTTTCATCATTTCATCTCATTTCATCCTTTCATTTCATTATTTCATTTCATCATTTCATCATTGCATTTCCTCATTTCATCATTTCACTTCATCTCATTTCATAATTTCATCTCATGATTTCATCTCATGATTTCATTTCATCTCATTTCATCTTTTCATCTCATTTCATCATTTCATCTTTTCATCTCATCATTTCATCAATTCATCATTTCATCATTTCATTAATCATTTCACTTCATTTCATCATTTCATATCATTTCTTCATTTCATCATTTGATCTTTTCATTTCATTTCATTTCATCATTTCACTGCATCATTTCATTTCTTCCTTTCATTTCCTCATTTCATTTCACCATTTCATCATTTCATCATTCCATTTCATCATTTCATCATTTCATCTCATCATTTCATTATTTCATCAATTCATTTCATTTACTTCATCATTTCATCATTTGACTTCATTTCATCATTTCATCATTTAATATCATTTCATCATTGCATTTCATATCATTTCATCATTTCATCTTTCCATTTCATCATTTCATCATTTGACTTATCATTTCATTTCATCATTTCATCATTTCATTTCATCCTTTCATCATTTCATCTCATTTCATCCTTTCATTTCATTATTTCATTTCATTTCATCTCATCATTGCATTTCCTCATTTCATCATTTCACTTCATCTCATCATTTCATAATTTCATCTCATGATTTCATTTCATCTCATGATTTCATTTCATCTCATTTCATTTCATCTTTTCATCTCATTTCATCATTTCATTTCATCTTTTCATCTCATCATTTCATTTCATCAATTCATCATTTCATTATTTCATTAATCATTTCACTTCACTTCATCATTTCATATCATTTCTTCATTTCATCATTTGATCTTTTCATTTCATCATTTCATTTCATTTCATCATTTCACTTCATTTCTTCATTTCATTTCCTCATTTCATTTCACCATTTCATCATTTCATTTCATCATTCCATTTCATCATTTCATCTCATCATTTCATCCTTTCATTATTTCATTTCATCATTTCATCTCATCATTTCATCATTTCACTTCATCTCATCATTTCATCTCATGATTTCATTTCATCTCATCAATTTATAGCATCTTTTCATCTCATTTATTTCATTTCATCTTTTCATTTCGTCATTCATTTCATCATTTCATTTTGTCAATTCATTTCATTTCCTTATTTCATCATTTCATTATTTCACTTCATTTCATCATTTCATTCCATCATTTCATATCATTTCTTCATCATTTCATTTCACTTCATTTCACCATTTCATCATCATTCCATTTCTCATTTCATCTTATCATTTCATTTCATCATTTCACTTCATCTCATGATTTCATCATTTCATCTAATGATTTCATTTCATCTCATCATTTCATCTTTTCATCTCATCATTTCATTTAATCATTTCGTTTCATTTCACCTTTTAATCTCGTCATTTCATTTCATCATTTCATGTCATCAATTCATCATTTCATTTCATTATTTCATCATTTCATCATTTCACTTCATCACTTCATTACATTTCATCTCATCATTTCATATCATTTGTTCATTTCATCATTTCATCTTTTCATTTCATTGTTTCACTTCATCATTTCATCATTTCATATCATTTCTTCATTTCATCATTTCATCTTTTCTTTTCATCATTTCATTTCATTATTTCACTTCATCAGTTCATTTCATCATTTCATTTCATTTCCTCATTTCATTTCACCATTTTGTTTCATCATTTCATTATTTCATTTCATCATTCGATTTCATCATTTCATTTCATCATTTTATCATGTCATTTCATCTCATCATTTCATTTCATCTCATCTCATCATTTCATTTCATCATTTCATCATTTCATTTCATTTCATCATTTCATCATTTCGTTTCTTCATTTGATCATTTCATCATTTCATCATTTCATTTCATTTCAGTGATACATGTATTTAAGTGCTAATGTGATGCCCAGGAGACACCCTATTTCCCTTTGTAAAACACCTCCTTCAACAAAAGGCAACCTCTCATGGCTGGCTAAGTCTACAGGGATACCAGCCTCTCTTCAACCACCCAGTTTGATTTAGAACCTCAAACAGCACCTCAGTTTCATAAAAACCTAAAACATAAACACAACACTTGGTTGTAAGTGAGCCAACAGTTTCTTGTCTCTTTCTCTGCTCAAGGCTTAAGGCCGTGTCTCCCCAACTACGTTCAGTGGAAGAAAAGATCCCCTGGACAAATAAGTTTGAGAACTGTTGTTGCAGGACTTCTCAGAACCTTTAAAACACAAATCCTCATCCGCAGGGATCTTCAGGAGGGAGATGGCTGGTGCAGCACAACTTTCTTTCACAGGAGCATCTTGCAGAATACAGTATGAGATACAGAAAGGCTGCACTGAGTCTTTTTAAGGGCCCAGGCCTTGGTGCGGGTGGGGAAGGAGCTCTCCAGATAGCATCTAATGAGTAGGAACATTCAGGTGGCTTTTTTTTTTCCTTATTGGCAAAACTGTGTGTGCACCATGAATGAAGCTGGATTCCCTTATCCATATCAAAACTAAACCCAAATTAATTGGCTGAATTGGGACTCAACACCTCCAGGAGCCACATGGAAGAAAGCCCCACCACACTTTAAAGTAGCTTACCTCATCATATTTGAGGAAAGCAAAACGCTTATGACCAGTATGCTGCTAATACAAGTCTACAGATAATGCTGTATGAAAAATTATTTTTCCCAATCATGGCTGGCATAGTCCACATTTTGCATTACACTTTCCCCCCTTTTTTTAAATTTTAAGCACAGGTCTTTTTCTCTTCTTTTTTTAAATTTTAATTTAATTATACAAGACGGAGTCTCAGTATGTTGCCCAGGCTGGTCTTGGACTCCTGAGCTCAAGTGATACATCCGTCTCCGCCTCCCAAAGTGCTGGGATTACAGGCCTGAGACACTGTGCCCGGCCTTAAACACAAATCTTAATTCATTCTTACAACTATCCTGGGGTTAGAAAAATGGAAGGGGAAGAAAAATGGCAAGCAGGCAGGCTGACTTCGGCTTCATTATTTGGAAGGACAGTTTGCTCGGTTAAAACACACTACTGCCCACAAAGGCCAAGACAACAGAAAAATACAGACTTATATAAATAGATTTTATATGTGACAGCAGTTTGAATGGAGACTTTTTCAATGCAAATGACAAACAGCTGTCCTTGGGAATAAATGACAACGAATTTTTTTATCTCAACATCTGTCCTGAGAGCACGTCTCTACATCTCTACCTGCATTCTGGAAACCGGGAGAAAGCCAAAACGGACGACAAGACACTAGATCAGCCGTGTCCAACCCTGTGACTACAAGGACTTTTCCGCCTATCTTTGGTGGTGGGTATCATCAAAATTCTGCACAAACCTTTTTTTTTTTTTTTTTTTAAGCTCATCAGCTGTTGTTAGCATTAGTGTATTTTATGTGTGGCTCAGGAGCATTCTTCTTCCAATGTGGGCCTGAGAAGCCAAAAGACTGGACACCTGTGCACTAAATCAAAAGGCTATTCCTTCTGGAAGCAATTGTAAAGAATTTCTCACATTATCTTGACATGAAAACCAATGGATAGTGGGACAGAATGCAAAATCTTCAAGAATTTTTGTTGTTGTTGTTGTTGTTTTTGAGTCAAGGTCTTGCTCTGTGGCCCAGGCTGGAGTACACTGGTGAGATCACAGCTCAGTGCAGGCTCAAGTGCTCCTCCTGCCTCAGCCACAGTACTAGCTGGGACTACAGATGCGCGCAGCCACCCCTGGCTAATATTTTATCTTTTGTAGAGACGGGGTCTCACTGTATTGTCCAGGTTGGTCTCAAACTCTTTGACTCAAGGGATCCAGGACAGGATAACAGGTGTGAGCCACCACACCTGGTCATGTGCACGAACTTTTAAGACAAACACAAGGCCCCACAACAGGTAAGGTTTTCCCACCTAATTTCCAGGGGATCTTTTGGTGCAAGGATGAGAAGCCCTTAAAAGTACACAGACAACTCCAAAGATTCAAGACAGTTCATTCGGGCTGAGCCAGCCCACTGGGCAGATAGACCTTCAAGAAAGGCCCACGCATGACATACACCAGATGGCTCTCCAAGAATCGCTTCAGTCCTCAGGGTCCCTAAGGTACTGGACAGAGCTAGGAAAGCAAACCCATTTGCTTCTTCCTGCACGAAACCCCTTGAGGTCAAGACCCCACAATCAGACGAGGATGGAGTGGCTCACCCTCAGTCAACAGGCCAGACTCAAGGTGGTATAATGACTTAACCAAGGGTGTGGGACTCCAGGTCTGACTCCCAACTCAGTTCTCCTTTAATAACCACACTTTGGTAATTCTCCTTAACAGGGGTTCCTGGCAAGTCAGTTCTCCCTCAGGCCTTTGGTTTCCTCACCTACAAGATGAGAGGGCCGGACCAGATGGAAATTCGGGGGTAAGGGGATGTCCGCGCGCAGCCCACCCCCACCCTCCCCGCCCCACGGGACCCTAGAGCCTCCATCCCAGTTCCCACCAAGCACTCGCCCCACAAATCCTGCCCAAGGTGAGGGCTGGTCCCGGGTCTCTCGGCTGCCCCATCAGCGAGTGCAGGAGGGAGGGGAAGCCTCCAAGGGCGCGACGCGGGCTCAAGGATGCAACTCGGCCAGGAGTGAACTGGGGCCTCAAGGGAGGTGTCCGGGCCGCTCCTCGAGCCCAGCCCGGGTCCCCAAACCCCTTACCTCCAGGGTCCGTATCTCCTGCTCGGTGAGGTCGTTGGACACAGCGCACTTGGTGCCCAGCCCGCGCAGGCTGCCAATGGAGATGCCGATGAGCTTCTGGAGCTGTCTGCACTGCTGCAGCCCCGGGCTGGCCGGGGCCCCTGCGCCACCCTCAGCGGCCGCTGCATCACCCCCGCCACCGCCCTCCTTCTTCTCTCCCATCGCCTCCGCGCGCAGTGCCGCTCTATGCAGGCCACAGCGGCCGAGGCAGGGAGCCCGGGGCTCTGGCGCCTAGGCAAGGAACCCCCGAGCCGGGAGAGCTGGACCGGGAGCGCCCCTCGGCGCTGCCCTTGCCAGGACGCCAGTAGAGCTGGCAGCGGAGTCTGCCGCTCCCGCCCTCAGAGCCGTGGCGGCGGGAGCAGAAAGCCGCGGCGGCAAAAAGCCGCGGCGACGGGGGGCAAAAAGCCGCGGCGGCGCAGGCAAAAAGCTTAGGCGGCGGGGGCAAAAAGCCGCGGCGGCAAAAATGCGCGGCGGCGGGGCAAAAAGCCGCGGCGGAAGAAAGCCGCCGGGGCGGGGGCAAAAAGCCGCGGCGGGGGGGACAAAAAGCAGTGGGAGCTGGGGCAAAAAAACCACAAAAAGCCGCGGCGGCGGGGACCAAAACGCCGCGGCAGCGGAGGCAAAAAGCTGCAAAAGCCGCGGTGTGGGGGCAGAAAGCCGCAGCGGGAGAAAGTCTCACTCCAAATTCCCTTGCTTCAGTAAGCTTCTCTAGGCCAATGTTCCTTCGGCATTACCCATTTTCTTCCTGTGAATGCAAATCACATAAACATGGAAGTACATTTGACCATTTTAATTGTTTAACATTCCATGTCACACGACCTTCCACAATAGAATCAATGTATTAAAATGTGTTAACGACCACACATTTTACACAAATGCCATGAATCCTTAAGGTGTTCCAATTTATAAAATATGTCTGCAAATCATACTTTATGATGCTTTGTATTCTGTCGGTAATTGGATGTCATATATTTAAATTCTATTAAACTGCTTATTAAAATGTCCAGTGCCTCTTTTCTTGCATGGCCACAAATATTGTCACTTTAAATCAGCACCTTTCAAAGTTAGTTTCATGACGACTCAAGATACTTTAAACTATTTTAGAAAGTCTCAAAATAATTCAAAAATAATTCATTTAGTTAACATATTTTGTAAATATACATATTCTATGTATTAATTTAAATTTGGAATAAGTCAAGGAAGAGATATAAAATGTCTTTAAAAGGTATTACAACTGTAAGTAATCAAAGAAGGAAAAACAAACAAACAGAATAAACTGTCAAAGGGCCAGAATACTAGGAAGAACTTAAAAAGTAGTAAGCAATACATACTTCCTCACCTATATAATATCAAAGAGTTTGGGATACCCACAGAAGCGACTGTGAAAACCTCTGAGACCATCCTCTGTGTTGGTGTCTCCTTAAATCAATGGGATAAATACTGAAAATCTTGTCCAATAGCAATCCAATTTAAGAAGTCACCATAGGTATAAATAGCAAACAATTATATGTTCCCCATCATGGCTAAATGTATCATGTGAGCCATATGTGAGCCATCTACAAAATCAATTATTCAGCAATTCAGTTCATTTCATTGAGACAATATTAATAAAAGGATCAAAAGAACTATCGTCTGATTATGTCATACACAACAAAGCACCAACTATTTATCAAAAACTGTTCTTTCCATTCTACCTCTGTGGTTATTGCCTTAGGTCAGACACCATCACCTCTCACCTGAATTAATGTATTAAGTTTTTAATGGGTCTCCCTATCTCCAATCTCACCAACCCCAGATTACCCTTTAATGATTTCACATTACCTTGAAAATAACTAGGCTCTTATTTTTGTGCTCTGGTACAAAAAATGCCTTTGTCTGTTGCCACACAGGCCATTATCTCATGGAAAACCTGTTTTCCAGCTGTGTTGAATTCAGTAGTATTCATAGACCCAACACAATCTCTTCTTGTCTTTAATGTGACGTTTATCCTGAAAAGAGTGCTTTTCTCTCACACTCCCTGTATATCTGGTTGGCTTATCCTTGAATACCCTACTCAAACTTTACCTTCCCCAAGCACAGTTTTCCATGGTCTCCTCAATGCTGAGCTGCCCTTCTCTGTGGTCCTTTTGCAACAGCTACCAAGCCATTTCTTACATGGCATTTACTGTCTCCTCTCCTAGAACAATTTCTTAAGACTAGAAACCATGTCTTAATTATCTTTGTGTCCTAGTATCTGAATGTCTGCAATATGGAAAAAACACTCCACTGGTGTTTGTTCAAAGGATGAATAAATAAACATTTCCTAAAATTGCCTGATACTAAGAATCGCTCAGGTGCTAATTAAAAATTCAGATCGCCAAGCTAAGATTTATATTGACCAGTATGAATTGAGGCAGAAGATTTTGTACATTTATCAGGTATCCCAAATGATTTTCATAATGAGGAAACTGAGAGAATTTAATCATAAGAGATAGGAAAATCTGTCTTTGCATGAAATTTCTCTGTCCTCCGTCCATGGGTTACTTGTTTTTGAGGTATCCATGAGGATACTCCTCCCCCTTTATCTGATACCTAACTGTGCTGTGCAAGAAAAACAAAACAATTTTTCATCATATAAGGGCATGAGGCTAATCTATCCTTAGCTCAGAATATAAACTCAGCAAGGGGCTTAAATATGATTTCAACATTGTTTGTATTCTTTCAGCTAGCGTTTTCAATGTGGCCTAAAAATGTCATGACTCAGAGTACTTATTTGTAGAATTGCTTCAAAATTTTATCTAAACCATTATAATTTCACACCTGGCATTGAAACTACCTAGTTTGCCTGCAAGAACTCCACTTACTTGGCAAATATACAGTACTTGCTGAGACTAACTTAGTGTGTAATGCTTTATCCTATAACTCTAGGAATACAAACATTTAAAAAAAAAAAAAAAGGCTGTTCCATGTTGCCTCTATTCAGCATACCTTACTCCTAATTTCCTGCAATACTCTCTTCACCTCTACCACTCAGGGGAAACTTTTTTTCTGAAAGTCACAAAGAAGCTCTGAATTACCAAATCTAACAAATTTTCTTCCCATATCCATTGGCTTCTAACTAACAGTACGAGGCAAGTCTTTCTTCAATGCCCATTCCTTGTTGGATTCCTGGCCTTCCTATTTCTCTCTCTGCAACTTTTTGGTCTCCTTCATAAACGTATTCTTTTGTTTTGCCTGCTTCTAAATATGTTTGTTCTATTTTGGAATCTAAACTTGTTGGCCTAGCAGTAAAGTTCTTCGAAATTTGCCAATCTGTTTGGAACTTATCACACTAAACTCCTCTCCGTGTATCCTATGATTTGAGCTGGCACTCGTCAGATGTGGTTTTAAAATGTATACTAATTAAAATTAAATAGAATAAAAAATTCAACTCCTCAGTCACACTATCCACATGTCAAGTGTTCAACAGCCACTAGTGGCTACCATATTGGACAGAACGTTCATACAACATTGCCTTCATGGACAAAAGTTCTATCAGACAGTGCTAGTCTAGACAACTGGAGTACTCAAATTTCTCATCTCTACACTTTAGCTCATTCTATTCTCTGTCTACCTAAAATGCTGTCCACCAATCATATCTCTTCCTATTGAGGTATGACTCGTTCTTCAAGATTTATTCTTAATATTTACCTGTCTCCAAAGTCTTTACTTATCACTCTAGCTGAAAGTATGGCAGCCCACCTATGAACTCTCAAAGTTGTTTATACTACTACTCTCCCCCATGTTGTTTTGTTCTGTCATTATTGGTGCAAATGCCTGCTTTCCTTGATTAGAGATATAATGTGTGAAGAGTTGATTGATAGTTGCCAACTGTCATTGAGCACTTTGAACATGTGAAGTTAAGTGCTTGATCATAGTTCTCACATCCTCATAACTCCCCTGTGAAATATATGGTGTTTTTTCATATCCGCGTTAAAGAAACTGGGATTTACAATGATGTAACATTGGACAAATTAAGGTCTCAGGACAGGAGGTCACGGAGTGATGAGCCCTGAATTACTCTAGGTGGGTTTAACTCCAAAGCCCATGCCCTTACCCAGGGGAACACACTGCTTCTGAAGATCTCATTCACCATGTTAATGACCACACCCCCGCCAACCCCACCACGTGCCTCCTAACACTAGGCATGCTCCATGTGTGATGAGTGAATAGATGACTAATACTTCGTATGCTTAAGGTCATTTACAATTCACAAAACTTGTTGACAGCTATACTTGATTTCCATATGATTTCCCCAACATCTCTGACGCAGCTCCACAGGAAATGTTATCTCCATTTCACAGAGGCTGAGAGAGTTCAGAGTCCTCCAGAAGCTCACATTGCTATTTAGTAACAGGCATAGACAGGACTTCAGCCCACGTGTTCTGCCTTCAAGTTCTGCCAGCCTTTCTTCAAAACCCTCTGTGAGTTTGAAACTCATCAACAATCAGCAAAGGCTCAAAGTGTTATTGTATCTTAATATGTCTTTTTTGTTGTTTTTTTGAGACAGAGTCTTGCTCTGTCGCACAGGCGGGAGTGCAGTGGCGCCATCTCGGCTCACTGCAACCTCCATTTCCTGGGTTCAAGCGATTCTCCAGCCTCAGCCTCCCGAATAGCTGGGATTATGGGCACCCGCCATCATGCCTGGCTAATTCATTTGTGCTTTTAGCAGAGATGGGATAGGGTTTCACCATGTTGGTCAGGCTGTTCCCGAACTCCTGACCTCAAGTTATCCACCCATTTTGGCCTCCCAAAGTGCTGGGATTACAGGCATGAGCCACCGCACCCAGCCTTAAGATACTGTCTTCTAAAACTTGCCCTTTTTATTGTTTAAAAAACATGATGAGGCCGGGCACGGTGGCTCACGCCTGTAATCCCAGCACTTTGGGAGGTGGAGACAGGTGGATCACCTGAGGTCAGGAGTTCGAGACCAGCCTGGCCAATATGGGGAAACCCTATCTCTACTAAAAATACAAAAATTATTTTTAGTTTTTGTATTTTTTGAGATTGCAGTGGTGGGCCCCTGTAATCTCAGCTACTCGGGAGGCTGAGGCAGGAGAATTGCTTGAACTCAGAAGGCGGAGGTTGCAGTGAGCCAAGATGGCGCCATTGCACTCCAGCCTGGGCCACAGAGTAGTGAGACTCTGTCTTGGGGTGGGGTGGGGGGAGGGGGCGGCGGGGAAGAAAAAACAACATGATGAGGCTTAAGTGTTTATGTCTAAGGGAGGGGGAGAGGCAATTTAGTCAAGTTTTCAGTGCTTTTAAATAGCCACAGATTTCAATCTTTATCATATTGTTTTTGCCCTAACCCTATTAGGATAACTTGCTTACATTAAACAAAATTCTGAGAATGTTAATTAGCAATTCAGTTATGAATATGCATGATTATTTTTAAGTCCACTAATATTATGCATAGGTCTTATCTGTAATTATATCTAAATGTTCTCTTTTTTTCTCTCCCTCTCTATTTCTCCTTCAGGAAAGCCATTTAAAACACATTTGGGAAATGTCTGAAAAAAGTAATTCTATTACTCTTATTTCCAGAATTTTCTTAAATATTTTATGGCTATAATTTTTTCCTTCTCAAGGCAAAACAGTACATCACCACATACATTATCATATTTGTTGACAAATATGAGAGTCAAGGAATTAATTTTACACCAGTTAAATAACAGAAGAAAAAGTTATTCTGTATTTTCTTCTTTATTATACTAATTTTCTCACATCCGTAAATGGTTTTATATTTTGTGGCTATCTGCAATTATATTTAAGGGCGAGTATTATACCACCATTTGTTTCACATCCAACTTGGAGCATTTTGTATTTGTGTATACATATAAGGTTAGTCAGGAGTGAGAGATAGGATTAAACTCATCTAGTTTGCGTGCCCTTTCTCAGTCACAATGCAGTCTTTACAAACAATTTTTCCTTTAACAGAAAAACTGAAAACATGTCTAAAAAAATAATTTGCCTTAAGACAACCCTTCTAGGAAATGGCGAAGATCTGTTTCAAACCCAGGCCTGCCTCATGCCAAAGCCTGTGACCTTTTCACTATTAATGACCAAATGGTTGAATGACTGTTAAATAAGTCTCTTGGGTAAAACATAAACGTGCCTGATACCCCTTCATTAAAATGTTTATTAGATAAATAAATAAATTGGTGGACGGAGCTCAATATAATCAGCTCATTTGCCTCCACACCAAAAGAGAACATTTTCAAATGAACATGCAGGAGGAATACATGATTACAAAAATGCTTCAGCAATGATTTTGCTTTTATAGGATTACTCGTCCCAAGTTCGATAGTCTTAATGCACATGCAATTTGCTTGAAGTCTATAATGCCCTTGCATTTCAAGCTGAGGAGTCTGATCATCTGGAAACTAAAAATTAAGGATCTGAAATATTGTTAACTAAATAGATTGAACTAAAATTAGCCTCTTAGGACTTAAAGTGCTTCCACATAAAGTCCAAGAGCTAGAAACGAGAATGATGTTCCCTACAACCAAATATTGCCTTAATTCCAAATTTAGCTTCTGCCACTTGATCTAATGTTACATCAAGGCACATGAGCCCTCTGCATGTGAAGAGCTTACACCAATTTGAAGCAAATGCATCACATGAGCAAGAATGCAAATTCCAATAGTAATAATGTTTCTTTCACTATTTATTTCATTCCTTATTTTTCATACTTGTTGCCACTTTGTGAACCTGCCTCCAATCACTTTACACTGGCTTATTTTAAAAGCCTTTTAACTGTTCTCCTTACTGTCACCCTTTTTTCCTAATTCCACTGCTCCTACAAATGGTTGCTAGAAAAATCTTCCCCAAACACAGCTTTTATCACAGGCTCAAAAACCTATCACAATTCTCTAATGCCTGGTCTATAAGACTCTTAAAGTCTTTCCCCCTTCTCACCAGCCTAGTCTCTCCCTGAGGCAGTTTCTCTATTAAGAAGAAACAATATTTTGCTATGCCCTGTATTTTCTTTTCTGTGCCTTTTGGCATGCCAGTGCTAGTGATCCTAACGTAGAGCTTTCAAACATGCTTTGCAAATTATCTTTGATGTATTTTCATATGGGTGTAGTATCAGCCTCTGTATTAGTCAGGGTCCCAGAAAAAAACAGAATTCATCCCAGAGTGTTCAAATAAAGAGATTTTAATAAAGGAGTTATTTGCATTAATTGTAGACAGACTTAAGGAGCAAACAAGGTGGCAGGGCACCCAAAGGATAGCAATGGTGAGAATATAATACTACCCCTAGGGATAAACAGTCAAGGAAAAGGAGCAGTGTTTCCTTAGAAGCCCTGCATCAGAAGAGGTACAGAGGAGAACAGGGCGAAGGGAGTTATATCCTGAAAGGACATGATCACGGCCAGCGCACAGGGCCGAAGTAGGACATGAAGAAGAAATACCCTGACTTCTTTCTCTTCCTGCCCTCCAATATCCTGCTAAAGCCTTCCATAGGCCCCACCCAAGACAAACACAGAGAGCAGAGAGTCCCAGTCATGCAAATGACAAGGGTCAGCTTCCCAGAGCACACGGAAGACATGGAATAGTGTTGAGTGCATGGGGGCATGGCAAATGGAGAACAATTTGCACAGTCTGAGCTAGACTGTAGCCTTCTGGAGGATGGCAATTTCTGAGATACCCCACATTTGGAGTAAGAGAACAGCCGCAGACCTCACTCTATGTGCCACTTTGAGCAACTTTGCTTAGTTAGAAGCTATTTCCTTACCTTTAATATAAGAGTAATACTCAGTTTGTATAATAGTCCTGGACATCCAGTGAAAAAATGTGTATAAAATATCTTGTCCCATAAGTGCTAAATAAATTGTAACTACTGCTGTGACTGACTAAATAAAAATTATATATGTATAAGTATAAAACCTCTTACAAAACATGTAATAATAAAAGAATGAGTCATAAAAGACAAGAATCAATGAGTGTTAATGGTCACCTTTGTTGCTCACCTCTACCCTCCATCCCCTGGCCTTAACAAATATGGCAGGACATCTTCAGGATTTGGCAGGCAGATGATTTATTTTACACTAGTGACTTGGATGCCATTCCTCTTCCTTCCACTCAGTAACAGACGGCGCCCTGGACAGCAGTGACATCTGCAGCCCCAAGGGAGAAGGGTCAGCACAAATTTTAATTTTGCTTTTGGTTTGGGGCTTTAAGTACACAAAGAGGTTTTTTTTTTTCCCTGTCAGTTTGCATCTAGCTTCGCATCTGACATTTTTTAATGCTTTATGTATTTGGATTGACCTAGAAATTTATAGCTTCAGGTTTTTGCTTATTTTGCTCTGTCTCTAATTCAACCTCCTTGATTTAACAATAAAAGCCAAAATATAACATGAACAAATACTCTATTTGTCTGTATCACTAAGGGGGTAAGGAAGAGGTCATTCTGCTCTTTTTGAGCTACTTCTTATTACCATATATTAACATTTGAATATCTTCAATAACAAGAAACAAGAATACTAGGGATAACCTATAAAAATCTGAGTAAAATTTGACTCATCGCTAAAAAAAACCTTAAAAGCTAAGAGGAGAACATTTACAAAAATTGTTATGTTCACTGACAAGGCATTAGATTTCAGACTAATTGCTGCTATGAGAATAATAGATAGATACACACATACATAAAGCTTTATTTTCAGAAGGTCAAGTATCTACACCAAATGTTTCATCCTCCAGAGTTCAGTTTCAGGGAAATCTCTACAATAGGAGAGCCTCCTGATGTTTGTTGTGGCCACATTTGGAGCCATCAAAATTTCCTACTCAGGCATCCCACAGAGAAAAAGCATCTACCCCTAAGAATGTGAAATAGTATCCTCATTACTGAGTTGATTACTCATCAACCTTAATAGTATTTGTAATTCGCCTTTACCCTGGGGCAGTTTTCAAAGGTCATGGGGAAGGCTGAAGGCTGTGTCTATAAGACAGTTTGATCAAAATAGAACTAAAGGCTGGCCTCAGGTAGCTGTTTCTAATCTGAGTTGGTCAGAGGACAATGAAAACTACAGTTCATGCCCAGATGTTCTCCTTGGTCAAGGGGAGACTGGCTAGACAGAGTCAGATCTTAAGGGTCATTTCTGATTGGCCTCCATCCAGAGTATGATAACAAAACTCAAGAAGCTTCGCAGATAAATAATGATGTAACTAATTTAGGTGTTTAGATAAATCATTCCAAGTCTCCTTTGTCTGCTTAGGACTGATTTTCCTGGGCTAGGTAAACACCCTGAATTTACAAGAGAATGTTCAGCCTCATTTTAACTCTGCAACTGGTAGAAGAAGAAGAAATAGGCCTTCTTCTATTTTGATGGTAGAAAGACAAATAAAACGACATGCATAAGTCATTTAGAGTAGTAAAGCAAATAATCAACAATTCACAGGATTGAATTGTATGATAAGAAGACATATGGAATTTCTCATCCTGGTTCTTTTCTTTGTCCCTTTTGTAAGTTACTTACTCCAATTGATTCCAGCTTTTCAATCTGTAAAAAAGGGATATAAGATAAATAATCTCTAATATTCCTTCTAACTCTATAAAAATAGCTATTGTTATATGTATCAAGAATAATCAAAGTATATTTTTTTAGATTGTAGACCTATGTTCTCATGAGACTGCATTTCAGATGGATTGGAAGCAGCCTAATATGTATTCAAAAACCAGCACCAGATGAAAGGACTCAGCCAGAATCATGCAAAGCAGAACAATCAAATTCACAGAGACAGACTAAACTTTTTAACTAAGACTATCATGCAATTATATTGTTGGTATATCCCACGTCTATTGGTTGTATATGTATTCAAAAATTAGGTTTAGAGATGGATGATACACAGATTAGATAAACTGATAATCAATGGAGAAATGGAAAAATAGACATTTTTTAAGCACATTTTCTGAAATATCAGATGTATAAAATATGTGTATTCAGGAAAGAAATAAAATTAGACAGGAGACAATACAGATAACTTAGCAAGAAGTTATTAAGGGTGAATAATAGTATTCAGATATATCTGTCACAAGGCCCTACAAATACTAAAATTAGCTGTGATTTTTTTCTGTTAGTTCCCTAGGATTCTGCTAAAATCAGCATCCTCAGGAGCACTGGTTAACACTATGGTGTAAATCACTTGCTGATGCCATAAATTAAAAAGAAAACAAAAAACTATATTCAAAGTAACTGAGCTATAGGAACATCTCCTTAAAAGATGGAGGCATTAAGAGCATTTTCCACAACCAAGAACTAAATGTCATTCACCTGTGAATTAAAAAAAGGAAATCAAGGGGGAAAAATGAGCAGCCAGATCAATTGCGTAAACCTTTGTCAAAGATAGAAATGTTTATATGGGAGTTCTGTGGCTAAACAAAATGCAAACAGCCACATATTTTTTCAACCAACAACTGGATATCAGTAGCTTAAATAAACTCTTTCATCGTTTTATTTTTTTCATCCTTATCCTTGCTTTAAAAAAATGGAACACAGTATTTGTTGAACATTTTATGCACATATTGCGTCATAGCCCAATTTCTCAAACTCAAAGTCAATTTAGCAAATAGAAATGACAGTAGAAAAAACATATAATGTCCTGTTGGGAAGAACTGTCTTTCATTGTAGTGTGAACTTAATGACTGCATCACCTACCTTGAAGTATTTTTTAGGTCTAGTTATTCATTTAACAAAGGATTATCCAGTGCCTTCTATGTGACAGGCGCAGTGGCCACAAAGATAAGCAAAAAGATATGCTCCTTATCTTCATGGAGCTTACAATTTAATAAGAGATAAATATCCATCAAACAACCCCACAAATAAATGTACAACTGTAACTGTAATAAAAGCTAAAATGAGTATGGTGCACTATGGGCATACAGTAGGGAGATCTGACCTAATCAGAGAGTTAAGACAAGTTAGGGGCCTTGTATCCTATTCCTGGAGTCTTGCTCATCGGCAAACAGGTGAAGGAAGTATTTGTAAGGATAATATATCCTCCTGTACATCCCAAAGTCCCGTCCTGTGCACAGCCACTGACTACGTACCTCTGCATCCAAAGCAGACTCAGCTTTCAGCTGGCCTTGCTGAGAGTGAGCCCAGCATATCATGGAAAATGAATTCACCACACTGTGGCACAAACCCCGTATCATCCAACAGCTTCTTCAACCAGAGCAGCTCAGTCTTGGTCCTTATCCGTGAATGATGGTTGCAGAACCACGCTGGCTTTACAGGGATCTGGGTAGGATCCATTGCCCCCACCCTGAATGTATTCATAGTGATGTGCTATATGGTTTAGGAGCCTTGGTAAATAAGTCAAGGTAGAACTGTCTCAACTCAGAACTTTCTTCAGGTAAGAAGTATGCTTCCAACAGAAGTTCCTAACAGGAAGCAGCTATCAACATCAAAGGGGAGTATAGAAATCAATCCAAGACTAACCCCACAGTCTACTCTTTTCTTCCCTATCATCTGTGCCCCTAAAGAAGTCAGGGGAGTTCCCTGGCCAGACCTAACTCAGTACTTAAATATCTTTGATAGGCCTGGGAAACAGAACACAGGAAGAAAAGTCGTGGCTTTTCACCCCAGCAGTGGAATCTATTCTTGTTTTTTGTAGCTTGAGGTGTTTACACCTAAGGAACAGAAAGTGAACTTAAAATGCCTTTAATTAAGAAATTAGGTTTAAATGATTCCATATAACAAATCTGATTTAATTTTAAATTTTTGAATACATTTACTCATTCAAGAATGGTTTCAAACCCTCCGGGGGTGAGAGAAAGGGCAATTCTAGCTATCTTCTACAACTTTCCTGAAATAAAGACAGGAAATCCAATTTGTAATCACAATAAAGTTTCTTATCTAAATCCAAAGGCCAGTTTCTTTTTCCCCTTGGAAACATAAGTGCCTGAAGCAGGGGCTGCATTTTGATATTCTTTGTGGCACTTGGCACAGTATCATTTCTGTGAAGGTGGCTTGTAAGTAGCCTGGGGTGATTATGGTGGTGTAATTTTCATCACAACCACAGATAACCCAGGTAACTGTGCAGGTACAATGATGTTCAGCTTAACTTAAGTGGCTTTGTTCCAAACAAGGGCCTCTATTGTAAAAACAAAGCAGGTGTTAAAACATAGAGATATTGAAGATAGGGGTCACTTTACATACTAACATGCACTGAAAAGTAAATCTGAGCTGCCCCACATTATTGCCAGGAATTACTGTATACTTAACATGAATCCATTAAGTACACAACTGGACAAATGATGAAATTTTATGTTAGTAAAATTCCTGACATATTTCACACCTCTTACTCTATTAAATTACGCTTTTTTAACAAAGAAAAGCTTGCCTACCTCTACACATTTTCAATTTTTTCTCCTATGTATTTCATATTAAAATTTCAAAATAATTTGATCAGAGATCCAGTGCACAAAGGTGCCTAAGTGGATAATAATCACCAAAAACACTTGCAATGGCTGCAGTAGTGGGATTCCCATCAGTGATGTCAACAGTGATGCCAAGAAGACAAAAGAAGAGGGAAGGAGCTAATAACAAAATCCACAGAATAAACAGGCTTCATTAATTTCTGAACAGGCTACATAAATCCATTAATGTCTACCGATTAATAACATGGTCATATAAATGAAGTTACTGCATACGTGTTTTCTGAAAAGCATCATTGCTAATTCATCTTATACTATCAAAATTTCTTTATCCAAAATGTATATATTTTTGAGTAATATCTTCTCAAGAAAGTAATACTTTCTTGTAATACTCAAGAAATACCCTCAATTCCCAAGTACTATAGTTTATATGTGACCAGTTTTTGATATAATAAAATATATAAAATGTAAAGTTAAACCTTAGACGTCTGTCTAGTGCTTATTCTGAGTGGCAATGAAATAATGTAATAAAACACAGCAAAAGGCCGAAAGAAGGAAGAGCTATATTTTGGGAGTGCAGAGAAGCATTACTTCAGAAATGTGTCCAGACAAAGAAAACTCATTCAAGGGATGTGGATAAGGGCCAGGTGGACTAAGGAAGAGGTAGTCTATCTGGGTGTCTCAAAAAGGAAGTTTTCATTCTGGAATCTGAAAAGAGGATGAATGCACCCGAAAATCAAACCAGCAGAGAGTGTTTCAAGAACTAGAGTTAGAGAGAAAGAATCAACTAGAGATAGGTACATCAGACATAGGAAAGGAAACCTGTAGCTAACTGATAGCTTCCATAAAGACAAATTGAATAATAAGACTGTGTATGGTTTACAAAGGCAGGTAGTATTTTTCTCGAAGTGTCCTTGTAGTGAATCTACTATCTTTATATTTGCCATGTTAAAGATACTACTGAGCTGCCCAGAGAACAGTCAAGGAAAAAAGATTTTTGGCCACAGGGCTGTGGTCCTTCAGAAATCCTGGAGCTCCTGTGTGATTAGGAAGTTATCAGAAACAGAACATGCTGTGAGTGTCTGTGTTTGAAGTGAAAGAAGGGAGATATTGAGAACAGCAATGAGTTTGCCCCTTTTTGACAAATCTTACTCTCTGCTTATTTATATCAAATTATCATCATCATCACCCTTATCTCCAGTGATTACCCAAGTCTCTTGTTCACACTCCTCCAAACTGTCTACATATACCTCCCCGCCCAAATACACACTGAAGTTATTAAGAATTAAAAGAACAAATTGTTTGCCCATCCTCATAATCATCTGTCCTAAAATGTCATTTAAACATTTAATCAAACCTGCAGTCCTCCAGGGGAATGTGTGAGTCATGCCGTTCATCCCACACGCTCGAGCGGGGCTTTGTGTCAGTCTTAGGAATGATGCAGACTGGTCCCACAAAGAAATCAGTCACAGGGACATTTTCTGTCATTAGGCAGAGAACAAAAAGCTAACAGTTTCCTGGACTCTACTGAAATAAACTTTTGCACCAATTAATGAAACCCCTATGGAAAGCATCATGCCAGAATCCAAGGAGGCTGGCCATGTACTGACACGCAAACTAACACTCCTGCAAAAGAGGGGGTAGGTGAGCATCCTGAGTCAATATGAATTGTTTGTTTTTCTGCTACTTTGGATCAGCTATACCACTGCTCCCTTTCACAGGTACAAATACACAAAAGAGGGCTTCTGTTTCATAAAAGTGGCTCCGACAAATGACACTCCTCAGGGTGCTGGACCCAACACTGGCAGCCAGCCCGTTCTGTGCCCTCAGCCTGCCAGTACTTTTCACTTCCAAAGCTATCAGCCTGCTTCAGACCTATGCCTTCACTCTGACTAGGGACAAAGAAAAGATCACAGTGGAAATCCTTCTGTGTGCTGCTAATAAGCCTATTTAGAGTCAATGAGAAAGCCTCATTTTGCACCACCAATAACGGCCTTCAAGAGTACTACTGAATCAGAAAAACCGAAATGTTTCTATGTACTCCCTGTCCTCATTTTACATCAGCCAGAGAGGTGACGCTCAGCAAAATATCGGACACGATGACCTCCAAGTTTCCTTCCTTCTCTAATGTCCTCTGGTTCTCTGTTGGCGAGTAGGATTCAAATTTTATTTAAATTATCTCATATTCTGATGGATTCTTGAGCCCTTTTTCAGTTTTAGATAGTCTCCCTGAGGTTTGCTGAATTGGCGTATCCGGAGTCTAGGATCTCTCTTGGCAAAGAACTGAATATTGCTCCCATCCAACGGCTTAGCTAGCACTGTCTATTTTCTTTCTGAAAAAGATCTGGGTAGGAGGCAGGTGTAGAGCATCTTTCCACCTCCCACAGAAGGGCTAGGGAAAGCTTTGTTGTGCATGAACCATGAACAAAAGGATAATTCAAACCAGCAATAATGTCCTTAATAAAAAATAATCATCATTTTCCCAAATGAAAATCTACAGTTCTAACCATTTGATCACAGTGATGTAAGCAAACAAACCTGCAGCTAAAGGTTATATACGGGTCGAAGATTTAATGGAAAGTGATACATGGGTGGAATGACATCACCTATTTGTCAGAATACTAACTCCTCTACCATATCCTGTGTCGGCCCACCGTTGGGGTGTAAGGGAAAGGTGCATAAAGAGATAAGTACCCATTTCTAAACATAATGCAAGTTTGACATTTAAGCTCAATAGTTTAGCTATAGAGCATTTTGGTAACATAAAAAGAAACCAGAGCAATTTGAGTGACCTTTGTGAAAGACAGGCATAGAGGTAGCAACCACCAGTCTCACCACCAAAATCTAAAAACACGGAAAATTAGCATTTATCAAAATTTCTCAGAGACTATGTTACCTACCCAAGATTCCACAGCTAGGATGCAGTGTTTGAGTGTCTACTAACAAGGCTGGGAATTATTAAACACAGAAAGCGTAACAGAAACACTTAGTTCCTCTTGGGTCTTATGGTCCAGTTGATAAAACTTCCAGCACTTTGAACAGATTTTCACTTACTGCAAAGAAAAATGCTTAGCTGAATTATTGTCTGTCTGGGTTGCAAGTAGCACACCCCCACCATCTGTAAAATAATATTTTGGTAGACTAGAGGGCATGTTGTTAAAGGAACCCAAAGGAGAATTATTTTGATAAAGTTAGGGACAATCTCTAGTATGTGTGTTTTATAATTCTGCAACTTATGTAGAAATATATCTGAATGAAATGTTGTTGAAAAGCTGTATATCATTTTAATTTTAATAAATCGAGTCACATTTTATATTCACTGACTGAGAAGTTGGTATTTAGGAAACCTGTGAGAAATTACTTTAATAATTTGTGTGTATGGCAAACATTCACCTTCTGACTTAATTCAGAATTTCTATATAAAAACAAAAATTTAATTCTTTAATATCATCTTAAAATGAGGGATGTTCATGCCATGTTAAATAAATCATTTCCACTTATTTTTAATACATAGTATTAGTTAGGATGCTTGCAGCTGCAAATGATAGAAAATCCAATCCAAAATGGCTTTAAAAATTGTTGTTCTTTAGGTCTATCACCCTAGACTTCTGCTGTCCAATATGATAGTCATTAGCCACATTTAAATGTAAAGAAATCAAAGTTACATTTACATTTAAGTGTAAAGTAATTAAAGTTAAATACAATTTGAAATTCAATTTTTTCAGTTTGCACTAGCCATATTCCATCAAGTGACCAATAGCCACATGTCACTAATGGCTGCTCTATTAAACAATGCAGATATGGAAAAATCTTCTTCACCTCAGAAAGTTCTATTAGACAGTGCTGGCTTCAAAGAAAAGGAAGTTGTTAAATCAGTAAGCAACAGTATCTGTTATATTCCCTATGTAGCAGGCAATAATCTTTATGCATATTATTTCCTTTAACTTCCCAACCGCTCTATGAGGCAACTATTATTATAATGTACTAGTCTGGACTCTAGGTTGCTAGCTAAAAATGGGAAAACATAATTAGGAGAACCTTGAACTATCTCACATATCTACAAGAAAAGCCTGGTTAAGGTCCTCATCACCATCAGAACTCTTTCCATCTGCCACCTTTATTCTGTTGCACAAGTCAGTATTATTCTTCCAGGTCAGCTTCCCCCTTGTGGTGGAAACTTCCCAGCCTCATATCTCACAGCCTCAAACTACTGCCTCCCACCCCCTGAGAGAGAATGATCCTCCTCCTTTCACTCCCATTTTAGATATTACTCGGAAGGACTCTGATAATTTAGCTTTAGTGAAGAGCTCAGTGTTAAATCAATCAGTTGTGGCTGAAGAGACACCAGGGAGAGGATCAGGGTTGTAGAATAGAGACATGGCCGGAGGGGCTCCACTTATGGACAGGGAAAACGATTTCTAGAGAAACTGGAATGCCAGGGTCCTCTCCTTCAACACATTTCTGAGTCCTCAAGGCTCTATCTCAGGCCCTCTGCAATTTCCACCCCACATACTTTCTGAATCTGTCTCACCAAGTCCCATTAATATACTAGTGAGGCCCCAATTCTCTGTCTCAGCAAGACCTTGTATTCTTAGCTTCAGACTCACATAACCAACTAACCTTTCCCAGACATCTGCAGCTGTATATCTCATAGGCTCCTTAAACTCAGTATATCCCACAAAATTCATCATCCTCCTTCCCCCTCTTCCCCAATCATTCATTATATCAGGAATGCTCTTTCAATCAATGACCGAATTTCCCATGCCAAGAATCAAGGCATCATCCTTGATTTGTCCTCTCCTTAAACATCCAATTAATTGCCAAGCCCTACATATATCCCTAAAATGTCTTTTTATTAATATATCCATCTACTTCTGTCCATTCCTAGTACAGTGCAACCATCATAGGCTGGGCCACTATCATTTCTGGAAAATTACTGTAGTATCTCATGGGTCTCCCTTCCTCCAGTGTTATGCCTCACCAATACATTATCCATACTACAGCCAGAATAATCTTTCTAAGATGGTGATTCTATTATTCTGCTTAATACCTTCTGGTGCCCATTCATTGACTTTCAAAACATTTTTCAACTGCCTCTTGACACATATAAAGTCTTATATGATCTGTCCCTTGCCTAGGTCTCTATCCTTACTCTCTTACTATCCCCCTCTCCTAGTCTCTACAACTGCCATCCTTTCTCTTGCCCACTGCTCTTTGTGCCACCCTCTGGTTAAAATAATACTACTACTGATAACCTCTTTTTCTTAATTCTGCTCATATTTTAGTCTCAACTTCAATGACACCCATCTTCGCCCTTAGGCTACATCAGTTCTCCCTGCTATATGCTGGCTATTCAGTTAACATAACACATTGCATTGCAGGAACTGTGCTAAATTATTCACCTTCCCAATTAGACTATAAGCCCCATGAGGACAATAACCATTTTCGTTTTGCTCACGAACATGTCCTTGACATCTAATAGCTAGTGCTTGACAAAGAGCAGAAAATAAGCTGAATTTAATTCTTTCATTTATTCCACAAATATTTTAAGGAAGCCTATTTGTGCCAGATGCCACCCAAGGCACTGAGATGCAGCTGTGAATGAAACAAAATCTCTTCCTACATAAAGCTCATGTTCTTGCAGGGTAAAAAAAAAAAAAAAAAAACCCTAATAAGGTAATAATTTTTTAGAAAATGCAAAAAGCCGCAGCGGGCGAAAAGCCGCGGCAGCGGGGGGCCAAAAGCCGCGACGGGCAGAAAGCCGCGGCGGCAAAAAGGCGCGGCGGCGGGGGCAAAAAGCCGCGGCGGCGGGGACCAAAACGCCGCGGCGGCGGAGGCAAAAAGCTGCAAAAGCCGCGGTGTGGGGGCAGAAAGCCGCAGCGGGAGAAAGCCGCGGCTGTGGGGGCAAAAAGCCATGGCGGCGGGGGCAAAATAGTGGAAATGGGGTAGAAGGCCGGCACGGCTTGGCATTGCTGGAGTGTGATGTGATAGGAAAAGTGCAGCCGAAGACAAAAAAAGATGTAAGTAGGCTTGACTCAGTGCAGCTAAGAACCCAGATGTTATCTTGAGGGTATTAACTAATAAGCAGTTTAAATCCGAATGGCACATTCTGATTTGTTTTTTGTATGTTCACATTTGGCAGGCATAGATACTGTTTGAAGAGAGGAAAGTCAGTAGATAGAGGTAACAAACTTAAACATGTGCCAAGTCTAGAAACAAGAGACTAGGGGAATAAAGACCTTTCAAAATAAAATGCAAGATTTGAAAACTGATTGGCTAGGGGATGAGGAAAAGGCAGGTCTTTAAGGTCAATCCCTGTTTTGCTTTAAGTTGTTAGGGGGTGGTTTTATCACAAATTGTAGAATATGTCATTTCAGTTTTGAACATCTTGAGTTAAATTGTCCTAACATATCTTATGAATTTGATTGTCTTCCCTGGGAAGCTGATATTTCAAAAACTTTAAGAGTATAGATTTCCAACTTGTGTCCAATTTATAAAATTATCTCTAGGCTGCTGGTTTCAGGAGGTTGTTCATGAATATACTATTTGCAGAGAATATATCAGGAGTTAACAACAGCCTCGATATTTGTGGAGGACCAGTTAACTAAGCCACCTCTTAGTGTATTTAGTTGGGAAATCTTAGCTGAAGATATTCAGTAATGAACCGACAGTGACTAAAAAATTCAATATTTAAGTATATTTCATTGTAATTAATTTGAATTTAAGTAGCCATATACAGCTAGTATTTACTACATTGAACAATGCAAATAAGAGGAAAAAATTAATAACCATCTCTAATACCACATGCCAAAATCCTCATAGATTTATTCTAGCTAAAGGAGTTTATCAGAAGCAGCAATTGAAAGTACCAACTAAACCAGCTAGGGTTAATTCACTGTCATTCTCTCAGAACCATCTCTTCTCTGAACAAAACAAGTACAAGAGTTAATTGTGAATCTGCATTTTCCTTGCCTATTTTAAGGTTTGGATGTTGACACTAACTTGTGAAATCCCTCTTGCGGTGTGATATTTCGTTTTCCTTGCTTTTTGTTAGGACAAGAATGCTTCAGCTCTTAATTTAAAATTATGTTTGTCCCTCCTAGGTTGAGTGAACTTAGAATGCATTCTCTGACATATCCAAGTTTTTGTTAATATGGATCTGGGGAAAAAAGCATACTTAATTAGCTAAGACTTCTTATTCTAGGCTTGACCCTGTGTTCGACATCTTTTGAATTTGTAGTTGCATAGGCTGCTCTCTGACACTGGTTAGTGATCTGGAAGTTATATTAACGTCAGGGGAGGTGGTGTATGAGCATTAGAGGTATCCTTGCAAGGAAAGACTTGTCTTATCTCAATACGTCTTTTTTTTGCACACAAGAAAGTCAATGTTTGAGTCTTCTAAAATCTTCCTATTTCCAAGTTGCAGAGTACTATTGATTCCTAAACAAAGATCTAATTTTTGACTCAGAGACGTGGCAAGGTAGTGAATCACCATTATAATTTAACAATCTTCAAGATAAAATTATCTCTCTGATATTTAGATTTTGCCCGATTATTAAGATATTTGGGTGTTTCGTTAAGAATGGAAGACTCTAGTCTCTTGAGCAAAGACTATAAAGCCCTCAGACGATCATTTATAATTTTATGCTCTTTTCTTTTACACCTTCAACACAGTTGGAAGCAGCAAATATTCCCTAGAGTTGTTGTGTTTTTTAAACCAAATGCATGGTTCAGTGGTAGAAAACTGGGCTGATCCAAGCTGTTTTCAGTAAACACTTCATTTCAGGTGACCTATTTCATGTGAAATAATCTCTAGATCCTGTCTTCAAAACTAACTAGATCAGATAACCTACCCTAGATTTTCCCCTTTTAGGGTCTGTTAGCTGCAGTCACTTTTGTGAAAATGATTGCAGTGAAAAGATAGAGTTGTAGATGGGGAAAATGTTTTGACTAATTTAAGCATAGTGGTATTTAATATGAGAATTTAAGTTACACATATTTGAAAATTACAATGGAGTCTCTTGGCTGAGCTTTAAAAAAAAATAGCGTTTAGGCTAAAAAGGGAACTGCTACCTCTCCTAAAATCAGAAAGATGTTACAGTAATTCTCCATTCTCTAGAATTATCAGGAAGCACCTTTGTGATGATTTACTTTTGCTCTTAGGAGTGTGAGCCTGTGTAGTCGTGGAACCATCAATTAGAATGATGGCTTTCTGATCCCAAAGTCATTCATTCTGAAAACAATATTTTTCATAAAATTGAAAGTGAGAAGTTTTGATCTTGCCATTCCCAAGTAACTCTCTTAATAAGAGGCATCAGCATGCTTCAGTGACAGATGTCACCTTCCAGTGCTGAGAGTCATCTTTGAGTTCTCCATTTCACTCCCTACACTCCAATTTAGCTGCAGTTCTCTTGGCCAGTCCTATGAAATACATCCTGGCCTAACGACTTCTCACCACTAATACCACTCATACTCACAGCATTCTCACCTAAGTCACTACCTTTTTTCTCTGGATTACAATAGCCTCCCAATTTATTTGCTCACATAACCATTTATTCTACACAGTGCACCAGATACACCCCTTTGAAATGCAAACACAATCATGTTATTCTCTGGTGAAATTATCTCATACATTCCTATCGCATTTAAAATTAATTCAGAATCATCCCATGATTATCAAAACCCTACATGCTCTTCCACAACATGGTTTACTTCCAAGATATCTCTTCAAATTTTTTTTCACTGTACTGAATTGGTGACTAATAGTCATATTTTTGTTTTTGTTCAAAAAGTCTTGACTTGTAAATTTTTCAGTTTCTTCTTTATCCACAGGTAACTCTTTCCTCACAAGGTGAATTGCTTGCTTCCTTGAGTTCTGCTCTCAAAGATACCCTTCATTTTCTACCTAATATTAATAACTGTAATCACTCATTATTCCATTACTATGCTCTATAGTGTATACAACTGTTCTTTGTCATGTCATTAACTAAATTATTTATTTGTTCCAGTAATGTATTCCATAAATATTGTACACCTAAAAATTATGCTATTTTTACTGCTGTATGCTCAGCTGCCCAATAACAGTTTGAGGATTAACATATTTGTTAAATGCACAAATACATTCTTTCAGAAGTGTTAGTTGAATAATTTTATATTAAACTCCCTATATACGTACAATATGAATTAGAGAATTCAGAATAAACATTCCATTGGAAAAAACTAAACAATTTGTTATAAAACATCCTTAAAAGCATCAGAAAGTTAATACAGCAATGAAGAATTACAGGACCAAATTAAGAATGGTATGGAAGCCTGTTTGTGAGGCTTATGTTTGGGTTATCTCTTTACTTAGAATGACTATAAATCTCAAAAGAGAACTAAAGGGAGAAATAACCATATCTACTAACATGGTAAGGGTATTTAAACATCTCTTAGTAATTGGGAAAGTTGAAAGAAAAGAAAAAAGAGAAAGGGAGAAAGAAACAGAGCGAAAGGGATAATGAAGGAGAGAAGAAGAGAAAGGAAGAGGAAGAAAAGTAAAAAGAGGAGGGGGAGGGAGGAAGAAAGAAAGGTGGAAAGAAAGAATGGTAAAGTTTTTAACATAATGTATCCTTCTGGAATATGAATGTTGGTCTATTTGATGGTGTCCCACAGATTCCTTAGTCTCTGCTCATTTTTTATTTTTTATTCTTTCTGTTTCTCAGAGTCAGTATTTTCCATTTTCTTATCTTCAAGTTCATGACTTCTTCTGCGTGTGCAAATGTACTCTTAAATCCCTCTGTTGATTTTTTAATTTTTATCATTGTAGTTTTCCACTCAGGAATTTCTGTTATCTCTTTGTTGATATTCCTACTTTTTAATATTTTTTCTAATTCCTTTATTTCTCTGTTTATGTTTTCTTTTTGACATTTGAGTATAATTAAGAGAGTTGTTTAAAAGTCTTTGTGTAGTAAGTTTGATGTCTGGGTTTCCTTAGAGATATTTTCTGTCAACTTATTTTGTTCCTTTGAATGAGCCATACTTTCCCATTCTTTGTATGCCTTGTAACTTTTTTTGAAAACTGGACATTATAATAATTATAATTACTATGTGGTTACTCTGGGCAGACCCCCCCCTACAAACACACTAATGTTTTGTGGTTCTAAATTTTA
Source organism: Homo sapiens (assembly GCF_000001405.40). NCBI lineage: Eukaryota > Metazoa > Chordata > Mammalia > Primates > Hominidae > Homo > Homo sapiens. Next base: position 65,118,824 of record NC_000007.14, on the reverse strand, counting down.
TTTACTTATTATATTGTTAAAGTTTCTATTTTTAGTGAAATTTTCCAAAGTGATTTACAAAACTGTTTGCTTTATAAGGTGCGGTCACCGAAGTCTTTTTGTTTCCTTAACAAATGTTAAGCTAATGTTTTGACAGTGATTTTCTTGTATGTCAGGAACTAAGCAAACAGGCAAATACAACAAAAACAAAAAGAAAAACAAGTAATCATTAGCCAGCAAAATATGTCTCTAGGCCATGCAGACTGGCTTTGTGCTGGGTTCTTTAAAGCCGGCACAAAGTGTATGTTCACTCTTGCACTGAGTGAAGTTCAAGTTCACTCTTGCACAGAGCTTGCACTGAGGGGAGGAATCGGCCAAGGTAAAAGTGTAGGCTCTTCTTATGACATTTGTCATCATGTGGCTTAACCTATGCATACATGTGACTTTCTAGACTCTCCCATGTACGTGAATGATTTTGAATGTCTTAGTTTTCCAAATACTCTTCTCCAACTTTTCTTCCTGTGCCGAAGGTGATCTACTATATGTGTAAACTCTAATTTTTGCCCTAAGCGTCTGTGGTTTGTTAGGTCTCCTTGCTGAGTTTCTTAATAATGTCCATTCCTTATCTGTTCTGTATTCTAGCAACACAGAAAAAAAAAAAAAAGCCTTTCACTAGTCCTTCAGGTATCCCCCAGACCAGTCAGAACAGACACATAATAATTTGCGGGTAAGATCTTCTCTTGTTCCTTTGGGCGATGGACCAGGCTTCCTCACTGGGAACGTGGGCTTCTGACACTTCAGAACTGCCAATTTGCTGGGGCAAAGGCAAGTTAAAAATGTCGTAAAGTTTTCCAGTTGTCTTTTCCTTGAGTCTGCTTTCACTTGGTTGTTGTAATCTTTTGACCATTTTCCAGAGTTTTGGCAAAGTTTATTCGGACAGTTTCTCTTAGTTGTGTGATGTTTCTGTGGGGAAATGAAAGATTGCAGCTGTCTCCACTGCCATTTTGCTGATGCTCCTCTTTTGTGAATTTTTGCTTCATGTTCTTATGCTTTGTTATTAGTTCATGTATTAGTTTTCTAGGGCTGCCATAACCAAGTAACACAAACTGGGTGCCTTGAACAACATACATTTATTGCCTTATAGTCCTGGAAGCTAAAAGTCTGAGATTGAGGTGTCGGCAGGGATGGTCCCTTCAAGGGCTACGAGAGAAAGTCTGTTCTATGCCTTGTTTCTAGCTTCTGGTGGTTTTGTGGCAGTCTTTGGCATTCCTTGGCTAACCTCTGCCCTCATAATCACATGGAACTCTCCCTGTGTGTATGTCTCCCTCTACTCAAATTTCTTCTTTTTATAAGGACATCAGTCATATTGAATTCAGGCTCATCTCATATTATCTTAACTTGATCACCTGCAAGGAACCTATTTCCTAATGAGGTCATATTCAGTGGTTAGGATTTCAGCATCTGTATAGAGGAAACAATTTAGCTCAAATCTGTGCATACATGATTGTAATAGCTATGTCTTCCTAAAGCGTTGACCCCCTTATTCCTACAATAAAAATTTTAAAAATCCTATTCACATTTTTAATAGTCTATATTGTGTTATGAGTATAATGAGTTCAGTGTTTTTACGATTGCTCTTTGCATATTTTTTGTCATCTTTTTACTTTCAATCCATTAGTATCCTTGCATCTCAGCGTATATTGGGATCACTTGTTTTAATCCAGTCTGACAATCTCTGCCTGTTGATTGGATTTTAATCTGCTCACATTTAATATTATAATTGGTATAATTCTATTTGTCTGCCATTTTACTATTTGTTTTGTATATTTCTCAAATATTTTTCTTTATTGCTTTATTTTGCAATGAATGAATATTTTCTAAAATAGGGAACTTTAGATTACTAACGAAATATTTTACTATATATTTTTGAGAATTTTTGTTGTTGTTGTAAGTTTACCATGTAGGTATATGGAAAATTAATTACTCAAATCATCTTCCAATTTATACTAGTAAACTTTTAGTAATACATAGAAACATCATTCTTATACAAATCTCTTTTATTTCCTCCATTTGAAAGTATTATCACTTTACACATTACATCTATTAAAGTTACAAAGCCAACAATACATTTTAGTAATTATCACTTTACCATCTAGAGTGATTATCTTATCACGATACATTTTTCTTCCAACCACCTCCTTTTTGATGTTACTGGGAAATATGTTATAGACATATTACATTTCTACATGTCAAATACTCAGCAATACATTATGCACATATTATTATTATTATTATCATTGAGACGGAGTCTCCCTCTGTCACCCAGGCTGGAGTGCAGTGGCACTCCAGTGCCACTCCAGTGAGCTCCGCTCACTGCAAGCTGCATCCCCCGGCTTCATGCCATTCTTCTGCTTCAGCCTCCTGAGTAGCTGGGACTACAGGCGCCCGCCATCACGCCCGGCTAATTTTTTGTATTTTTAGTAGAGACGGGGTTTCACTGTGTTAGCCAGGATGGTCTCGATCTCCTGGCCTCGTAATACACCCGCCTCAGCCTCCCAAAGTGCTGAGATTACAGGCGTGAGCCATCGTACCCGGCCATTATACACATATTATTTTATAAACAATTTATGATAAAGAGAAAACATGCATTTCTACTGTCTTTTATAATGTTAATATTACCTATACCAGTGCTTTTTTAAAAATGTGGATTCAAATGACTGTCTTGTGTAACTTGCTTTTAGCCTTAGGAATTTATTTTGGTGTTTTTGGTTTTTTTTTTTTTTTTGGTATGATAGGTCTGGCAGCAACAACTTCAGTTAATATTTCTGTTTATCTGGCAAAGTCTTTGTGTTATCTTCATTTTTGAAAAATAATTGCTGGATAAGGAATTGGTGGCTGACAGTTTTTTTTCCTTTGCATCTTTTGAATATATTATTCTACTGCCTCTTGCCTTCCATTGTTTCTGTTAAGTCAGCTGTTAATCTTACAAAACATAGGTGCTCAAATAACAAACATGTGCATGAATATTTACAGCAGTAATAATCATACAGTCAAAAAGTGGAAACAATCCATATGCTTGTTGACTCATAAATGGACACCCAATTTTTAGCTATAACAAAGAAAGAAGTACTTATACATGGTATAATGTGGGTGAAATTTGAAAGCATTAAGTGCACAAAAAGACAAATATTACCTGATTTTATTCAGATGAAACATCAGGAATTGGCAAATCAATTGGGATATAAATCAGATTAGTGGTCATTAGGGCTCAGGGAAGCAGAATAGGGTGTAACAACTTTATGGATAATGGGTTTTTAGAAGGGACATGATGAAATTGTCCTGGAACATTGTGAATATACTAAAAGCAACTGCATTGTATGCTTTAAAATGGTTGTTATTAATTTTATACTATGTGATTTTTACCTTAAAAAACAAAAAAAAAAGAAAATAGCCTTACTCTATACATAATAAACTCAAGATGTGTTACAAATTTATATGTGAAATCCAAAATACTATAATATTTAAGGAATAGCTCAGTAGAATAACACTAAAATTTAATGTAATGAAATATTACCTTAAAAAAGAAAAAAGCACAGTAATTAAAAAGGGAAATATAGTTAATCTTTTTTCTCTCCACTAAGCATGCCATTAACTGAGGAAAAAATCCAGCTGCAATTATGTAAACTACATTTTCTAAAACCATAAAGAAAATAAGAAATGAAAAGGGATTTGGGAAAAAAATCCAAAGGTACAGTCAACTACACAAAAAAAGCTTAGTCTCATTAATCATTATGGAAATGCAAATTGTAACTGAAATAAGATAAAACTACAATTCAAAGAGAAAGCCTAAAATTTCAACCCCCCAAAAATTCTGGGTTTTGGAGAGCTGGGATGGAATAGGGCTCCTAACCTTACAACAATGAAAGAACCCAACTAACTTCAAAGTCATGACTTTATTTTTATAGCAACCAGGTTGCCAAGAACTGAGTCAAAATGTGAGGGAAAACAAGCACCTGCAAGGAGAAAGAGGACAGATGCACTTACATAGGACAGATGCAAATAGACACCACTATGACAAGTAAAGCTGGAATAATCAATAAATTCCTGAAGACAAAGTGGGGCCGGTCAGATTGGGAGACCGCTGACAGCTGCAGAAGTTGGGAAAGATCCATCATCTTGAAAACTTTTCCCCCCAAACCCACTGTGATCTCTCAAGCAATTGGTAAGGAATCCAAGAGAGTCTGTATATGATACAGATCAGGGAGAGCAGAACACTTGGGAGGTGACCAGGTCTTGGGGGCCGAGCCCTTATGAATGGGATTAGTGCCTTTATAAAAGAAGCTCAATGGAGTTCTTGTGTGCCTTCCACTATGTGAGGACATAGAAAGAAGGCACCATCTATGAACCATGAAATGGGCTCTCATCAACACTGAATTTGTGAGCATCTTGACCTGAGATCTTACAGCCTCAAGAAGTGTGAAAAAAGAAATATCTGTTGTTTTTTAGTCACCCAGTTCATGTTATTTTGTTATAAGAGTCCAAATAGACCAAGATATTCCACTTAATATATAGGGGAAGGCAACAAAAACTGCCACACTTAGAATACTCCTGATGCTGGGAGTATGAAAACAGGAAAAACAAAACTGCTCTTGAAGGTGAAGGAGGAATACCACTGAGCTCACCAACACAGCCAGGAAAAGAACAGAAGTGTGAGAAGGCCACATTCCTGGGACCCTGAGAAAAAGTACCTGCATAAGACTGAGATGAAATTACCTACCCTAGTTACAATTGAAATCCCAAAAAGAAAAGAGGAAAAAATAACGGAGCAAAAGAAATATTTTTCAAAATAACTGCCAAAAATATTCTAAAAGAAGTGACAGAAAATCAAACTTCAGATATAGGAAACTCAGAGAATGTCAAATAGAACAAAAATAAATAAGAATTACATCTTGAAAAATCTTTAAAAAATCAAGTCTAAATTTTATATCTTGCTCCAAATATATAGAGATATAAATAGGTTATCATCAAGATATGGAGAAAGCCATATCATGGAAACACTAAAATAAAGCTGTGGAAAGACTACATTGATATTAGACACAACAGAGTTCAGAACAAGAAATAGTATCAGAGATGAGAGATAATAGATAATAGAATAATCAATTCTCAAGAAGATGTAAACATCCTACTAATTAGGGTACGCAGCTAACAACAGAACCTCCAAATACATGAGGCAAAACAGGAAGGAAATCAAAGGCGAACTAGAAAAATCCAAAATTATATTTGCAGACTTCAACACTTTTGTCTTAGTAATGGACAGACTAGGCACAAACTCAGTAATCATATGGAAGATAAGAACAACAATATCACCAACAAGACATCCAATCTTCAATGGCAGATACTCTTTCAAGTGAAAAAAAAAAAAACAGTATGGCATATTCTCTAACAAACCCAGAATTTCTAATATTTGCGGTCTTCCTTCCTTCTTTCCATCTTCCTTTCTCTTCTCTTCCCTTCCCTTGCCTTCCTTCCTTTCTTCTTTTCCTCTTCCTTTTCTTTTCCTTTTTCTTTTCCTCTTTCTTTTCTCCTTCCTTCCTTTTCTCTTATTCTTCCTTCCCTCCTCCCTCCCTTCCTTTCTCCCTCCCTTTTCTTCCTTCTTTTCTCTTATTCTTTCTTTCTCACTTTCTTGTTTTCTTTCCTTTTCTCCTTTCCTCCCTCCCTCCTTTTATTCCTTCCTCGCTCCCTTCCTTTCCTCCTTTTTCCTTCCTTCCTTCTATTTATTTTCTTTGTTTCTTTGCCTTCCTCCCTTTTCCCATTCTCTCTTCCTCCTTTCCTTCCTCCCTTCCTTTCTTTCTCACTTTCTCTTCTTTCTTTCTCTTTCTTTCTTGTGTTCTTGCTTTCTTTTTAGTCCCTTCCTGCCTTTCTCCCTTCCTCCTTCCCTCCCTTCCTTCTCTCATTTCCTCCTTCTTTTCTTTCTTTCTTTCCTTCCTTCCTTCTTTTTTCTTTCTTTTCTTTTCTTTCTTTCTCTTTACTACAATTCATATTATTTAAAAAAAATTAAGAGGGGGAGGCAGAAAAATAAAGAACACTTTAATCTGCAGGTAAATAGATTATGTCTGCTGCAGACAAAAGAATGGCCTCCCAAAAATGTTCATGTCCTAATTCCCAGAGTCTAACATACAAATATGTTAGGTTGCATGGCAGTGGGAAATTAGATTTCAAGTGAAATTAAGGTTGCAATAAAATGATGGAGAGATTATCTTAAATGGGTGGGATCAACGAAATCACAAGCTTCCTTATAAGTGAGAGAAGAAGGCAGAAGAAAGGCAACCATGGAGGTCGCAGCATGAGAAATTACTCAACATCACTGACTTTTAAGATACAAGAATGAGGACCCAGCGCGGTGGCTCATGCCTAATCCCAGCACTTTGGGAGGCTGGGGTGGATGGATCACGAGGTCAGGAGATTGAGACCATCCTGGATAACATGGTGAAACCCCATCCCTACTAAAAATACAAAAAATTAACTGAACATGGTGGCACGTGCCTGTAGTCCAAGCTACTCAGGAAGCTGAGGCAGGAGAATCACTTGAGCCTGGGAGGCAGAGGTTGCAGTGAGCTGAGATTGTGCCACTGCACTCCAGCCTGGGTGACGGAAGGAGACTCCATCTCAAAAAAAAAAAAAGATATAAGAATGAAGTCATGTTCCAAGGAATAAAGGTGGCCTCTGGATGCTGAAAAATATCAAGTACATAGATTCTGCCACATAGCCCTCAGAAAGACTGCAGCCCTGCCCAAAACTTGATGTTAGCCCTGTGAGTCTCAGTTAAGGCTCTGACCTCCAGAACTGCAGGCTTAACAGTCAATTTATTGTAAGATATGAAGTTTGTGGTACTTTGTTACAGCAGCAAGAGGAAGTTTATATAGTAATTGTATCATGAAAATGAGAACCATAATTTACAACTGCTTTTAATACTGCACTTGGATGTTTGAAATCACATACATGGAAATGATCTCTATCTGAATGAGGGAGGATAGCAAATTGATGCCAAAATAACGCAAATGCAAATCTTTCATTTCTATGTAGGTTTCATTTAATCTTTGAAATTAAAATGAAATTAAAGGATTATGATATTTTGATGAAATTAGACTAAAATGAACAATAACAAAATAAGAACTTACTTATATTCTTTATATGGTCAATAAAGAAGTGATAGTGGAAAAAAACAAGATCAAATGAAGGTGATGATTTAGGAAGTTGGAAAGTTAGCTTAAACTACAAAATGTTATATAACTGGTGAACACTTAGACACACTGATTTATGAACTTCAGCTTTTGGCTTGGTGAGAGCATAAAATGAGAGCAGCTGAGGTTTGCAAATTTGTAATCTCCTTGTGGAAAAACAGGGGAAAACACATCTCAGCCTAATAAGATTTATCTACTAAAGAGTCAAGAATTTATCCATTTGTCCTTGTAATTCAAAAGCTAATTCAAATCCTGATTTGATGTATTGTGTGAACAACCATTGCTGATTATCATCGCATACCTGGCATTCTCTTTTATCTGACATCTAAAATACTTGGTAATTTCTGGACTTTCTCTTTTCAAACCCAGTATGGTTTAATTTCAATTTTAGAACAGTTGTCTTTGAGAAATTCTTCCCTCTACTGCATCTGTAAATGGCCATAGCATGGTTACATATATACTGTCGCCCCAGAGAACATTTGTTAAATTAAAACCAAAGTTTAAAGCAACAGCTTTAACTCACTGGTTTTACTAATGTTTTCCTCCCCAATAGCCACAACAATATTTATACCCTCACACCTTTTAACATAAAGCTTGGTGTTTACTTTTCAGGTGCTGTCATCTATATGATCTCAGTATTTTAAAAATCAGCTTCCAGCCCATATGGTGGCTCATGCTTGTAATACCAGCAGTTGAAGAGGCTGAAATGAGAGGATTCTTTGCACCCAGGAGTTCAAGAGCAACCTGGGCAACGCAGCAAGACCCAGTCTCTATCAAAAGTTAAAAAAAAAAGGTCGGCATGGTGATGTGCACCTGTTGTCCTAGCTATTTGGGAGGCCAAGGTGGAAGGATTGCTTGAGCTTGGGAGGTTGAGGCTGCAGTGAGCAGTGATTGCACCACTGCACTCCAGCCTGGGCAACAAAGCAAGACCCTATCTCAAAAAATATATATAATAAAAATAAAAATCAGCTCTCATTGATTTCTGCATAAATATGCACAGGTGATGTCCATATAGACATAAATAATAATATATCTGACAACGGGCCCATATGATCTTAAAATGTAAAATGCCTATCTGTGTAATTGACTGGTTAGTCTCATTAATGAATATAGATTCAATTCTACTTTCTTGTTCTACATAAATTATATAATCTAGCTTTTCGTTTCACTTATTTACTGATAACAACATGAAGAATGACAAGATATCTATTTTGGAAAATTACTCTGGTAGGAGAAAAGATGAAACAATGATAGAATTGCATGGAAAACTAGAAAAAAGTATGGTCTTCTGATATTCTATCACATCATATACTAAAGGCCTCATAAAACTCAGATATTTTATCTAAAAATGTTATTTTCATCTTAGGAATGATCAAAGCATGAGACTAGAATTGTATTACAATGTGCTTGTATCACAAGCACATGTGCTAAAAAGGAGGGGAAAACATCATTACTGATATTTTAAACGGATGTTTTACTTTCCATCAACATGAACCTCAACTTGATATGATGCAGATTGAAGGAAATCACCCATAATTCCACATTAAGAAGGCCTGTGATATTTTATGGGAAAATAGAGAAAATGCTAACAGAAACCCTATTAAGCATTAAGCTTTATGGAGCAAAGACAAATCCAGTGGTGAAAGATACACACTCGAGTTCTGTTTGTTGTCTTGGAACAATTCGGTTTAGAGGTGACTGGTGGGTGAGGAGAACATATGCGAGTTCACCAAACAGAAAAGCTGAATGAGGCAATGCCTCTTCCTGACCATATCTCTTACTCAGATAACTATATAATTTATTGTCCAGTAAAGGTTATATTTAAAAATCATATTAAAAGTCATGCAATGAAGTTGTCCAGGGAAATCAAGACTTAACAGTCTCACTCTGACAATAATGAATAGGGGGGTTCCCTGAAGATAGACTAGGACATGACCCCACACTGGCAGGTAGTAGTACCAGAAAAGAACCCATGGAAAATCTTTACCTTATGCTTGAGATAGGGACCAGGCTTAAGTGAAAGCCAGACATAAAATTCTATCTAAAATATATCCACAATCGACGAAAATATGTGGTGTACAGGCATAGAATGTCTTTACTGGATCATTGAAATAGTAAGATAAATTCAAATTTTTACATTGTTTTATTTTCCTCCAGTTAGGGCTTGAGGTTTGTCTCTGGAGAGTGACTGTCAATTGGAGCCCTGCCTTTCTGGGGTTCTGGGCAGGGGGTTGTGGATGCTTAACATGTGCCTTTCACAGGACACTTCCTTACCCCAGCAATGGCCAGGTGTCCATCCCACAACCAGGCCTCCCTCTCACAGAACATCTGTTGAGACTAGGAGATGCCTGGTGACTGTTGCCTGACCTGTGTCCTGTGTATTTCTGACAAGAGCCACTCTCAGAGACCCTGGCCAGGAGGAGAGTTAGGTTCCAGTATAGGTCAGATCAGACACATGGAGGCCACAGGACCAAACATGGGAAATCACAGAAGTAGTTTAATTACTCACAGATCCAGAGAGAAGAGGGTAGCTGAGAAGAGGGTTTAGCTGTGTCCCCAGCCAAATCTCATCTTGAATTCCCACATGTTGTGGGAGGGAACAGGTGGGAGGTAATTGAATCATGGGGGCAGGTCTTTCCCATGCTGTTCTTCTGATAGTGAATAAGTCTCACAAGATCTGATGGTTTTACAAAGGGGAGTTTCCCTGCACAAGCTCTCTCATCTTGTCTGCTGCCATGTGAGACTGCCTTTCACCTTCCACCATGATTGTGAGGCCTACCCAGCCATGTGGAACTGTGCATCTATTAAACCTCTTTCTTCTAGAAATTACCCAGTCGGGCATGTCTTTACCAGCGGTGTGAAAATGGACAAATACAGTAGCACACCTCATAGGGCTGAACAAAACGGAGAAGATGAGTGGGGAGCAAGAGAGAGAAAAGGGGTCTGTGGGACTCCAGCCTTTATTGGGCCCAGAACAGTACCCAAATAAGTTTTCCACGGGGCTCTAGTCGGTGGGGTGAGTGCCAGCAGGCACATTTCTTGGCTTCCGCTGCAACTGAGCAGGTCACTCTGGCGTGTGGGGGCTGTCCAAGTGGGCTGTGAGGTCTGTGGGGTGAGTCATGCAGATTGTATCCAACGGTTCCATGGCGGGTAGTCACCAGGGGGAGGCAACTGTGTAGGGTCAGTATCTGGGCCAGCCACACTGAGGAACTGTGAGGGTTAGAACTGGAAATTGTCAAGGGAATCTGAACCCAGCTACCATATGAGAGAGTTCAACTTACATTCAATGTGAATGCCATGGCAATATTAAAAGGTAAGAATTCACTCCATACGTGCTTGAGGTAAATAGGAGAAACCTAGAATTTATGTAAACAGTGAGAAGATTAGATGCGTTTTCTGTCACATATTTTAATACTGGCAGCATATTATATATGTCAATCCATCAGGCATTCAGAATTACATGCTTATGAAAATTTTTTGCACCATCAGACAAACGACAAGGGTAGAAGACATTTTTAACCCTATAAACGCTAGTAAATTAAAAATTTATGTCCTAATATTTCTATGTTGTGAAAGGCTGCCCTGTGAAATACAGGATTTCTTAAACATATTTTAAAAATCATAGGTGTCAATATTTTTTAGAAATCCATTTAAATTTTCTCTTGCTATTTTACAGTGCCTATTTATTTAGTGGTTCTGCTGATTTTGATGTATATCCTAAACTTTACATTTTCTTTAAAGTATGTTTTATACAACTTTATGTAAAATGTTTCAGTATCTTCACATTCTCTCCCTGTCCTTTTGTTTTGCTCTTATATGGTGGCCTTGAGTCTTTTCTCTGGCTTTTCAAACCTAGTAAGACTAAGACACTAAAGTAACTTTGCCCGTGGTTTGGTAATGCCTTCTAAAGCACATCCTAAGCTCTGGTGCATACAGGGGTCTCCTTTGAGCTCTGTGCTTTTGAGATCCCATATACCTAAATTCCAGTACTCCAAATCAGTACTGCTCAGTTTTAGTTACTAAGTTTAAAAATGTATTTTAATAGCAAGTTAGTTTAGTGCACTCTTGCTTCTTTCTTTACTGCTGGTATACATGTATATTCCTTTAAATGAATCTTGGAATTTATTTAAAAATTTTAAATTATACTAATGGAACTATATATTGTTGTGAATTCATAGGTGAATTTGGAAAGAATTTGTCTTTATGATACTAAATCCTTTTTATCCAAGAATCATATGTGCCTTTATATTTATTCCAGTCTATATTTATATCACTGAGTAAATATATAGAAATGTAGATACATACAGCTGTAGTTATAGATAGATACAAATATAGATATAACATGTTAAATCTATATCTATCCCATATAACATGTATACATGTTATATGTGTGTGTATATATATTTGTTTGTGTTATTAAAGAGCTCCCTTAAAATTTTTCTTTTATTTCCTATATAATTTTAGGTTGAGCTTGAATTTTCCTTGTATAAACAAACAAATATTTATACTAGTTTTAATACTGAGATTTAGACATTCTATCTTATTTTAGCATTGAATATTTTCACAATTATTATAAATATCTAATATTAATAACGGAACTGTTAAAAATGTTTAAAATTGTACCTTTGAATTATTTTATTGTTGAATTTAAATTCCTTTAAGTATGATAGTAAATTTCTATTTTATGCTTTCTCTATGCATATGCAAATTAATCTATCCACTTCTCTATCTCTATGTAGTAACATATGAAAATCAGGCCTCTCTTCTTCTAATGGACATACACATGTTTGCATATAGAATATCAGACTCTTTATAGCATTTAAAATCTTTAAAGACATGAATATTACCTTTTGACAAATATATTTTTGCATGTACTGAGAATACCCTATTTATTTTTTATTTGGGCTAAGCAATACGATTATTAATATTATTGGATTACCAAATTTAGAATCACACTTTCATCCCCAAGGTGGATATTTGTGGGTTTTTTTGCCAATTTCTTGAGCCTGTGTGTCAATTCACTTGAGCCGAGGCTTGGTGGGTCACCTGATATCAGGAGTTCAAGACCAAGGAAAGAAGAAAGGAAAGGAAAAGAAAGGAAAGGAAAGGAAAGGAAAAGAAAAAGGAAAAAGGAAAAGGAAAGGAAAAAGAAAAGAAAAGAAAAAAGAAAAGAATATGAACAGTTGGCGAGATCAAGACTTCTGGCCCAAAGGGCCTGCAGCTGGTCTGACCATTCATCAAAAAATCTGAATTTAAATGGAGACACATTGGACTGTCACATGCAATAAAAGAACTGAAACAGCAAATGGTCTTGATGTGGGTTTCCTTCCACCCTACACGGCTCCAGCAAATGGAGGAGTGAGTGTGCCTGCGGTGCTCCTGACACATCTAGGGTAGTTCCTATTCACAGTGGTCAACCTTTGGGATTTTCCACACCTCACAGGGTCATCATCCATCTAGGCTAACCTAGAATGTCCAGATAAAAGCTCCTGTTTAGTGACTGGAGAGAAAATTGTCAAACCTGAAAGCCCATGAACTGTCTCAGCCAGGGGAGAACACACGTAGGAAAGACTACAGAGTGATGTCAGAAGCCTAATTTCAGATTGACCTGTACAGCTTTATGATTGTGAGTAATTAACTTACTTTTGCTAGGCTCTGTTATTCTCACATCAATAATGAGAAAGCAAACTGAATAGTCTCCCAAATCCCTTTCAATTTTAACATCCTCTGACTTTATGATTAAAGAGTGATACTAATAAGGCTAAAACTGTGGCTTAACCCCAATAGGAGCCTGCTGGGATTATGCTACACAAAACTATTCCACACAGACAGGGCCATTCTGACCATGTCCCTCCCTACACCAGCTAATATACAGATATGCACCACTGGTATGAGAAGTCCCTCCTACAGAGGACATTGACTGATTCAATAATAGGCTGATTTAGTCATTCAACCAACAAATATTACTGAAAACCTTCTAGGTATTTAGGGATACAACAGAACAAAACAGACAAAATCCCTTTCCTTATGGAGCTTACGTTTTAGTGAAGAAGAGTGGGGGTGTCAGACATCAAATAGGAAATGAGTTGAGGATACATTTTATGCAGAGCACCCTGGAGGCACTTTTGATAAGGTGATTTTTGAGCCTCAATCCAAAGCAGTGAGACAGTGAGCCATGCAGACACTAGGGGAAGAATGTTCCAGGCAGAGGGAACAGCAAGGCCCAGAGACAGGACAGAGACAAGCATGCCTGGCATGTTAAATGTTTATACAGAGGAGTAAGAGCAGGAGAATAGCAGGAAGCACAGTGAGACAGGTAGTAGGGGGCAAGATCATGTAGAAAACAGAAAGCCACTGGAGAGTTTGAACAGAGGGGTAAACATGATCTAAATTCCACTGAAAGAGGACTGTTCTAGCTGTTGTACTGAGAGTAGACAGGCTGGGTGCGGTGACTCACACCTGTAATCCCAACACTTTGGGAGGCTGAGGCAGGCGGATCACTAGAGGCCAGGAGTTCAAGACCAGTCTGGCCAACATGTCGAAACCCTGTCTCTACTAAAAATACAAAAAAATTAGCCGGGCATGGTGGTTCGTGCCTGTAATCCCAGCTACTAGGGAGGCTGAGGCAGGAGAATCACTTGAACCTGGGAGGCGGAGGTTACAGTGAGCAGAGATCACAGCATTGTACTCCAGCCTTGGCGAGACAGCAAGACTCTGTCTCAAAAAAGAAAAAAAAAAAAGACAGAATAGACTGAAGGAGGCAAGCATGGAAACAAGAAAACCAGTTAGGAGACTACTGAGATAAACCAGGTGAGAGATGATGGCAGATGGGTCCAGGGTGGCAGCAGTGAGGAATGAAGAGGGACAGACTCTGGGATATATTCTGAAGTTGAATCAACAGGACACTGGAGGACAGGATGATCTTGGAAAATCTTGGGACTTCTGCAGAATTGAATGAAGCTAAATGGCACTAAATTCCAACATCCACTGTGAAATCCTGGGATCAGGGATTTGTTCATCTCTGTCACCTAGTGTCCCACCCAGTACTTGGCACATAATGAAGATATAAAAAGTCCTCAATTCTTGAATAAATGTGGAACTGAATATATTACAAAGCCAAAAAACCTGCAGTTTGATAGGTCATTAGGAGACCAAAAAGCATCTGGTACTAGACATATTTTACTAACAGAGTCTTTCCCTGTCGCCCAGGCTGGCAATGGCGTAATGTCAGCTCACTGCAACCTCCGCCTCCCAGGCTCAAGCAATTCTCATGCCTCAGCCTCCCCAGTAGCTGGGACTACAGGCACTCACCACCATGCCCAGCTAATTTTTTTGTTTTGTTTTGATTTTTGTATTTTAGTAGAGATGGGGTTTCACCATGTTGCCGAGGGTGGTCTCAAACTCCTGAGCTCAGGCAATCCACCCACCTTGGCCTCCCAAAGTGCTAGGATTACAGGTGTGAGCCACAGCGCTCAGCCTAAATCTATTTCTTTTTATAAAAAATTTCCCTTACTATGGCCGGACACGGTAGCTCACGCCTGTAATCCTAGCACTTTGGGAGGCCGAAGCGGGCATATCATGAGGTCAGGAGATTGAGACCATCCTGGCTAACACGGTGAAACCCCATCTCTACTAAAAATAAAAAAATAAAAATAAAAATTTCCCTTTATAACTCATTTCACAGTAGTAACCAATGAAGCTGACAAACAACTTCACATTATACAGGTGAGATGTGAACAACTTGGCCATTTCCCTGAGAGGCCAGATGTAGTCACCAAACCTCAGCAACTCCCACCTAAAATACAGGGATAAGTATTACACAAGTAGTAAGCCCATGTTCTTATAAATAGTAAATCATGGGCCGGGCACGGTGGCTCACGCCTGTAATCCCAGCACTTTGGGAGGCTGAGGCGGGTGGATCACGAGGTCAAGAGTTCAAGACCAGCCTGGCCAACATGGTGAAACCCCCGTCTCTACTAAAAATACAAAAATTAGCCAGGTGTGGTGGTGGGTGCCTGTAATCCCAGCTACTCAGGAGGCTGAGGCAGAGAAATGCTGGAACCCGGGAGTTGGGGGTTGCAGTAAGCCAAGATTGTGCCACTGCACTCAAAATCAAATCAAATCAAATCAAATACAAAAATAAAGACATAAAGGATGTCACTTACATGGACACATGTTCAGGGCTTGTGTGGAGGAGTTGTGGGTGAGGACGAAAGTCGACTTGGAGACAATGGAGTTTGACTGGAGTTACTGGATGAGGAAAGGAGAGAAAGAGAGAGAAAAGGAAAAGGGTAAGGGAAGTGGAAGATTGCCTCAGTGTGAAGGTCATCTCTGATTGCTGACAAAGGCAGTGGAAAATGTTGGAGAAGGTCTGAAAATACTGCTAAAGGTTGGTGGTTTCAGAAAATCTTGTAACATTTCCTTTACTTTAAAACTTAGCATCTCAAGGGTTTTTAGTATGAGTTTTTGTTTTGTTTTGTTTTGTTTTGTTTTTCCCCATGGATTTCAGAGTAGTTGAACCATTCAGCCACAGAAAATAACTCTGGTATCAACCACATTTAAATATTACCAATAAAGACACGGGACTCTCCTCCTCTGAGGTCGAGCACGTCTATTCACTTGCTGCTCAGCCTCCTCTTCTGCCCACCCTCACCTCCTTTTCTGGCATCTGCTCCTCCCAGGGAGGACTTCACACCCTCCTCACAGAGCCAGCTGCCACCTCCCACTCTTCGAGGCTCCATCACGTGCCTGGCTCCACCACCTTCTCGCGTGTGACATCTACCTTTCACCAAGCTGAGGACACAGTGCACCCATGGTGTGTTTAAGGAGACAGTTCTGATGGCCACAAAATTCTTTTGTTATGTGGTCTGTGATTTGAATTGCCCTGTCCAAAGACTAATGCATGGTTCATGGTCAGGCCAAGTAAGGTTATGCTGGAATGAGAAACCACCAAGCACCTTTAATTCCTTCCAAGATCTTTTAGGAGTGGGACAAAGTCAAGTGCTGGGTTAGTGATGGCAAAGGAGGAGATTCTCTCTGCTGCACTCTGGTGATGACGGCAGGTCCAGCACTGCTCCAGCACCCAATCCTTGCAGTGTCTTCTATGGCACTTGCACATTCTTTATATAATACGGGCTTTGCAATCTCAGTTTCTGCAATCACTGTCACAACTGCCCCTAACAAAAGCAGTGACTGCATTCCTCACAACCTTGAATTTGAGCTTTGTCTTGAGAAATGAAGGTTTCTACAGGTTTCTTCATGTTCACATTAATCCAAACTGAAGATTTACCTCCAGGAATATTTTTCTTTCTCTATTACTTCCCTTAGCAAAAAATGTGTAACTTCCAATCTTCAATTCTTCACCAATGCTTTGATTCTTTGGCTAAATCAAACGCATGCTGAGGGCCAGGCACAGTGGTTCACACCTGTAATCTCAGCACTTCGGGAGACTAAGGCAGGCTGATCACAAGGTCAGGAGCTCAAGACCAGCCAGGCCAACATGGTGAAACCCCATCTCTTCTAAAAATACAAAAATTAGCCAGCATGGTGGTGTGCACCTGTAATCCCAGGTACTGGGAGGCTGAGGCAAGAGAACTGCTTGAACCCAGGAAGTGAAGGTTACAGTGAGCCAAAATCATGCCACTGCACTCCAGCCTGGGCAACAAAGCAAGACTCTGTCTCAAACAAAAAAAAAGAAAGAAAAAACATGCTTAACCTATGAGTTAAGCACTGAGTTTTGTCTTCTCCACTGCAGGACTCCTGGACAAGGATTATTTTCTTACCCTACTACAGAATTTCTCAACCACTTTCCATGCCATAATCCACACAAAATCTATTGGGCACACTGACTGACCTTCACTAATTGCCCCAAGGTACTGTGAGAGCTGAAGGAGCAATATTTCAGGACACACCCATTAACCCAACTTGAGAACATTTATTCACTGTAGTATTAATGAGAATGATTAACTGCACAAATTTGTAAACACCTAATATGCACACATAATTCATACTTGATTCCCAACACTTATTTCCTGACAATACAAAACTTCATACTAAATGGCTAGTTATTGGTTCTTGGCAACTTAAGTTCCTAAGGTGGTAGATAATCTACAAATTGTGGTCACTTACTCTGACAGTGCACAATGGCAAACAAAAAGATGGGAAAGAAAGAAAGCTCTAATAAAGAGCTCTAACAAAGAAAATAGGCTGGGCACGGTGGTTCACACCTGTAATCTTACACTTTGGGAGGCCAAGGTGGGCAGATCACCTGAGGTCAGGGGTCCGAGACCAGCCTGTCCAACATGGCGAAACCCTGCCTCTACCAAAAATACAAAAATTATGGTGGCACAGGCCTGTAATCCCAGGTACTTGGGAGGCTGAGGCAGGAGAATTGCTTGAACGCAGGAGGCGGAGGTTGTGGTGAGCCAAGATCGCACCATTGTACTCCAGCCTGGGAAACAAGAGCAAAACTTTGTCTCAAAAAAAAAAAAAAAGAAAGAAAGAAAAGAACATTATTTGTTCAATGGGGACTTCTTAGATCTTTCCTATTAGGCTGTGATATTCGTGTGCAGGCCAGAGTTACAGTATTTGCCATTTTAGGAACAGGGCTCATATGAATAAACATTAAGGTTCAAATGCGGACAGTAACTGCTATCCCTGAACAGTTGTGTGGCTACTTGAAACTGAAATATGCTGTGAGTATGAAAGACACATCAATTCTCAACAAAAAGAACATATGCAAATGAAGTGAAGAATGTGAAATACTTCATTGTGTATTTATTTATAATGATTTCAGGTTGAATTCGAAAATGTAAAATTATGTATGTGGCTTGCATTTGCAGCACACATTGTATTTCTCTTGGATACCACTGGCCAAAGTTCAAAGCTTAATGCCGGGTGTGGTGACTCACATCTATAATCCCAGCACCTTGGGAGGCTCAGGCAGAAGGATCACCTGAGCCTAGGAGTTTGAGACCAGCCTGGCCAAAATGGTGAAACCTTGTCTCTACACAAAATACAAAACTTAGCCAGGCATGGTGGCGCACGCCTGTAATCCCAGCTACTCAGGAGGCTGAGGAAGGAGAATTGCTTGAGCCTGGTTGCAGTGAGCCGAGATCACACCACTGCACTCCAGCCTGGGTGACAGAGTGAGACTCTGTATCAAAAAAAGGAAGAAAGAAAAAAAGCTTCAGTTATCCCTACACTGCATATGTGCATATTGATAAATCAAGAAGTGCCTGTATTGAGCTTCTGCAAAAGATTTTTTGGGGAGGTGAAGGAAGGAGCAGTTCCATCATTTTAAAAGATTAATTTTTAAAAGCTTCAAGATTAATCTGTACTTTTAAAAAGGATTTCACAACTATTTTACCTGTTGTATTTGTTCTTGGCTGAGTAACTACAGTTGTATTGTGAGTAAGAAGTTCTGGACCATAAATACATAGTTGATATTAATATTATAATAAAGCATTTAGAAGAAATTTACAGGCCTTTCTCACACAGCTGTGCACTGCTAATTATTATTATTATTATTTGAGACAGAGTCTCATCCTGTTGTCCAGGCTGGAGTACAGTGGTGCGATCTCGACTCACTGCAACTTCCGCCTCCCAGGTTCAAGCAATTATCCTGCCTCAGCCTCCCGAGTAGCTGGAACTACAAGTACACGCCACCACACCTGGCTAATTTTTGTATTTTTAGTAGACACGGGGTTTTGCAATGTTGGCAAGGCTGGTCTCGAACTCCTCACCTCAGGTGATCCACCCAACTCAGCCTCCCAAAGTGCTGGGATTACAAGCGTAAGCCACTGTGCCTGGCCAATTTTTAAACATAATCCATTCTGCCTTCATTTTATAGTGAAAATAATCATTTTGGTGACTTGAATTTTGAAAATAGCAATTTTCAGATATTCAGGTGAGACCAGCTGGATGTCTCCAAAGTCATCTTTTTTAAAGATAAATATGCAAGAGTCACATTTCCCCCAAACCAGCTCAATTCTGTTTCTGAATCTTAGATGAACTGTGTCACAGCAGAGCCAGAAGCAGCTTGCTGTATCATCTTAAACCTTTCCTCTCCATATACAACTCATTCCCAATGAATATACACAGATGCACAACCTCAATCAGTAAGCAAGACTCAACCCACTTCAACATTCCTTTCATGAGTAGAGAGAGGCCTTCTGTTCCTATCCCCAACACTCAAACTACCCATGTATTACCCTTCAAAATTAAGCCAGAATAACCTTTCTAAAGGGCAGATCCAAATTATTTTAAGAGGGAACTGCTATGAGACCATTTAATGACTGCCACTGCTTTTGTAGGATCTAAGGCCTTCCTCCATTTGGCCACCCAAGTCTATGCAATCCCACCATGCCCACATGGCACTCCTCACTCCACACAGAATGGGTGAGGTATGTGAATATGTGGGCATATTTGACATCTCCCTGCCTTTACTCATATTTGGAACACGTTCCCTCCCTTCTGGATGCACAAATGACTGATCTGGGTATGCCATCCTTGCCTTCTCCCCTAAAAATGCTCAATAACTCTTCATTGCATTTTTCATAATATTAAGCCTCCCAAGGACAGGGTTCTTGCTAGACCCAATTTTGCACATCTGATACTTATACTAAATACATGTTTGTTCAATAAGTGAATCTAAATGTTAATTGTAAATATAAGGAAGTCATAATGAGAGGGGAACAAAAGGCCCTTCCTCATCGAATTAATCTCTCCTTAGGGAAGACACTGAATTTGTTTCTGCAGATTATCATCTTACCTTTTAATAAGAAATTTAATTCGATTGCCCACTTGAATGATGTTTTCCAGCCTTGCGATTCCATACCACGAGGGACTTCTGAAAGGAATGTTTTCTGGTAGTCCTTCCACATACAGATCATTCGCATGGCCTTCAAATTTTTGGTACAGTAGAGCCTTGGCTTCAGTGCTCCCCAAGGCCTCAGCGCTCCCCAAGGCCTCAGCTGAACAAAACCAAAGCAATTCAGGAGACTATGCTTGTGTTGAAATCAGATTTTAGTACAATCCAAAGCAAGGTGCAGGTCAATTTTTTTAAATTGGAAAAAGTCTAGAAACATATTTACTAACTATTGAAGCAGGCTTAAAGCAAAGGCAAGTATAAATGACCCATTATTAGACAGATCAATGAGACAGAAAATTAACAAGGATATTAAGGACTTGAAGTCAGTTCTGGACCAAGCGGACTTAATAGACATCTACAGAATTCTCCACCCCCAAATCCACAGAATATATGTTCTTCTCAGTACCACATCACATTTATTCTACAACTGACCACATAATTAGAAGTAAAACACTCCTCAGCAAATGCAAAAGAATGGAAATAATAACAAACAGGCTCTCGCTGCATAGTGCAATTAAATTAGAACTCAAAATTAAGAAACTCACTCAAAACCGCACAACTACATGGAAACTGAACAACCTGCTGCTGAATGAGAACTGGGTAAATAACGAAATTAAGGCAGAAATAAAGATGTCATTTGAAACCAGTAAGAACAAAGACACAACATATCAGAATCTCTGGGACACATTTAAAGCAGTGTTTAGAGGGAAATTTATAGCACTAAGTGACTAATGCACTAAATGCCCACAAGAGAAAGCAGGAATAATCTAAAATATAATATTTATGCAGCTAACAAACATGAAAAAATGCTCATCACTGGTCATTAGAGAAATGCAAATCAAAAACAATGAGATACCATCTCATGTCAGTTAAAATGGGAAACAATAAAAAGTCAGGAAACAACAGATGCTGGAGAGGATGTGGAGAAATAGGAATGCTTTTATACTTTTGGTGGGAGTGTAAATTAGTTCAATCATTGTGGAAGACAGTGTAATGATCCCTCAAGGATCTAGAACCAGAAATAACATTTGACCCAGCAATCCCATTACTGGGTATATACCCAAAGGATTATAAATCATTCTACCATAAAGACACATGCACATGTATGTTTATTGCGGCACTATTCACAATAGCAAAAACTTGGAACCAACCTAAATGCCCATCAATGATAGACTGGATAAAGAAAATGTGGCACATATACACTATGAAATACTATGCAGACATAAAAAAGGATAAGTTCATGTCCTTTGCAGGAACATGGATGAAGCTGGAAACCATCATTCTCAGCAAACTAACACAAGAACAGAAAACCAACAACTGCATGTTCTCACTCATAAGTGGGAGTTGAACAATGAGAACACATGGACACGGAGGGGAACATCACACACCAGGGCCTGTCGGGGAGTGCGGGGTTAGGGGAGGGACAGCATTAGGAGAAATACCTAATGTAGATGATGGGCTGATGGGTGCAGCAAACCACCATGGCACGTGTAACAAACCTGCACGTTCTGCACATGTACCCCAGAACTTAAAGTATAATAAAAAATAATAATAACCAAATCCTGCCCCCAATCCAAGGCCACAAATAATTTAATTAAAGCCTATAAAATAGGACACACAGAAAAGTCACTCTGTTTCCTTGACTCCACAACTTGTATGTGTGGCTTATAATGCATTTACTTTATTATCACTCTCGATAAACTCTGGGGGAGAAAGCCGGGGATAACACACCTAATCCTTTCATGAAATGTCTAACATGGCCTCGAGTGTGTGGGATCTTTTCTCAAGCCCCCATGTCTGAGTGCCATTTGCTGATGGCCCTTCCCTATGATTGAGGAAGCTGGGTCACTAGTTGAACACTAAGTACAAGACAGCATGAGAATCATGCTTGCAGCTGCAGTTAGCTGGAGGGCTGGTAGAAGGCACTGCTCCATGATTGTATATACTGAGTTCTGCCATCTTAATGATATCTGTATATGTTTTCTATCTTTGAAGATACTTGCATTTTTACATATCAGAATCCCAAGGCTGAGAAATAAAAATTTTAAAAATTAAAAAAAATAATAAAAATAAATGACCCATCATTACCAATCAGATTTTGGCAGATTTAAGTGTCCTGATCCTAAGACAATCTTAATAACTCTAAGATCTTAAAAGATTAAACTTTGTTTTTCAATATTCTTAGGAAGAAGAGAAAAAAATTATAGACAATAAAGAACACAACCTGAATACTATTTGTTTTTTTTTGTTTGTTTGTTTTGTTTTGTTTTGTTTCTGAGACGGAGTCTCGCTCTGTCACCCAGGCTGGAGTTCAGTGGCATGATCTCAGTTCATTGCAAGCTCCGCCTCCTGGGTTCAAGTGATTCTCCTGCCTCAGCCTCCTGAGTAGCTAAGATTACAGGTGCCCGCCACCATGCCTGGCTAATTTTTGTACTTATCAGTAGAGATGGGGTTTTACCATGTTGGCCAGGCTGGTCTCAAACTCCTGACCTCAAGCGATCTGCTCACCTTGACCTCCCAAAGTGCTGGGATTACAGGTGTGAGCCACCGCAGCTGGCCTGCAAATACTATTTGGAAGCAGCCTTTTGCCACTATCTGCTTGTGAAATTAATAACCCTCCTCCACTGGCTGCTGCAAACAGGCATATTTCAGGCTGAATTTTCATCCACACTGCAACCACAAGATCAATGTTCTTTACCCCTTCAACCTCATGAGTATGCTGTTTTAAAAGAAATAACTTTCCACAAAGAATTCATGAAATGGGAAATAAAAATAGTAAGCAGAGGCCAGTTTTGATTAAAAGAGGCATAACAACCAAAGTTAGCACATGAAGATTGTTTGGACCCAGATTTAAAGCAAAATTTTTCAGATAATGAGGAAATGAGATACTGTTCAGGTAAGAGTAAGGAAACTTGGCCAGGCGCAGTGGCTCACACCTGTAATCGCAGCACTTGGGGAGGACGAGGTGGGCAGATTACCTGAGGTCAGGAGTTCGAGACCAGCCTGGCCAACATGGTGAAACCCTGTCTCTACTAAAAATACAAAAATTAGCCGGGCATGGTGGCGTGCGCCTGTAATCCCAGCTACCCAGGAGGCTGAGGCAGGAGAATTGCTGGAGCCCGGGGGGCAGAGGCTGCTGTGAGCTGAGATTGCACTCCAGCCTAGGGTGATACAGCAAGACTTTGTCTGAAAAAAAAAAAAAAAAAGAGTGAGGAAACTCAACTAAGGGTTACAGATGAGCTGACACCAAAAAATCATTGTAATTTTGTCAGATGTGATGAGATAGTAGCTGTGTAAGAAAATGTTAATGCTGTTCGGGGATGCACACTGAACAGATAAAATGATGGTGATGACTGATTTGCTTTACAATATTCCTGCAAAGGGAGGTAAAGGAATAGAAGAACAAAACGTAGGACAATCTTAATGATCACAGAAATTGAGGAATGGGTATTTTAGTGTTCACTGTACTATTTTCTCTACTTTTGAATAGGTATAAAAACTGTAATTTAAAAATGTAAAAAAAGTGCCAGGAGCGATGGCTCATGCCTGTAATCCCAACACTTTGGGAGGCTGAGCCATGTGGATCACTTGGGTCAGGAGTTCAAGACCAGCCTGGCCAACATGGTGAAAGCCTGTCTCTACCAAAAAAAAAAAATCAGCTGGGTGTTGTGGCAGGCACCTGTAGTCCCAGCTACTCAGAAGGCTGAGGCAAGAGAATTGCTTGAACCTGGGAGGCAGAGGCTGCAGTGAGCCAAGATCGTGACACTGCACTCCAGCCTGGGTGACAGAGTGAGAATCCACCAAAAAAAAGAAAAGTAAAAATGAATTGACTAATCCCTGCTCTGAAGCCACATCCAAACAAAACTCTAAAAAGAAAGATTCAAGCAATTTATATCGTGCTATTTATATATAGATCTCCCCTGCACCCCTGTATGTAACATTTAAATATTTTGTAACCTGATGGTTGGGAGTGGCTCAAAGCTGGGCATGGTGTCATGTGCCTGTAGCCCCAGCTACTTAGGAGACTGAGGCAGGAGGATAACTTGAGCCCAGGAGTTCTAGTCCATCCCAGACAACATAAGACCCTGTTTCTTTGTTTCTTTTCTTTTCTTTTTATTTTTTTCTTTGTTTTTTTTTTTGAGATGGAGTTTCACTCTTGTTGTCCAGGCTGGAGTGTAATGGTGCAATCTTGGCTCACTGCAACCTCTGCCTCCTGGGTTCAAGTGATTCTCCTGCCTCAGCCTCCCAACTAGTTGGGATTACAGGCGCACGCCACCATGCCCAGCTAACTGAGTATTTTTAGTAGAGATGGGGTTTCTCCATGTTGGTCAGGCTGGTCTCGAACCCCCCACTTCAGGTGATCCACCCACCTCAGCCTCCCAAAATGCTGGGATTACAGGTGTGAGCCACCGCACCCAGTGGACCCTGTTTCTTTAAAAAGAAAAGTCAGGGAGCTGTCAGGGAGCTCACTGATGAATTATTTTGGTGATATCAACAATTGCTATCAAAACACAACTATAAAATCCAAAATTATAGGCCGGGCATTGTGGCTCACACCTGTAATCCCAGCACTTTGGGAGGCTGAGGCAGGCGGATCACGAGGTCCGGAGATCGAGATCATCTTGGCTAACACAGTGAAACCCCGTCTCTACTAAAAATACAAAAAAAAATTAGCCGGGCATGTGGTGGGCACCTGTAGTCCCAGCTACTTGGGAGGCTGAGGCAGGGGAATGGGGTGAACCCAGGAGGCGGAACTTGCAGTGAGCCGAGATCGCACCACTGCACTCCAGCCTGGGCGACAGAGCGAGACTCCGTCTCAAAAAAAACAAAACAAAAAAACAAAAACAAAAAAACAAAATCCAAAATTATGTCTATTGCCAGATCTTTCTCCTTACTTCCAGACTTATTTATCCAACTGTCTCCTTCACCTCCACGCCTCAACTTAAATGTCAACTTGAAATTAATTAATAAATAATTTAATTATTTATTAATAATTAATGTCTTTGTTCTTAGATTGGCTTTCCTCTAACATCTCGAGATTTGTCTTAAATTCTAACTTCATGATATTAGCACCAAATCTGAAGGGCTCTAGTACAGGAACTCTCTGAGATCAGAAACACATGTATTTTTGAGAAACCACACAAAATGAAATAATTATCATAGCTGTAAAAAGAAATATGCCCATAAACAAATCATAGTAAAGGATTAGAGGCTTTCAGTCACACTAGAGAGTGATGTTAAATAAAATTATTCTGTTAATTCAACAAGGAAATATATAAACCTAATTCTAACAAAGTTTTTATAAAATAAAAAAGAACCAATTGGAGTTGAAAGTGAAAAGTGGAAGTTTAGAAAGAGGCGAGGCCAACTACAGAACGTGCTCATCACATATCATCAAGGCTGCCCCAATCACACCCCCTGCCTCCCCATTTCCCTTAATCCACTTAATTCTTTCCCAGACCTTATACCTTCTTACAGAGTAAATATCTCCTACTTACTACACATTTCCCCACCAGATTGAATGCTCCAGAATGCACGGGGCAGGCCACTGTCTTCTGCACTGCCCAGTTCCCCCCGCACCTGACTCAGAGGTGCCAAATGACTTCAGGATTATGAGGTTGGAAGTAGTGAATATTTCCTGAATACTTGCAGTGGTTCCCAGCAATGACAAACCTAAGATTTCCTCTCTCCCTTTCAGGAAACTTAAAGAAAGCAGCAATACTGTCAGAGGTGTTTGAACAAGAACAACTCGATCTTAAATAGAAGCTGGGTAAAATGAGGCTGAGACCTACTGAGCTGCATTCCTAGATGGTTAAGGCATTCTAAGTCACAGGGTGAGAGAGGAGATCAGCACAAGATACAGGTCATAAAGACCTTGTTGATAAAATGGGTTGCAGTAAAGAATTCAGCCAAAACCCACCGAAACCAAGATGGTGACAAGAGTGACCTCTGGTTGTCCTCAAAGCTACACTCCCACCAACACCATGACAGTTTACAAATGCCATGGCAACATCAGGAAGTTACCCTATATGGTCTAAAAAGGGGAACCATAAAAATAATCCACTCCTGGCCAGGTGCGGTGGCTCACACCTGTAATCTCAGCATTCTGGGATGCCAAGGTAGGTGGATCACCTGAGGTCAGGAGTTTGAGACCAGCCTGGCAACGTGGTAAAACCCCGTCTCTACTAAAAATACAAAAACAAATTAGTTGGGTGTTGTGGTATGCACCTGTGATCCCAGCTACTAGGGAGGCTGAGGCAGGAGAATTGCTTGAACCCAGGAGGCGGAGGTTGCAGTGAGCCAAGATCACACCACTGCACTCCGGCCTGGACTCCATCTCAAAAAAAAAAAAAAAAATAGTAACAGAGGCTGGGCGTGGTGGCTCACAACTGTAATTCCAGCACGTTGGGAGGCTGAGGTGGGTAGATCACCTGAGGTCAGGAATTCGAGACCAGCTTGGCCCACAAGGTGAAACTACATCTCTACTAAAAATACAAAAATTAGCTGGGCATGGTGGCAGGTGCCAGTAATCCCGGCTACTTGGGAGACTGAGGCAGGAGAATTGCTTGAATCTGGGAGGCGGAGGTTGCAGTGACCTGAGACTGCGCCACTGCACTCCAGCCTGGGTAACATGAGCGAAACTCCGTCTCAAAAACAAAACAGTAAGAAAAAACTGGAGCTGAGTCCTGCTCATTATATTTACTTTCCTAAAATAAAACAACATTATAAAAAACATTACTCAGTAATATACTTTAGTTGAAAGGGGAAAAAAGAGACTTACCAAATTTTTTTGCAGAAAAGCTGATCCACCATCTTTCTTCATTTAGTGATTCTGGCATACCATTCTTCCTTTACTGTCGAAATCACAGGAATACAAGTTTTCTCAATTTAATGGGCTTAATAGCTTGGGTTATTAAATATTATTATTATAAAATAGACAGTATTATTTTTTCTTTTCCTGTGACTAAAATTATTTCTAATATCCAGAATGTATTTATTACTGAAACAATGCTGACACACACTGCACAAAAAAGGAAGAACCAGACATTCATGAAAGCTGGGAAAAAGCAGAACTCAGTGTGCTCAAGAACCACTAGCAGGCCGGGTGCAGTGGCTCACACCTGTAATCCCAGCACTTTGGGAGGCTGAGGCGGACAGATCACCTGAGGTTGGGAGTTCAAGAAGAGCCTGGCCAACATGGTGACACCCCAGCTCTACTACAAATACAAAAATTAGGCAGGCGTGGTGGCAGGTGCCTGTAATCCCAGCTACGTGGGAGCCTGAGGCAGGAAGAATTGCTTGAACCTGGGAGGTGGAGGGTGCAATGAGTTGAGATCACACCACTGCACTCCAGCATGGGCGACAAAGCAAAACTCCATCTCAAACAAACAAACAAACAAACAAACAAACAAAAAACAGCTAGCAGGTGCCATTTGCTATGGGGAGACTAGGGATATAATCTTGCAGCAATCCTTCCATTTTAGTAAATCTAAACAGTGTGATTCCATTCTGTTTTGTCCCCACTCTACTCCAGAGCCAAAACAAATAAGAAAATCCGTTATATTTCTATTTCTTTCAAAACACATCTAACAATTAAGAGATGATATGCATGGCTCCATACTCTAAAAGGAAGCCTCTTATGTCCTGGGTATCATGGACATTTGAGGAATGTTTGTTCAGTTGTCTGGTGCAAGCTTCAATAATAACCTGTTCAATGCATTATGCCAGACAAATTCTGCATCTCAAAAGTAGGAAAAATATTGTTCTTTTAGTTCTGTCTACCCATAAATGCAACATTTACATGTATTTATAATGGGTTAATACAAATAAAATGAGTTTACTGTTCTAGAGAGTATTAGAATTTTGACAACATGAATTCTCCTGTCCTGGCATGTAATTAAATGTTAGAGGAATATTATTTCATGTGGAAGATACCATTAAAAAATCAATGTTAAGCATTAAATAATTATTTCACATAATCTTCTAATCTGACTTAAGACTGAAGACCTACCTCCTGCAGCTGGTTTATCAAGTTGTAAATCTTCACTTGTTGAATTCACAAGTTCATGTCTGTAAGTGAGAATAAATACTTAATATTCACTAGGCAATATTCAGCAAAGTAATATCCACTAGTACATATTTAACATTTAATCACCAAGGGTGGCTTTGGAAAGAAAAGACAGGCTGGGAACGGTGGCTCATGACTGTAATCCCAACACTTTGAAAGGCTGAGGCAGGCAGATCATGAGGTCAGGAGTTCGAGACCAGCCTGGCCAACATGGTAAGACCCATCTCTACTAAAAATTCAAAAATTACCCAGGCATTGTGGCAGGTGCTTGTAATCCCAGCTACTCAGGAGGCTGAGCTAGGAGAATCACTTGAACTTGGGAAGCAGGGGTTACAGTGAGCCGAGATCACACCGTTGCACTCCAGCATGGGCGACAACAGTGGAACTCCAGCTGAAGAAAAAAAGAAAAAGAAAAAAAAAAATATCCCATTACTTTAAGGCAATGTAGATACAGCCAGAATTTCTACAGAAATCTGAACCACATTATAAACCCCAAAAAAAAAACCAGCTAATATCATTTAAAATATATAGTACTAAATGGAATAGGTAATATTTTCGTGTTTTTTTTTTTTTTTTTTTTTGATACAGAGTCTTGGAGTGCAATGGCACGATCTTGGCTCACTGCAACCTCTGCCTCCTGGGTTCAAGCAATTCTCCTGTTTCAGCCTCTCGAGTAGCTGGGACTACAGGTGCCCACCACCATGCCCGACTAGTTTTTTTTATTTTTAGTAGAGATTGGGTATCACCATATTGGTCAGGCTAGTCTTGAACTCCTGACCTCAGGTGATCCACCCACCTCAGCTTCCCAAAGTGCTGGGATTACAGGTGTGAGCTACCGCACCTGGCTGGAAAAGGTAATATTTTCCACACATAAACATTAGTGTAACTTTATTGGACTTAAAAAAATAT
Source organism: Homo sapiens (assembly GCF_000001405.40). Taxonomy (NCBI): domain Eukaryota; kingdom Metazoa; phylum Chordata; class Mammalia; order Primates; family Hominidae; genus Homo; species Homo sapiens. The sequence goes on along the minus strand of NC_000007.14, from coordinate 65,089,756 downwards.
TTTTTTTTAGTAAGAGAAGCAGAAGATTCTCCTGAACTGCATCATTTCAACTAGCATTTATTTACTCATGATTAAAATACTACAACAACTATAAAAAGTCAAGTGATGGCCAGGTGCAGTGACTCATGCCTGTAACCCCAGCACTCTGGGGGGCCAAGGCGGGTGGAGCACCTGAGGTCAGGAGTTTGAGACCAGCCTGGCCAACATGGCAAAACCCCGTCTCTACTATAAATACAAAAATTAGTTGGGCATGGTGGCTCTCACCTGTAGTCCCAGCTACTAGGGAGGCTGAGGCGGCAGGATCGCTTAAACCTGAGAGGTGGAGGTTGCAGTGAGCCATGATCACGCTGCTGCACTCCAGCCTGGGTGACAAAGCAAGACTCTGTCTCAAAGGAAAAAAAGAAAAAGTCAAGAGCATAGGGAGTATTAAAACAGACATAACCAATGGTCTCTCATCTGAACAGCTCCATTTTTTTGCTATCATTATGTGTTAAGGTCTATTTGCTAAACATTACTATTTGTACTAAAGTTTCAAGTGTATCCTATAACACATTAGTGCTGACTTAGGTTTAATGTCCTTTGCTGTACACTATACTTGAATATCATACTTATATATCACAACAAATGTATCTTTCTCTAAGGCAATTACCATTAATACTGCTTTAAAATTACAAAATGTGGGCCAGGTGTGGTGGCTCGCGCCTGTAATCTCAGCACTTTGGGAGACCGGGGCAGGTAGATCAAGAGATCAAGAGATCAAGACCATCCTGGCCAACATGGTGAAACCCTGTCTCTACTAAAAGTACAAAAATTACCTGCGCGTGGTGGTGCACACCTGTAGTCCTAGCTACTCTGGAGGTTGAGGCAGGAGAATCGCTTGAACCTGGGAGGCGGAGGTTGCGGTGAGCCGAGATTGCGCCATTGCACTCCAGCCAGAACAACAAAAGCGAAACTGTCTCAAAAAATATATATATATATAAAATGTGAAGATTGTTTTTATAGTTTCACAACAACTGAATATTAATGTCTTTAAATAGTAAATCACCATCACAACAAGAGCCCCACAACATAATCTGTTTCATTTTATAAAAAGCACTGACATTTATAAAATTGTCATAGTCAATTTATAAAACTGTAATAGCAAATTATTTTTACTCAGAATAGTACTAAATTAACAATATAATAAAAACATAGGCCGGGTGTTGTGGCTCACACCTGTAATCCCAGCACTTTGGGAGGCCGAGGAGAATGGATCATTTGAGGTCAGGAGTTCGAGACCAGCCTGGCCAACATGGTGAAACCCTGTCTCTACAAAAATATAAAAATTAGCTGGGCCTGGTGACACACCCCTGTAATCCCAGCTACTTGGGAGGATGAGGCAGCAGAATTGCCTGTAATCCCAACTATTTGGGAGGCTGAGGCAGGAGAATCGCTTGAACCCAGGAGGTGGAGGTTTTAGTGAGCTGAGATTGCACCAATACACTGCAGTCTGGGCAACAGTGTGAGACTCTAACTCAAAAAAAAAAAAAAAGGATAAAAGTAGAGACAATAGGGGCATCTTGGTGAATACCGAATTTAACAAAGCAGATTAAGAGAAACAATTAGTTTCAAAAAATAATATTCCATTAAATCTCTAAGATCCAGGGCTTTGCAATAAATATGTAAATAAATCACCAATATCCATGCTGAAAGTTTAAAAGAAATGCTAAAGAAATAAAACTTTTCCTTAGTTTTGCAGTAATCTAGAAACAAAGAATGTTTCTAATATTTAGACAGAAACTACAAAGCACCTTACAAGGAGAGACGTGTAAGGATGGCAAGATTCACCAGCAGCCCTGGGCTTGTCCACAGTACCCCCATGATGAACAATAACTCCATTGTGTAAATGCTTATGAACAAAGTATTACAGGACTTTTCCAATTTAAACATACCGTATTTTCTGTCAGACAATTCTTCAACTTGTTTACATAGATCAGCGATATGATTATTCCATTTCTCTGAAAACTGAGCAAAAGTTGATTCTCAATAATATGTCCCTATGTCAGAGCAGCACTAATATATAATGACTTATTTCCTATATTTTACATACTAACAGTCCATATCATTTTACTGCTTTCGAAAACATTTTTCCCTTTTTTGGTGGTTCTTAGAATTAGTTTAATAGGAGACTACAAGAGAAGTTTTAAAGTTTAATGCCTCTTTTTAGCCTTTAATTTCTGAAAAGCAGGAGGGCAGAAAAGATCAATCAAATTAAACACGACAACAGGGAGGCCACAATGAGGAGGTCTCCAGAGGCCTTTTCGCAAACTTCCTAAAACATGTCTCAGCTGTGTGGAAATAAGGCTTTACAGCAGCTGGGTGCAGTGGTGCAGGCCTGTAATCCTAGCACTTTGAGAGCAGAGGTGGGCAGATCACTTCGAGCTCCGGGCAACAAAGCAAAATCCCCCCTCCCCTCCCCAACCCCCTGCCTCCGCCCCCGTCTATACCAAAAATACAAAACTTAGCCAGACATGGTGGCAGGTGCCTGTAGTCCCAGCTACTCAGGAGGTTGAGGCAGGAGAATCACTTGAACCCAGGAGGCGGACGTTTCAGTGAGCCGAGGCCGTGCCACTGCCAGCCTGGGTGACAGAGCAAGACTCTGTCTCAAAAAAGAAAAAAAAAAAAAAAAAAGATTAAGTAAGAGGGACACCAGACCTTAAAAATACAAGTTTAAGAGGGACCCTGACTCAGCGTGGTGGCTCATGCCTGGGACTTTGGGAGGCCGAGGCAGGCGGATCACGAAGTCAAGAGATCTAGACCATCCTGGCCAACATGGTGAAACCCTATCTCTACTAAAAATACAAAAAATTAGCTGAGAGTGGTAGGTGCGCACCTGTAGTCCCAGCTACTCAGGAGGCTGAGGCAGGAGAATTGCGTGAACCCAGCAGGCGGAGGTTGCAGTGAGCTGAGGTTGGGCCACTGCACTCCAGCCTGGGCAACAGAGCAAGACTCTATTGAGGCAAGGTTTCTCATTCTCAGGTCCGAGGGGTTCAATAACTGGGCCCTTAGGGAGGTGTGAGCCCCCTGAAACGATGCAAGGTTTTGTGTGGAGAGTGTGCACATGCGTTTCCGGGAAAACAGCCCACAGCTCTCATTCTCAGCAGGCTCCACACTCAAAAAAGGTTAGACTCTTGCTACAGAGCTGTGGGAGCAGCTAGGTGAGGGGCCTGCCAAGGGCACTCTGGGGACTACCTGGGCAGTCTTGAGCCCACCTGGGCAGTCCTGAGCCCACTGTCCCTTAGGTAGGCTGTGCTGCTTGGTATTTGCAGAGCTGAGGGGGTGGGGCATGTGGGACTGTGAAATCGCCTTGAGATGACCCACAGCACTCAGCTGGGAAGTGAGGGGTGTGTATCCTGCAGCATCCTCCATTCCTAGGGCCATGGGGCCAGGAGAACTGGCCCTTGCAGCAAGTGAAAAGCCTAACATTGACTCCCTCCCTGGCCATGTAGACAATGAACCAAAGGCACCCATATCAAGTAAATGCCTTGGTCTCTGTGACCGAGGTGACCAGTAGGCATTCCCAGGTGCAGGGAAGGTCCTGACACCAAGATATGCACCTGGTCACCTGAGGAAAGAGAAAGGACTATCCAAGGGGTTGGGGCTGAGCTGGGTGTGGAGTGGTCCTTGTGGGTCATGGTGAGTGGGAGGGGGAGCAGCATGAGCCAGGCCTCGGGGCAGGAGGACAACCAGGAGACGGCCTGGAAAAAGTGCTGGACCCACGAGGGTTCAAGGCTGGCCAGAGAGGGAGATGGGATAGGCTGGGAAGTCCTGAGGTCTGAAGATTGGCCCTGGCAGGCAGAAACCAGGAAAGGTGGGCAGTTACCTGCACCCTGGGGGCCAGATGCATCCTTAGCCTAGAGCAGGTGCCAAGATTTCTGGCTCTGGGTGTGACCTAAGTCTGGGGAAAAGCCCCAACCCCCACCAGGACCACCTGCCCCCCAAACTACTTCAGATGCTGAGCCCAAGCCAGGAGCAGGAAGCTGGACTGATGCCTAGGGTAATCCCGACAAAGTCCCTGTCTCCCCCCAGCTATGGGGCTGAAGGGGAATTACAGCCCAAACCCCAGATGCTGGCTCTCAAACTAACACTGAGCCCTCAGTGCCCAAAGGGAGACTCAATCAGCACACTTTCCAGATGGGGAAACGGGCTCAGAGAGGTGCAAGAGCCTTGCCCAGTGCCCCAGACCAGGACTCTAGGCCCAGAGTGTTCTTTTGTCACTGTGTCCAGAGGGTAGCAGCTGCTCTGATATAGCCACCTGAGCCTGGCAACTTTCTCCAGCTTTGGAAGCCCAGGAGCATGGCCCGTGCCCACAGATGCACCTGGCATGAGGCGCACCCAGAGGGACAGAGGCAGATGAGTTTCGCCTCCTCCACTGGATTGTGAAGGCCTCCAAGGAGACAAGGATCTGCTTGAGAAGGCAGCAGATAGTCAGCAACCTGGGGTGGTTTAACTCTGGATGGATCTGCAGTGCCTGGATGGGACCTGGCTCAGACAGAGCTCAGTTCTGCAGGTCACTGAGGCATGGAAAGGTCACAGCTACCAAGTGTAGGAGTCTGGATTCAAAGCCAACAGCGTGACTCCAAAATCCCTGCCCTAGCCCCTGGACCACCCACCTCTCGGAGTCACCCTTGCAAGCTCATCAGATGTTCAGGCCAGCAGCACAACCAGCCAGGGCCAGGGAAACTTGGGGAGCCTCATTCCAACATAATCCTTGCACCCTTGCCCCTCACCATCTTTCTTCCTGCGTTAACCTCACCCCCTACACAGAGCCTGGGCCACTTAACTTGGCATCAAACAGATGCCTCAATAAATCAGAGTCTGATCTTCTCGAAAAAAAAAAAAAAGACTTAACAGATATACAGTTGCAAGTTAGAATGTTAAAGAACATAAACATACAACAACTTAATGTACATATAAATTCAATATGTAGCCAATCATTGTGACTATGACACAACAGAATATTAACATACTATTTTCAAAATGTATACAAGCTTAATGATCTATTTATATTCAAAATATGAATCATCAACATAATTTGCCATTAATATCTCATTCAGTCCCTTCACAGGACACATGATCCACTGGGAGTTAACACAATAGCAGCTGGCAGGCAGTGACACACAGCAAAAACGAAAACCAACAGGTGAAATAGTTCTGAAATAAAGAAAGTTTTAAAGCTAAGAGAAACCATTGAATTACTAAGTCATTAGCACTAATTTTGAGCCAACTAATTAATATGAGATGAAACAACGTCCTATGCTTTGGTAAATTCAAACCATGTTTAAACAATGGCTATAAAGTGACTTTCAAAAAGCTCCTGGCTTTACAAAGGTGAGATTATAACATAGTAATACATGCTAAAGCATTTCCCCCTGCAGATGAGCATGTTGTAACTTTCATCAGCCACATTGAGAGTCCAGAAGATGAGGGAAAAGGTTGTGGATTTCACTGAGAACTTACCAGAGTTGAACTCCCTCACTTTCCATTGCCCATCATTGGCAGGTTCCGGAACTGCCCATCATTGGCAGGCTCCGGAACAGGCTGTGTGTCACTGCCTGCCAGCTGTGGTAGTTCGTTGGTCTTTGGTCTCTTAGAAGGTGGAGAATCATCATCATGTTGAAAAAGAAAATGGTCATTAATGAAGGAACAATCCTAGGTTACAGCCACCTCCTGGTCAATTCCCAACATTCAAAAGGTGAGCAGCTTTAAAGCTATTTTGAATATTAATAATTATTCCTGTACTATGATCTTTAGCATGCCTTTTTCTAGTTACATTTGAAATTTTATTCTTTTGGGATGTGCTCAAGTGAATACTGCTTTATCCTCTGTCTTGCTTCATTACTTTTTAGTTTGCTTCATTTGAATCATCATTATAAATCTTCCCTTGCCCTCAAGTAACTCTGAAATTGCTGCCAATAACTATATTGTTTTAAGGCTTTTCAGAAAAAACTTTCAACAAAGACAGTCACCTGAAGTTATACAAATATAGAAGAAAGGGAATATAATTAAGCTTAGATTGGAAAAAATATTTAAGCTTATACAAAATTCAAACATACATAAACAAGGGAAGCTGGATAATTTTATGTTCAAATACTTTTAACAAGTGCAAAATGTATATGCTTAAAGAAATAGGGTTGGCCGGGCATGTTGGCTTATGCCTGTAATTCCAACACTTTAGGAGGCCAAGGCAGGCAGGTCACTTGAGGTCAGGAATTCAAGACCATCCTGGCCAACATGGTGAAACCCCATCTCTACTAAAAATACAAAAATTAGGCTGGGCGCGGTGGCTCACACCTGTCACTTTGGGAAGCTGAGGTGGCCGGATCACCTGAGGTAGGGAGTTCAAGACCAGCCTGACCAACATGGAGAAACCCTGTCTCTACTAAAAATACAAAATTAGCCAGGCATGGTGGCGCATGCCTGTAATCCCAGCTACTCGGGAGGCTGAGGCAGGAGAATCGCTTGAACCCGGGAGGTGGAGGTTGCAGTAAGCCGAGATGGCGACATTGCACTCTAGCCTGGGCAACAAGAGCGAACTCCGTTTCAAAAACAAAAACAAAAAGATATTAGCCAGATGTGGTGGCGCCTGTAATCCCAGTTATTCAGGAAGCTGAGGCAGGAGAATCGCTTGAACCCAGGAGGCGGTAGTTATGGTGAGCAGAGATCATGCCACTGCACTCCAGCCCAGGTAACAGAACAAGACCCTGTCTCAAAAAAAATAGGGCTACATTATTTATGAAACAGATACTGTTGACTCAGTCACCAGAAAGTGAAGGTCGCCAACATCAGACAAATTCACTGGAGGACCTATGTATGTGCTTTGAAAGACAACACTGCTTTGGTAAAGAATACTGTATTTCAGAAAAACATAATCATATTAACAACTAATAACACTGTAAAATGCTGATGTGTTGAATGCTACTTTAGAAAAACATGTTCAAGTCTAGGAAAAAGATTTCCGATAGAAAACTACGTATCAATTACCTAGCTAGCTAGCTATCTAGAGACAAGGTTTCATTCTATTGCTCAGGATGGAGAGCAGTGGGATGACCATAGCTCACTGCAGCCTTCAGCTCCTGGCCTCAACTTATCCTCCTGCCTCAGCCTCTTAAGTAGCAGGGCCACAGGTGGACACAGGTACACCTGGCTTTTTTTGTTTGTTTTGTATAAACAGGGTTTCACTACATGGCCCAGGCTGGTCTCAAGCTCTGGAGTCTTGCTCTGTCGCCCTGACTAGGGTGCAGTGATGCTTCTCGGCTCACTGCAACCTCCGCCACCTGGGTTCAAGAGATTCTCCTGTCTTAACCTCCTGAGTAGCTGGGACTACAGGCATGCACCACCATGCCCGGCTAATTTTGTATTTTTAGTAGAGATGGGATTTCTCCATGTTGGTCAGGCTGGTCTTGAACTCCCAACCTCAGGTGATCAGCCCGCCTCAGCTTCCCAAAGTGCTGAGATTACAGGTGTGAGCCACCGCGCTCGGCCTAATTTTTGTATTTTTTTGTAGAGACTGGGTTTCACCATATTGGCAAGGATGGTCTCAAACTCCTGACCTCAGGTGATCCACCCGCCTCGGCCTCCCAAAGTGTTGGGATTACAGGCGTGAGCCACCGCACTTTCTTATGTTATTAAATAGCCTAGCCCAGGAGGGTGCGGTGGCTCACGCCTGTAATCCCAACAACTCTAAAGGCCAAGGTGAGAAGATCGCTTGAACCCAGGAGTTCGAGACCGGCCCGGGCAACATAGCAAGACCCCCCCATCTCTACGAAAGATACAAAAATTAGGCCAAGCGTGCACCGCGCCTGGCTAATCTTTGTATCTTCCGTAGAGACGGGGTTGCGTCATGTTGCCCAGGCGCATCTCGAACTCCTGAACACAAGCCATCCTCCTGCCTCGGCCTCCCAAAGTGCCGGGATAGCACGGCCCAGGCAGCCTCATGTGTTCTTTAAGCAGTCCCTCCCGGTTGTACACTTGCATAGTTTTCTTTTTTATTTTTTTATACAGGGTTTACCTCAGTCTCGCAGGCAGGAGTGCTGTGGTGAGATCACAGATCATTGGAGCCTTGAATCTTGGGGTTCAAGTAGCTGGGAGGCTGAGGTTGGACTACAGAGGTGGGGTTGCGCCATATTGCTAGGCTGCTCTTGGCCTGAAGGGATCCTCCTTCCTGGCCACGCCCGGACACATAGTTTTCCATTTTTGACCGACATAAATACTGTGCTGGGTGGGAGTTTGTCAACTACCCCTTTCCAGCCAGCAACACACAGGAACTGGCGGGGAGGTCGCGGTTACCAGGCTCCACTCTGAGAAGACTGCCCAGCTCCAGGCACTGTACAGCCCTTGTGACGTGACAGAAGGCCCGCCCCTGTGACGTCACCGAAGGCGCCCCCCAAGATGTCGCAAAGGCCCGCCCCTCACGCAGAGCCAATCGGAACTCCAGGTGCTGGGTCTTCCAGGAGAGCGCCTGCGCGGGAGGGTGACCACAGGCGGCCGGGCGGGATGTCCTGTCCGCCGTCTTCAGCCCAGCCGCCACCACCCATAAGCTATGAGGAGGAGTTTACGACCACCTGGACTACTACCACCTGCGTGACTTCCCGGCCTGAGGGGTCCGCGCAGCAAAGGCCTGACGCTGCTGGAGCAGGCGCTGCGCACCTACCGGCTGGCGCCTGGTAGGCACGAGTGCAGGGTCGCCCAGAAGCTCCTCAATGGCCGGCGCAAGTGCCAGCCAGCGCCAGCTGCAGCCCTGGCCGCGCACTCGCCTCAGCTGAGCCTGGGTATGTGCACCCCCCAACACTTCCCCCAGCCATGTTCCCGGGACCTCGGGAGCGTCCCCCACCGCCCGGTGCCATTCGTGCTGGGCAGGGTCGGCCCCCTTTGAGGCTGCCCCGCGTTAGGGAGCTGCACCGCACCCCCACCAGCTTGACCTCTGACTGCCGTTGCAATAGCATTAAAGCCTTTGGAACTTTGTAGGTGGGTAGAAGGGGCTAGGAAACGAAGAAAACATCTTTTTAAAAATTTATATAAGGGACTGGCCGGGTGCGGTGGCTCACACCTGTAATCCCAGCACTTTAGGAGGCCGAGTGGGTGGATCACCAGGTCAGGAGTTGAAGACCAGCCTGGCCAGCATGGTGAAACCCCGTCTCTACTAAAAATACAAAAATTAGCTAGGCGTGGTGGCGGGCGCCTGTAATCCCAGCTACTCGGGAGGCTGAGGCAGAGAATTGCTTGAACCCGGGAGGTGGAGGTTGCAGTGAGCCGAGATCGCGCCATTGCACTCCAGCCTGGGCAACAAGAGCAAAACTCCGTCTCTAAATAAATAAATAAGATTTTCAAGGCGAGGCATGGTGGGTCACACCTAAATAAGTAAATAAATAAATAAAATGGATTTTCGGCTGGGCATGGTGGCTCACGCCTGTAATCCCAGCACTTTGGGAGGCCGAGGCGGGCGGTTCATGAGGTCAGGAGATCGAGACCATCCTGGCTAACACGGTGAAACCCCGTCTCTACTGAAAATACACACAAAAAAAAATTACCCAGGCGTGATGGCGCGCGCCTGTAGTCCCAGCTACTGGGAAGGCTGAGGCAGGAGAATGGCGTGAACCCGGGAGGCATAGTTTGCAATGAGCCGAGACCGTGCCACTGCACTTCAGCCTGGGTGACAGCGAGACTCCGTCTCAAAAAAATAAATAAATTAAAAAAATAAAATAAAATGGATTTTCAAGGCCAGGCATAGTGGGTCACACCTATAATCCCAGCACTTTGGGAGGCCAAGGCAGAAGGATTGCTTGAGCCCAGGAGTTCGAGACCAGCCTGGGCAACAGGGCAAAACCCTGTCTCTATCAAAAGCACAAAATAAGCTGGGCATTATAGTGCACACCTGTAGTCCGAGCTACTCAGGAGGCTGAGATGGGAGGATGGTTTGAGCCCGGGAGGCAGAGGCTGTATTGAGCTGAGATCATACCACTGAACTTCAGCCTGGGTGACGAGCCAGACCCCGTCTCAAAAAAAAATAATAACAATAAAAATAAATTCATATAGTTTGGTATGGTTTAGTAAGTTTCAGCAGGCAGATTGTCAGGGTAAGATGGATTGTTATATATACATTTATATATATAATATGTATATTTATATACTTATTTATTTTAGCAGAGATAGGGTCTCCCTATGTTGCCAGGCTGGTCTTAGACTCCTGAGCTCAAGCAATCCTGCCTCGGGTTCCTAAAGGAAGCTCACATTGGAGGTGTGAGCCACCACACCTGGCCTATAAGGGGAATTTAAGGGACTCTCTACTATGATGTCCCTTCTCCCAATCCCTTTCCGCATGTAGAAGAGGGTTCTGTTGAGTGACTGGCATTTGCTTATATTTCTCAGTGCTATGCCCAGTGTAATGGAAAAGGCACAGACTGGCTCAAGAGCCCAGGGATTTCAGTTCCAGGCCAAGCTCATCCACTGACTGACAGAGTCAGTCAAACTTGTTTGGATTTCAGATTCTTCATCTGAATAACGTAGATAACACTTATCCCATAGTACACTGCAAAGATGACACGTGACAGTGAACAAGTTAGTTTCCGTTTAAATATTAAGAATTAGGCCAGGCGCAGTGGCTCACACCTGTAACCCCAACACTTTGGGAGGTCGAGGCGAGTGGATCACAAGGTCAGGAGTTCGAGACCAGCCTGGCCAATATGGTGAAACCCTGTCTCTACTAAAAATACAAAAATTAGGTGGGTGTGGTGGTGGGCGCCTCTAATCCCAGCTACTTGGGAGGCTGAGGCAAGAGAGTCGCTTGAACCCGGGAGGCAGAGGTTGCAGTGAGCGAAATTGCGCCACTGCACTCCAGCGCCTGGGTGACAGAGTGAGACTCAGTCTAAAAAAAAGAAAGGAAAAAAGAATGAGATTAGAGAGGGCCTTCATTCCTCCTGGAAGAACACCTGATGTACCTGAAATCTTTGTTGGTGACAGGAAATATGTCGATAGCATAGGGTTTCACTGTTGCCTCCCACACAGGGCCTTCACCATCTCTGTCATCTGGAGAATTTGTTCCCATCAGGAATCTCCCACCTGGCAGTGGGACCATGCTAGTAGCCTGTCCATTTCCTGCAGATAAAAAAGAGAGGTATCGGTAATACATGCATATATATAAAACAAGTGGTAATATTTGGATCGTATGCAATACTCATGATGGTATGACAAAACAAAACAAAAAATGTGGAGGTTTAAAAATCTGGCTTTAAATTCCTTTTGCATTTTGTTTGCCTTCACATTCTTGTTCTGCCACTTAGTTTGATGGGAAACCTTAGGCAAATTTCTTAATCTGAGATTCAATTTCTTTTCTTTTTTCTTTTTTTTTTTGTGACGGGATCTCACTCTGTCACCCAGGCTGGAGTGCAGTCATGCAGTCTTGGCTCACTACAGCCTCTGCCCCCGTGGGCTCAAGCAGTCCTCCCACCTCAGCCTCCTAAGAGCTGGGACCACAAGTGTGCACCACCACGCCTGGCTAATTTTTGTATTTTTTGTAGAGATGGGGTTTTGTTATGTTGCCCAGGCTGGTCTCAAACTCCTGAGATCAAGTGATCCTTCCACCTCAGCCTCCCAAAGTGCTGGGATTACAGGTGTGAGCCAACACGCCCGGCTGAGATTCAATTTCTTCATCTGAAAAATGAGGATACCTATGGACAACTGTAGCTTGTTCATAAAAGAAAAAAAAAATAAGTATGAAAAATGGGGATACTATCTCACTATCTCTTAGGTAGTAGCTGTATCAATTAAAGTAACATGGAACCAGGTTCAATGGCTCAGAGACAGGGTGCAGAAGCGAAGGCAGGAGGATTGCTTGAGCCCAGGAGTTCAAGGTTGCGGTAAGCTATGATCATGTCACTGCACTCCAGCCTGGGTGACAGAGTGAGATCCTGTCTCAAAAAATAAAAAATAAAAAGATAGTAATAAAATAGCATGGGTGAAATGTTGCGCACATGATAGATTTGCACTTACCTCTTTCTTCCTCTACACAAACCCTTGCCCCAACTAGGCGAATTTAGACACTCTACCCTAAAATACATCTAGCACTTTCTACCCATCCTTCTGCTCATGCTGTTTCTCTGCCTCTTCCTCTCCATTTACTGAACTCTTACAGTTCTTGGTGATTCTCACCATTATATGCTCCAGAAGGGAAGTATATAATACATATATATTTTTGACAGTATATACCTGGTCCCTGCCATAAATGCGCAATGATTATCGCCAAATAGTTAAATGAGCACCTTTAGACTTGTTTGAATGCCTCAGAAATATCATAGAATTAAAAAGGACCGGCCAGGCATGGTGGCTCACGTCTGGAATCCCAGCACTTTGGGAGGCAGAGGTGGGCAAATCACCTGAGGTCAAGAGTTAAAGACCAGCCTGGCCAACATGGCGAAACCCCATCTCTATTAAAAATACAAAAATTAGGCTGGGTGCGGTGGCTCACACCTGTAATCCCAGCACTTTGGGAGGCCAAGGTGGGCGGATCACGAGGTCAGGAGATCAAGACCATCCTGGCTAACAAGGTGAAACCCCATCTCTACTAAAAACTACAAAAAAATTAGCTGGGCCTGGTGGCGGGCACCTGTAGTCCCAGCTACTCGGGAGGCTGAGGCAGGAGAATGGTGTGAACCCGGGAGGTGGAGCTTGCAGTGAGCTAAGATCGTGCCACTGCACTCCAGCCTGGGCAACAGAGCGAGACTCCATCTCAAAAAAAAAAAAAAAAAAGCCAGGCATGATGGTGCACACCAGTAATCCCAGCTACTTGGGAGGCTGAGGCAGGAGAATCACTTGAACCTGGGAGGCGGAGGTTATAGTGAGCCAAGATCGTGCCACTGCACTCCAGCTTGGGGGACAGAGCGAGACTCTGTCTCAAAATAAATAAAAAAGGGTCTGTGCTTCAAACTCCTTATTCCACAGGAGGAAACCAAGACCCAAAAAAGAAATATGACTTAAAGAGCTGGTTAGCAGCTGACAGGACTAGATTCGGGTCTCTTTACAGTACTGTTTCCAATAGGCCACACTTCTTCAGCTTGATGCACCACTTCAGTGTCTTTACAAGAAAGGATGTCTAAGCACTGTAACTTCTTTCAAGGCAGAGTCCTGGTCTTTTGATGTTCCTCAAGATCCTGTCTTTGGCTCTCTTATTCTGACACATTCACACTGATTTCATCCATTTTTTTTCTTTCTTTTTGTTTTTTTTTTTTTGAGGCAGAGCCTTGCCCTGTTGCCCAGGCCAGAGTGCAGTGGCATGATCTCGGCTCACTGCAACCTCTGTCTCCTGGGTTTAAGCGATTCTCCTGCCTCAGCCTCCTGAGTAGCTAAGACTACAGGTGCGTGCCAACACTCCCAGCTAATTTTTTGTATTTTTAGTAGAGATGGGGTTTCACCATATTGGCCAGGCTGGTCTTGAACTCCTGACCTTGTGATCCACCCGCCTTGGCCTCTCAAAGTGCTGGGATGACAGGCTTGAGCCACCGCGCCTGGCCTATTTTCAGTTTCTTCAACAAATATATCACCAAGGGGAAAAAATGGATCATCCTGGCATGGTGTCTCAGGCCTGTAATCCCAGCACTTTGGGAAGCTGAGGCAGGGATTGCTTGAGGCCACAGTGAGCTATGATGGCACCACTGCACTCCAGCCTGGGCAACACAGTGAGACCTTGTCCCCCCGCCCCACCAAAAAAACAAATAAATAAAAGGAGTAAGTAGGGAAATAATCAGATTGAATCAGAATTAAGAAATAACATACAATTGCAATGTATGAGCTTTATTTTGTCCCTAATTCAGCCAGCAAACGTTAAAAACCCTTTATGAGATAATAGATGAATTTGAACAGATTGGATATATTATTAAGCAGCACTGCCAGTTTTTTAGTTGAGAAAGGGTAATTATTTTTTCGTGACTTCTTTTGACTATTCCAGCTGAAGGTTTAGAATAAAATGGGTTATGTCTGGACCCACTTCAAAATGGCTCCAGGAGACGGGGAGAGTGCGATTCCACAGGAGCAGGACTGGCCACAAACTGGCAGCTCTTTAAGGTGGCCCACGAGTACGTGAGGGCAGGGGTCGTTCCTCGTTACATTCTCCTCTTTCCCTTTTTTTTTTTTTTGAGATGAAGTCTCGCTCTATCTCCCAGGCTGGAGTGCAGTGTCACAATCTCGGCTCACTGCAGCCTCCGCCCCCTGGCTTCAAGCGATTCCCCTGCCTCAGCTTCCTGAGTAGCTGGGATTACAGGCCTACGCCACCACGCCCGGCTGATTTTTTGTATTTTTGTGGAGACGGGGTTTCACCATGTTGGCCAGGCTGGTCTCCAACTCCTAACCTCAAGTGATCCACCCGTCTCGGCCTCCCAAAGTGCTGGGATTATAGGCATGAGCCACCGCGCCCGGCCTCTCTTTCCCTTTTATAAGTTTGAAAGATTCCAGAGCAAGAAGTTGAAAGCACAAGGCGGTGAGGCACCCTGCGCACCGAGAGCGACCTCCCCAGCCGGCGGCTGCAGGCGCATCCCGGAAGCGGGCAGAGGGGCCTCAGGCTCTCTCCCGCCAGGGCGGAGGGCCCCATCCCCTTTCCCAGCGCCCCCGGCGTGGCCGGCGGTTCAATGACCTAGCCTGAGCCACGCACCAACCAGGAGCGACAGCAGGGACAGCAGCGGTGATGAACAACCCATGCTGGCATCAGGACTGGCGCGCCACGCCGCGCACACCCACGGCCCCGCTGCTCATCCGCCCTCACGCACCACGGTGGCAGTCGCCTCCTCCACACATGCGCATGCTGCTCCACCACCGCCCCTCACCCAACGGTTCAGCGGGGGAAACTGACGGACACGAGGTGTAGGACTGGCCATACCACCTGCAAGGCTGCCCAGGGAAGTAAGGAAAAGCAGGTTGAGGGTCCCTAGAGGCCCCTTCACTACTTTTTGAACCTTTGGACAGCTTTCATTCCCTTTAAGATTGCTTCTGTGTGTCAAACCATTGCAAGACCACAAAGGAGGTTTCAACTTAACATTTATTTGCACACTCCAGGTCACTGCTGAGCCCCCAAAACCCACAGCCTAGTAACACCAACTTCACTTTCAAGGACCGCAGAGATAGACCAACTATATAAATCTTGTGGAAACATAGTAATTTGGGTGAGGAAACTATGACGCTAGAGGCTTTGGGATGAATATTTTGCATAAGCAAAAGTTCAGAAGCTTGAAAATATAGTCAGCCTACAAATCTCAAATTTCACCTGATAACCGTAGCCCTTAGCCACCATGCCTTCCAGCTCTCTCAACTCCCTTGCCTCTAGTTTACTCCTCTTCCCATTTCCTACAACTTTGTAGGGGGAGCATTTTAGCAAAGCTATTTCAAAAGCGTGAAAAGTCCAACTGATCAATAAATTTACTCAGAAATTTACACTAACGGGATGCTTCCAAAATTTTAAATTACTAAGCGTTATTTATATTAGCATAAAAATTTTAAAACCAGATGCTTAACAATAGGGTACTGCTGAATAATTTAACATATGTCCACATAAAATTAAACCATTAAAATCTGCTTTTTCAAGGAATATTTAATAAGGTAGGTAATATATGCTTATTTAACATGGAATTTTATGTCACTGCTGCTAAAGCAAAACATCCTGTTCACTGGGTGAAAGACCTGCTTTATCTGTGTACACTTCAGTGCAATTTTTAAAAAATACTGTAATTATAATTTCAGAACTTCCACAGATGCCAGTGTTCTCTCCTTTTTTCACATGGGAAAATTCCCTTGAAACTCATTTGAAGCTTGGACAAAAATTCCACAGCTGTATTCTTCAGGATCACTTTGCAGAGTCTTCAAGACTCAGATACAGAGGAAGCTTCAATTCAACCTTTCAGAGAAGACATTCCAGCTCGCATGATCTCATCAACCAAGAGAATGTTGGTGGCAATCAGTGCTGAAAGGGGGATAAAAATTAGATAGCTCAGATGATTAGGAGCCCTAATTCGACTCAACTTCCCACTTCCAACTAAGCTGCACACGTTAACATCCAATTAAATTTCCCCCTTCCCCTCTACACATCAGAGGGCGAGTTCGGTTTCCATACTTTTCAGCTGATTACATTATTCATGGGGGAAAATGAGCGACTAAACAGAAAACACCAAATGAAAAGAGTATGATGATTCTCTAACAGTTTAGTTTTCATTTTCCCAAACTTACCAGGAATGAAGAAGCTGTTTCTTTACACAATCGTTATCCCATAATGCCTGCTTCTGCTGCTACCACGGGCTCACCTAAAAGGCAACCAAAGTAAGTTCAGTCAATAAGAACCAACAATACTGTGTGTGGCTTTGCTTATCACCGATGACTCATTTCCTCCAGTATTAACTATGGGAATTCAAAGCTTCTCTGTTAGCCCAATTTTCTACTCTAAACCATGACCCCTGTCCACAATATTTGAGGAGTGTCTGACTTCTACTTAGAAGACCTGAACACCCCTCTCTCCTTCTGGATACATTTCTGTTTACCCATACTAAAGTACAGCACTGCAACTCTAATCTGGCTAAAATGGACTGATCATTTCCCTCATTCCAGAAATCTTTTTTATTAAATAATAATGTTGACAGCAATAGGTCTTGCACATACTGCATGGATGTACCTGTTATCTGTCTCCTACTTTGTACTTAATTTGTGTTGTTTTGTTACAGGGGCCTAAGATCAGGGCTGTCACCATTTCATTAGATTTCTAGATCCCCTCTTCTGGCATTATTTGCTATCTTTAGCTGTTTTTCACCCATGAATATAATCACCCAATCTATTTTCTTATCATAGTACTTGATTAAAAACTGAGTAAGGTGGCCGGGTGCGGTGCTTCACGCCTGTAATCCCAGCATTTTGGGAGGCTGAGGCGGGCAGATCACGAGGTCAGGAGATCGAGACCATCCTGGCTAACACGGTGAAACCCCATCTCAACTAAAAATACAAAAAATTAGCCAGGCGTGGTGGCAGGTGCCTGTAGTCCCAGCTACTCGGGAGGCTGAGGCAGGAGAATGGCGTGAACCTGGGAGGCAGCAGTTGCAGTGAGCCAAGATCTTGCCACTGCACTCCAGCCTGGGCAACAGAGCAAGACTCCGTCTCAAAAAAAAAAAAAAAAAGAAAAAAAAAGAAACAACTGAGTTTAAGGCAAATGCAATATGAAAATCCTTCAACATTAATCTGAACCACCTACCACCACTCAACATCTCCAACAAAACTATACCAAAATTACTCAGTCTACTCTACTCCCTTAATTATTATACTTAGTCATTCCATTTTTTATTAATATCCTATTTTATCCCATTTTAGAACCCAGACTTCCCTAATAGTACTGGTGTCAAATTGCAAAGCAAAAGATTTTTTTTTTTGGTCCCCATTTTGAATCTTTCCTGGCTTCAACTCACATGTACTACATCTAGTTTTTCCTCTACAAACAGTTGCATTCTCTTACCTGTGTTCAGGTCCACACCCACGAGCTGACCTGATTCTGAATGTTCTGCTTAAATTTTAACTAATGTTTCCTGAAGGTCAAAACCAGAATTCTGAGCAAGAACCTAAAGTAAACAAATTTAATTCCTGAGAAAACAGGAAGAATTGATATTTAAAAAAAAAAAAAAAAAAAAAAGGCTGGGCATAGTGGCTCACACCTGTAATCCCAGCACTCTGAGAGGCCGAGGCGGGTGGATCACAAGGTCAAGAGATCGAGACTATCCTGGCCAACATGGTGAAACCCTGTCTCTACTACAAATACAAAAAATTAGCTGGGCATTGTGACACGTGCCTGTAGTCCCAGCTACTCAGGAGGCTGAGGCCGGAGAATCGCTTGAAACTGAGAGGTGGAGGTTGCCGTGAGCCGAGATCATGCCACTGCACTCCAGCCTGGGCGACAAGAGACTGCATCTCAAAAAAAAAAAAAAAAAAAAAGAGCAAAAGAAAATCTCGGCCAGATGCAGTGGCTCACGCCTGTAATCCCAGCACTTTGGGAGGCCAAGCCAGGTGGATCGCCTGAGGCCAGGAGTATGAGACCAGTCTGGCCATCATGGTGAAACCCCACCTCTACTACAAATACAAAAGAAACCTAGCCGGGTGTGGTGGCAGGCGCCTGTAATCCCAGCTACTGGGGAGGCTGAGGTTGCAGTGGGCCGAGATCACACCATTGCACTCCAGCCTGGACAACAAGAGCAAAACTCTCAAAATTCTTAAAAGCAAAACAAAACAAAAAAAGAATCTCATTGCATGAAGACAGAACATTTATGTTCCCTTCAGAGAATAACCAGACACAAGTTACTGATCAACTGTCTCATCTACCCCAAACCCAGCAGCAATACACGAGTCATAAGCTATACTTCAAAATTAGTATATAATAAAAAACAATGATATCAGTTTAGCTAAAACCAAAACAAAAAGCAAGTTTGTACTCAAGTATAACCCCTAATACTGCAAATATTAAGCTACAGGTTCTCTCTTGCCATCTGAAACGTCAGCTATTCAGGCCTCCCAGAGAAACCAAATACATTTGGATGTTCCAGAGTCAGGAAGAAAACTGATCAATCCTGTTTATCCAAAATCCGTATTATGAATGAATAAAGCCTACATTATCAAAAGGGTTTGATCAGCTGAATCTTTTGGAAGATTGACTGTTTAAGGCATACACACCTTGGGAATAACGAGCAACGCATCAGCAAATGCTTGGACTCCAAGCTGTGCCTTGCCCTTTACACTGAGCTTATATTTATTCAGGGCTTCTGCCATTGCCACTTCCACAGCACCAGCACCCGGAACCACACAGCCTGTTGGATGGGGGAAAAAGAAAAATGCTAAGAAAACTGTAGAACTAATTATGAATAACAAAATATACATATGAAAGCCATTAATTTCTTACAAATTCACTATGACCACATCAATTTAAGTACTGCATGTGAAAGCCACAATACAAGCGACTAACATATCAAATAGGAGAATGGTCCAACCAGAATGGCTTCACTGGCCACTGGCAGCCTTTCAGCAGATCAGTATTAGTTCATTTATTTGTATTCACCTTTAATAATGATATGCTATGAAAAACCTTAGCATACCATCAGTCATTCTAAAGGGAAGACTGCTTTTGCATGGTGTCTGGCTGTGTAAACTACTGATAAAAGAACACAGTATTCAGCCATGCTTTTCAGACCAGCAAAACAATTTAATAGAATTGAAATATGGTGAGGATCTTACCATCATCAACAGCATTTTTGACAGCCCTCAAGCCATCCCTTACTGCATCTTTGATCTAAGTGTGGGCTTATTTGGTCCTTTGATCAATAATGTGATAGAACGAGGGTTGTTACACTTCTCAATAAAGGTGAACTTCTCCCTTTGTGTAGAAGAAACATGATTTTCAAAAACACGATGTGTGCAAAGAGAGAAGAGGGACTTACAGAGAATGACAAGCAGCATATTAATAAGGAACAAACTTGATCACATCAAACCAAATTATCTTTTTGAAAAATCACATATAAATGGCTTCCCATTACTACACATAAACCTTCAAAATGTATATAAACAAAAATCTGATCCTGAATTTCAATTGATTTTTCTGCTAAAGACTTCATGAACCAGGCACAGTGGCTCCTGCCTGTAATCTCAGCACTTTGGGAGGCTGAGGGTGAAGGACAGCCTGAGCCCGAGAGTTTAAGACCAGCCTGGGCAACACAATACCACCCTGTTTCTACAAAAATTACAAAAAAAATTTAGCCAGGCATGGTAGCACATGTCTGTGGTCCCATTTGCTCAGGAGCCTGAAGCAGGAGGATCACTTGAGCCCAGGATGAGGAGGCTACAGTGAGCTGTGATCACACCACTGCACTCCAGCCCGGGCAGGAGTGAGAACCCATCTCAAACAAAACAAAAATAATTCATGAGCTAAAAAGTTCTATTACCCTCAGGAAGAAAATACACTTACCAATGTATACTCATATACAAGTCCTGCATGTCCCAAGCAGTCAGGACTTAGGTCCTCAAAAGAATTCAGGGCCACCCCACCACAAGCAAGAGTCAGCCTGAAATAGCATTTTAAGGGAAATGAATAAGCAATGTTACCAGTGAAGTTCAAAGAGAAGACCAGTAATTTCTAGGAAGGAATTTTTCAGAATTACACACAAAATTACAGTTTAAAATGTACTTTAACCTAAGCCTTTTCATTTGCCATCAACCAGCTGAAAACCAGTCTTTTAACCCTCCATTTAAACCACTCTCCCCAAGTCAGCAAATGAAATCTAAAGATGGACAAGAGCTCTTTATTGGCCAGGCATGGTGGCTCACGCCTGTAATCCCAACACCTTGGGAGGCTGAGGTGGGTGGATCACTTGAGGCCAGGAGTTTGAGACCAGCCTAGCCAACATGGCAAAACCCCACCTCTACCAAAAAAGCAAAACGAAAACGAAACATTCAACGGGCATGGTGGCAGACACCCGTAATCCTAGCTACTCGGGAGGCTGAGGCACAAGAATCCTAAGAACCCAGGAAGTAGAAGTTGCAATGAACCACGATCATGCCACTGTACAACAGAGCAAGACTGTCTCAAAAAAATAATAAAATAATATTTTTAAAAAAACTTTTATTGTGGTGAGCTCTTTGGGAGAAAGTATACTGAATTCAGAGACAAAAAGTAAAATAATGTTTACAAGGGCATAGAGGGAATGAGAAATGGGGAGTAACTATTTAATGGGTATACAGTTTCAGTTTGTGATGATAAAAAAAATCCTAGAGATGGACAGTGCTGATGGGTGCAAAATAACGCGAATATAGTTAATGCCAATTAATTGTACAGTTGAAAACCCAAAAATAAAGTATAAGGAAAAACAAATAATCCCAATTCATTTGCAAAATAAGTAAAAGTCAAATTACTTGGATAAATCTGCTACTCATACCTCTCCATATTCCTCCTTTTAGCTCTGTGAAGAGCGACTATGCCTTCTTTGAAAGAGCATCTAAGGAAAAGGGGTCAATTCCCTATAACAAAAATAAAAATTAGTTTCAACATCTTTCACCTTAAAAGTAAAAAGGATGATACATACTATTTAGTTTATACACTGGATTTTCATTCTCACCTTTTGATTAATAACAAATCCTTTATCTGAATCACCACAGACTTTCCTTTTCAGTTCTATTATTTGTTTTAACTCTATCTTCAATGAATTTTCTTTCAGCTTTTATGAGTTTTTCTCTTTCTGCACTCTTGTAAAAAAAGCCAGAATTCACTTCTCTATTAAGAAAAAAAAAAAAGTTACAGAAAGCAGGGAAACATTTATTTTTTGAGAAAATAGCTTCTGAAACTGGATTAGTCCTAAGATTTAACAAACAGCTCACTGAGCTCCAATCCTACCCCTTGCACATCTTCAGAGGCTGTTTCCTATAACTCTCCCAAACCAATTTGAGGATTATTGTCCTTAGAGTGGGAAACGAAGTTTCACAAAAAAGTAACTCACCTAAAACACGAAGCTCCTCCATTTAAGTTAAGGGGCTATAAACTTAAGTTTTTTCATATTCTAATGACACGTTACAAATGAGGATATATGCATCCTCCACCCTTTTCTTCCTATCAAGATGCTATGCTCCATGGTCCAAAACAAGCCCTCTGATTAAGCTGTTCAAACATACACAAAATTATGGTTATTGATTTCCAGATGGGTGTACGTTAAACACCGAACTGAGAAGGCACTGATAATTTTCATGCAGTCAGCGTTGTTTCTTGAATTACTTGAAGATCCTATGCTGTACAGAAAAGTCTGCAGAGATAGTCTCCCTGATAGGCTGTCAAACTGTGATGATATCTTTTAAAAACATGTTTTCTGCCAAGTGCCTGTAATGCCAGCACTTGGGGAGGCAGAGGTGAGAGGACACCTTAATCCCAGGAATTCAAAACCAGGCTATGCAACATAAGGAGACTCCATTCTCCATAAAAAGAAAGGAAAAATGAACATATACATGTTTTCTAACTAAGTCTTTAGAAAAAAAAATTTTTTTAATTCCTCTACTGCTTCTCATTATGCTTTGTACCTAGCAATTCAATAAACGCCAAATGACTGATGTTGTTCACCTTTCGGAATAATTCTACCCATAAATACAACATAACATTCACCTTATTTCAGGAGAAAATATTACTAAAAGTAAAAACAATCTTCACCTAGCAATTTATCCAACTTATATCTTCACCGAGCAATTTATCCAACTGATACCTTCAGGTAAATATACAACATTTTATATCCAAATATATTAAAAATTTTGCCAACAATATATATTGTACAAAGCACCCCTAAATTTCAAAACACACTTTATTAGTTTTTTTTTTTTTTTTGAGATGGAGTTTTGCTCTTATCACCCAGGCTGGAGTGCAATGGTGTGGTCTTGGCTCACTGCAACCTCTGCCTCCCAGTTTCAAGCAATTCTCCTGCCTCAGCCTCCCAAGTAGCTGGGATTACATGAGCCCGCCACCATGCCTGGCTAATTTTTGTAATTTTAGTAGAGACGGGGTTTCCCCATGTTGGCCAGGCTGGTCTCGAACTCCTGACCTCAGGTGATCTACCCACCTCAGCTTCCCAAAGTGCTGGGATTACATGCCTGAGCCACCAGGCCCCACCGTTAGTATTTCATAGTCTTCTACCACCTACCTCGTATCAGTTTCAGATTTATGTTTCTTGTCAATGATCACAAAATCATGAAGAGATCAATAGGTTCATCTTTTCTTTTAATGGCCAAAATGGAGCCCACTACAGCCTGCAATAGGAGAAGGATAACCATTAAGTAAATTCAATTTGCAGCAGCAGAAACATGTTGCTTTTCAGAAGGCTAAAGTAGACAGTTTCTTCATTTTATAATCTCTACACTGATATAAGTCTTTTTCTATAAGCAGATAGAATACATTATATATGAACAGCTGTTACATTTCTGAAATCTCAATCTGTAATTCCCAAACATTAACATTCCTTAACATTAATATTCCTCCTGGTGTTTCATTAAAAATACTGATAACTGGACGCTTTCTAATAACAAAATCTCCACTTTATAAACCGTTTAATGAAAGCTCCAATTTTACTTTTAAAACCCGGTTAGGTATACTATTATTTGAATTTCCTCATTTTACTTTTTAGAGACACAGATTAGGTATCACTGCCACAAAAATGAAGCTACATAGCACCTTGTGATTGAAATTGGTAATTATATTCACGTTTCTACTATCAGAGATTTTCTATACAGGTGTACCATACGAGACACAGACAAAATTTAATACATACCTCTGTTAAGACATCTGCAAGTTCAGCATGAACTTTAGTACAAAGAGATGCCCTGGCCACATCTTTAAGTGTTTCCTTGTCCATCTCTCTGCTTACTTTGACTTCTTCCAAAAAATGAAGGGCCTTTTCCTTCACAGCTTCAAATCCTTCAGTGATTATTCTGGGATGAAGGCCCTACAGTAAACACACAATAACACTTGCATCTTCAATTAGGTGCAACTATAGTTCATGATAAAGTTCAGATAATTCTTGGAGGGATATTCTGATCATCATATCTTTGAACACGAGGTAATATAATGTGCTGGCTTTCTGAATACATTTAAAGGGATAAATATTCCTTTCAATGCAGAGGAGAAGAGCAGGCAATGCTCTAGCACAGGGTCAAAGCCAAGGGAACTATAAAGCACACTTGGGTGTTCACTGTGCAAACCACTCCGAATCATGTCAAAACCGACACTGTGTCCCAACAACTCACAGATGGTAGCATTATTCTATCTTTTCTATAGGTAATCTCAAACTAATTCACATCATTTACTAATAAAAATAAATAAAGACTGTCTGCTCTCTTTTACCAGAAAATTCTGACAATAGATTCGTAGTCACTGAGGTTTGTTTTAAACCTTGGAACTAGTCAGGGCTAAAAAAGTGGAATTTATCTAAATGTAAGCTTTTGGTTGTATTTTTCCTAACAAATAAATATGCCTAGTCCTAAACATCCCATTTTAAAATCTCCATTATTAATCTAAAGACAGATACAAATCACATAGGCAATTCAACTTGATTACAAAATTATTTTCAGGCCAAAAAAGTTTCCATAACCTGTCCAAGCTCACAACAAATTTGTTTTAGACCAAGACAAAGACCCAGATTTAAGCCCCCTAATTCTACTGTATGGCCTCCGCTAGTATTAACACATCAATTTGTATAAATAAGTATCTGACACATCCTATATACAATAAAATATTACAGAAACAAGAGTTGTGTGCCGGGCGTGGTGGCTCACGCCTTTAATCCCAGCACTTTGGGAGGCCAAGACAGGTGGATCACCTGAGGTCAGGAGTTTGAGACCAGCCTGACCAACGTGGAGAAACCCCGTCTCTACAAAAAATACAAAATTAGCCGGGCGTGGTGGCGCATGCCTGTAATCCTAGCTACTCGGGAGGCTGAGGCTGGGAATTGCTTGAACCCAGGAGACGGACGTTGCAGTGAGCCGAGATGCCATTGCACTCCAGCCTGGACAACAAGAGTAAAACCCCATCTCAAAAAAACAAAACAAAAAAAAGTTGTGCATACTTCAGAAATGTAGAGATCCGCCTGTTTCAGCAGCTCTCCAATGATTAGGACGTTGGAAGTCGTACCATCACCAGTTATATCATCCTGGGCTGTTGCTACCTTTGCTATTAAGGAAGCTGTTGGGTGTTGAATTTGCTGAAAGTAGAAAAAGAATGAATCACTTAAAACAATATGAAACAGTCTAAAAATACCACAAATAAAATGCATGAAGGGCCTCTTTAAGTACTATCTACTTGAAAAAGCTACCCAAGTGTTTGGCTACAAATTACTAAGATTAAAAAGTCACAATTAGCTATCACGTGCATGAAATTATAATGATGGAAACATTTTTATGTGTAATTTATTTCCCAGGTTATCTCTACTTTACAGATGAGGAAGCTTGAGGCTCAGTAAAAGTTTACTCAAGATGACAGCTAACAGTTAACAGTAACAGATAATTTTACATCCTTGCCTCTTTAGGCAAGTGTAGGGCTCTAGTGACAATAAGCCAGGTATCTCCTAAAATGAAAGCTCAGCAGCCTCCACTGTTACTCTGCAATGGCCAAATAATTTAAAAGGAAAGGTCAGGTGCGTTAGCTCATGCCTGTAATCCCAGCACTTTGGGAGGCCACAGCAGATGGATCCCTTGAACTCAGGAATTCAAAACCAGCCTGAGCTACATGGCAAAATCCTGTCTCTTAAAAAAAAAAAAAAAAAAAAAAGCGGAAAAAAATTGTATTTTAGAGGTAAAATGACATGTCTGCAGCTTACCTTCAAATGATTCAGAGGAAAAATAGAAAAGAAATGGAGCAACATGTAAACAATTGGTGAATCTAGGTAAAGGGCACACACAATATAATTATTATTTTCACAGGTTTGTAATTTTTTCAATGAAAACTGAAAAACAGACTTCTGGAGATTGGAGAGAGGTTCCAGTGGGAGGGGACTTCTGAGGTGGTAGCAACAATTTATTTCTTAACTACAATGGTGGTTGTGTGTGTCCACTTCATAATTATTTCCTAAATTGTAAATGTTCTATGTGCTTATGCTGTATTTCTCAAACACTAAAACCCAAATAATTTTTTTTGTTGTTGTTGGTGACAGTCTCACTCTGTCGCCTAGGCTGGAGAGTGCAGTGGCACAATCTTGGCTCACTGAAACCTCAGCCTCCCAGCTTCAAGCAATCGATTCTCCTGCCTCAGCCTCTGGAGTAGCTGGGACTACAGGCATACAGAACCATGCCTGGCTAATTTTTGTATTTTCAGTAGAGACGGAGTTTCACCATGTTGGCCAGGGCTGTTCGTGAACTCCTGGCCTCAAGTGATCCACCTACCTCGGCCTTCCAAAGTGCTGAGATTACAAGAATGAGCCACTGCACCCAGCCCCAAAACAATTCTGACGTCAAGTTTAACCGTGGCTCCACTTTTCTGCTAACATGGGCCACCACTGAACCCAGTAAAAACAAAAACACCTCCTAGATTAGCAAGTCTTTATTAAAGATATTTCATCTGGATGTTGATAGCATGGTATACTACTAGCAAAACCCTAATTATTCTGAACTCAAATCAGCAGGAAATCATTTCCCTTTCTTGGATTTGAACTGCTAAGTTTTGGGAATTTCGGGATGAGTAAAATGCATACTCCCTTCAATAATCTCATATTCTCCATCCCCTAAGACTTTAAAAATGTTAAAGCAAAGAGATTTCTCTCCCCTCCAGTTGGAGATGGAGATGAGACATAACAGAGAAATTGCTGTTTTAAAAAGAGAAAACCTGGCCAGATGTGGTGGCTCATGCCTGGTAATCCCAGCACTTTGGTAGGCTGACTCAGGCGGATCACCTGAAGTCATGAGTTCAAGACCGGCCTGGCCAACATGGTGAAATACCATCTCTACAAAAAATACAAAAATTAGCTGGGCATGGTGGAGCAAGCCTGTAATCCCAGCTACTTGGGAGGCTGAGACAGGAGAATCACTTGAACCCAGGAGGCGGAGGTTGCAGTGAACCACTGGACTCCAGGCTGGGCGACAGAGTGAGATTCTGTCTTTAAAAAAAACCATAAAGAGAAAAACCATCCTCATGCATTTTGCCCATGTGATTGTGTCAACCACCCTTACTTTTTCAAATTTTATTATAATTAATGTACAATTACAGTCCTTTAGCCCAGACTGTGAATGGCAAAAAAGCAGGGATTCAAAGACAGGGCTGTCAGACTCCAGGCACAGTCAGTACTATTACTGTCACTGTTACATGTCACTTTTAAAGTACACCTTCCACTTCTCTTTCCATTATGTTAACCATTTCCTCTACTTTTTTGAACTGACAGCATATTTATAATTGCTGTTTTCATGTCTTCGTCTGTTAATTCCATCATCTCTGTCATTTCTGGATCTAGTTCTGTTGATTGTTCTCCTGATTACATCATATTTTCCTGGTTCTTTGCATGCTTGGTCATTTTACTGAATGCCAAACATTATGAGTTTTGTGTTTTGGGTGTTGGATTTTGTGTTTTTCTTTAAATAGGGCTGGACTTTGTTCTCACACACAGGTAAGATTCTTTAAATCGGCTGTATCTTCCAAGACTTGCTTTTTCATTGTTAGAGTAGATCCAGAGTAGCCTTTAACTTAGGGCGAATTTAGCCTCATTACAATGCCCTTTTGATGCCCTTGCATATACTCTGGCTAATGGGAACACAGACTATTCCCAGCTCTGTGTGAGTCCCAGGAATTGTTTGGCCTGCTGCTTTCCAGTGGGGTTCTTTCTCTGGCCTCAGGTGCTCTCCTCTCATGCACCTGTAGATCAGGACTCAACCAGATTTCAGGAGACTCCTCCACCTATCTCTGGAGTTCTGTGTACAACTCCCACCCCTCTGGTACTCTGCCCCACGAATGATGACAACCTTCCCTTCCTGCCAACCCCCATCTTGTCCTCCCAATTCTAAGACACCATGCTCTATTTGACTTCCCCATCCCTGCTCTGCAGCCTGAAAACTACCTCCAGATAATAAATTGGGGCAACCATAGAGCTCAGTAGGTTTGTTTCCCATCTTTCAGTGACCACAGTCTTGCTTTGCCTGTTACCCAATGCCCACAAATTGCTATTTCATATATTGTTGCTTAAAATAGCAAGGTAAATCCAGTCCTTGTTATTCTATCACTGCTGGACAGAATATATATCGCAAATCAAGTAACAGTTTCTCAATTTGTATCTTGTTGTTGTTGCTGTTTTGAGATAGGGTCTCACTCTCACCCAGGCTGGAGTGCATTGGCTCATAACTCACTGCAGCTTCAATTTCCTGGTCTCAAGGCATCCTCCCACCTAGGCCTCCCAAAGCATTGGGATTATAGGCACGTGCCAGCCACTATGCCCTCAACTTAGTATTTAAATGCTTAGCCTTCATCCAGCTCTACCTCTTTATAACACCAAAAAAAAATTTTCCTCCTTTTTTTCTTGGAATTTGCTCTTCTTAGTTTGACACTCAACTCTTAATTCTCCTACCTCTTTGATTATCATTTCTGATTCTTGAATCTTGAAAGTTCTAGGCAAGTTTCCAAAATCCTATTCTTGCCGCATTTTCTTCTCCATCTGTGTAGGATCTCACCAGTGAAATTTCAACAAGTCCCACAAATTCATTCATAACCTCTTTTGCAGAAGTCTACGTGACTGGCCTTGGACTTCTTCATTCACAGAGGGGAAAAGGGTGAATACAAAATATAATTTCTACTACACTTTAAAATTTATGTATGTACTTCTATTATTATTATTTTTATTATTATTTTTAGCAGAGTCTTGCTCTGTCACCCAGGCAGGAGTTCAATGGTGCAATCTTGGCTCAGGGCAACCTCTGCCTCTGGGGTTCAAGCGATTCTCATGCCTTAGCCTCCCGAGTAGCTGGGACTACAGGCATGTGCCACAACACCCAGTTCTAATATTTGTATTTTTAGTAGAGATGGGGTTTCACCTTGTTGGCCAGGCTGGTCTTGAACTCCTGGCCTTAAGTGATCCACCAGCCTCAGCCTCCCAAAGTGCTGGGATTACAGGCGTGAGCCACCATGCCCAGCTATATATGTAGTTTTATACATATACAACCAGAGGAAAAAACAGCAGTTAATTCACTTAAGGTATTAAGAATGATGATCTGTTTTGTGGGTAACATTTTCTTTATTTTTCTATATTTTCTTTCTTTCTTTTTTTTTTTGAGACAGAGCCTTGCTCTGTCACCCAGGCTGGAGTGCAGTGGCACGATCTCAGCTCACTGCAAGCTCTGCCACCCCTCCCGGGTTCATGCCATTCTCCTGCCTCACAGCCTCCTGAGTAGCTGGGACTACGGGTGCCCACCACGCCTGGCTAATTTTTTTGTATTTTTAGTAGAGACGGGGTTTCACCGTGTTAGCCAGGATTGTCTCGATCTCCGGACCTTGTGATCTGCCCACCTCAGCCTCCCAAAATGCTGGGATTACAGGCATGAGCCACCACACCTGGCTATTTTTCTGTATTTTCAATACACACACACATACACATACACGCGTGCGTGCGCGCGCACACACACACACACACACGAAGCTATTTTTGTGTGTGTGTGTGTGTGACAGTTTCACTCTTGTTGCCCAGGCTGGAGTGCAATGGCATGATCTTGGGTCACTGCAACCTCTGCCGCCCGAGTTCAAGTGATTCTCCTGCCTCAGCCTCCCGAGTAGCGGGGATTACAGTCATGTACCACCACGCCCGGCTAATTTTTGTATTTTTAGTAGAGATGGGGTTTTTCCATGTTGGTCAGGCTGGTCTCAAACTCCTGACCTAAGATGATCCGCCTGTCTCAGCCTCCCAATGTGCTGGGATTACAGGCATGAGCCACCATGTCTGGTACGAAGCTATTTTTTAAGTCCCCATTTCTAGCTCATAACTCCAGCTGTTTTCACAGGCCAGAATCTCACACCACTGTTTTCAAAAGCAAGTCACATATCTTCCACCTAGAGCCTGCCTTTCTCCCTCTGTGCCAGTTAATGATATTCAGTCGTCCCATAAGCTTGAGTCATTTCAATTTGTCCTTCTGTTTCCACATCTAGTCAAAAATCCTACTGGAAACAATGAATTTCAATCCATGAGAAAAAACATTACTGCAGAGGGCTCTAGAATAATGATCTCAAAGCAGCACTAAACAGCTAGCAGAATGAAAAATCCCCTTTTTTCCAGGTCAGAGATATGAGACAATCTGCAAAGAGGAAGCCATGCCCTTGGCATAGAAGCCGCTTGTTCCTGGGATAAAGAGGTGGATTTGGAAGAGTAGGCCAAAGTTGGACAATAAGCCAAGGGGGGAAACTGTTGAAGAGAGTCAAGAGGCTGAGGCCTTGAGCCTGCATTTTGGGTGGCACCCAAAGATGACAAAAGGAGAAACATGTCATAAACTAGGCTTCAAATGGCGCTTTGGCAGAAAGTTGTTTTGCTGCCCAAACTGGCATTTAATATTGGTTGAAATGAATAAGACATGCCAGCCATCAACTTTTTACCATGTAATTAACCAGCTCTGAATAAGGACATGTCTTTTTACTTTAGTGCTCTTTTGAAAATGGGTAATAAACAAAATATTCAAAAGTCACAAAATAGTATGGACCGTGAGAACATTGTGCTAAGTGAAACAAACCAGTTACAAAAGGACAAACACTATATGATTCCACTTGCATGAGCTATCTAGAGTAGTCAAATTCATAGAAACAGAAAGTAGAATGGTGACTGCCAAGGGTAGGGGAAGTATTAAGTACTTGTTTAATGGCTAGGAAAAAGTTTTGGAGGCTGGTTGTACAACAATATGAATATACTTTAAACTACTGAGCAGTACCCTTAAAAATGTTTAAGATAGTAAGTTTTGCTACATGTATTTTATCACAATTAAAAATTTTTAAAAATTTTAAGTCACAAATTAGTGTAGAAAGTATCACCCAATTCTGCCTTCTGGCCACTCGGTTCCACTCCTCAGAGACAGCCAGTGTTAGTATATCTTCCCATCTTTCCATTTGGGAATACATTAGAAATACATTCTAATTATATATGCTTGCAAATATATGCCTATAGAGATAAAACACACCCATACACAAACAGTGGCATATTACACGTACTGTTCATGCACTTCGGTCTTTTCATTTAACGTATCTTAGAGACTTTTCTAAATTACTTCATATACAACTGCCTTACTCCTTTTAGGAGCTGCTACCTGGCCGGGCGTAGTGGCTCATGCTTGTAATCCCAACACTTTGGGAGGCCGAGGTGGGTGGATCACGAGGTCAGGAGTTCAAGACCAGCCTGGCCAAGATGGTGAAACCCCATCTCTACTAAAAATACAAAAATTGGCCGGGCATGATGGCAGGTGCCTGTAACCCATATACTCAGGAGGCTAAGTCAGAGAATTGCTTGAACCCAGGAGGCAGAGGTTGCAGTGAGCCAAGATCGTGCCACTACACTCCAGCCTGGGCAACAAAGCGAGACTCTGTCTCAAAAAAAAAAAAAAAAAAAAAAAACCTGCTACAAATTTACTGCATGACTATATCAATTATTTTACCAGTTCCCTACTAATGGGTAATTAGGTTTTGCATGAGTTTTTGTGCTTATAAACACAGCAATGAATACCTTCATGCTATTTTTAAGCCCCACATATACAAGAGTGTGTGTAAATATATGTTACATGCCTAGGATGAAACTGCTAAAACAAAAGTTATGTGCATTCTTTATGTGTGATTGTGTGATGTGTGTGATGTGTGACTTGATGTATACACACTATTTTTATTTATATTAAAATGTGTATTGAAGTATAGCATACATTCAGAACAGTACATAATTCTTAAGTTCATAGCTTAATGAATTTTCTCAATATAATTACACCTAACACAGAGATTAAAAAAAAAAAAAAGATTATAAGCCTCCAAAAGCCCTTCATGTCTCCATCCAGTGAGCTCCCCAAGAGTAATACTACCCTGACTTCTAACACCACAATTTTGTCTTTTTTTGAATTTATATTTGTGTTTGGCTCTTTCACCCAACATTATGATTGTGAGTCATTCATGTTGGGTGAACTGTAATTCATTCATTCTTATTGCTCTATAATATCCCATTGTGTAAATACATCACAACTGATCTAAACTATACTACACTACATAAGGTATGTGCATTCTTAAATTTTAATGGATATTATTCAACTGCTCTCCATAGAGTTTAGAAACTTACCATTAATATACGGAAGTAGCTGTCTTCCTACACCTTAGTCAATAGCTAATCAAACTTCTTAATCATGTTAATCGGGTATTTTTAAAATGCTTTCAGTATAGTTTCAATTTGCTTAACTCTTACATTGACTGCAACTGAGGATCATTTCATACATTTAGGAGCCACTTGTCTTTCCTTTGAACTGTCTCTGAATGTGCCCACTTGTCTACTGAGTTGTTGGTCTTTTCTATCAGCAAGCGATCTTGCTTTTTAAAGGAAATTAGCCCTTTGAACATGCTGCATGGCAACTATTTCTTCCCAGCTTATCACTGGAGTCCCAATTTTGTTTATACTAGTTTTTGCCATGTCTAGGTTGTCTGTTTGTTTGTTTATTTATTTATGAGATGAGGGGTCTTGCTCTGTTGCCCCGGCTGGAGTGCAGCGCAATGTTGCGATCTCAGCTCACTGCAACCTCCGCCTCCCGGGTTAAAGCGATCCTCTTGCCTCTGTCGTTTCTAATAAAGTTAAACACTCACCTATCCCATGACCCAGAAATCCACTCCTAGATATATACACAAGAGAAATTAGTATATATGAGAATGTTCATAGCAGCTTAATTCACAATAGCCAAAACCTAGAAACAATCAATAAGAAAATGAATAAACAAAGGGTAATATAATCATACAACAGAACTCAGCAAGAAAAAAAGAGTAACTCATACCACCGCCAAGTTGGATAAATTGCAAAAAAAAAAAAAAAAATTATGCTGGGCAAAAGCCAGACACAGCAGAGTCCTTACTGTCTGAGCCCATTCATATGAAGTTCAAAAACAGGCCAAACGCATGTATAGTGGCCAAAGTCAAAACAGTGTGGTTAGAATAGCAGCTTCTTTCTGGAAATTACCATGAAAGAACTTTCTGGGTGACGGAAATATCCTATATCTTCATCTGGGTAGTGGTTATAGATACATTTATAGGTAAAATACTCTTCAGGCTGTACATTTTTGTTTTTATTGTGTATGACATATACCTCAGTTACACACAAAAACCCATTATGTACCTACCAGAATGGTTAATAAAATTTAACAGATTGACAATTCTAAGCCTTGGCAAAGAGGTGGATAAACAGGAATTCTCACACACTGTTGGTAGGAATCTAAACTAGTGCAACCACTTTGGAAAATAGTCTGGCATTACCAAGTAAAACTGAAGATATACAAAAATGTTTATAGCTGCAGTATTCATAATTGCTGCAAACTGGAGACAAATATCCATCAAAAAGAGAGTGAAGGCTGGATGTGGTGGCTCACGTCTGTAATCCCAGCACTCTGGGAGGCCAAGGCAGGTGGATCACCTGAGGTGAGGAGTTTGAGACCAGCCTGGCCAACATGGTGAAATGCCATCTCTACTAAAAAGACAATAATTAGGGGCCGGGCGTGGTGGCTCACGCCTGAAATCCCAGCATTTTGGGAGGCCAAAGCGGGCAGATCACGAGGTCAGGAGATAGAGACCATCCTGGCTAACAAGGTGAAACTCCGCCTTTACTAAAAATACAAAAACATTAGCCGGGCATGGTGGTGGGAGCCTGTCGTCCCAGTTACTCGGGAGGCTGAGGCAGGAGAATGGTGTGAACCCAGGAGGTGGAGGTTGCAGTAAGCCGAGATCGCACCACTGCACTCCAGCCTGGGCAACAGAGCAAGACTCTGTCTCAAAAAAAAAAAAAAAAATTAACCGGGTGTGGTGGTGTGCACCTGTAGTCCCAGCTACTTGGGAGGCTGAGGCAGGAGAATCGCTTGAACCCATGAAGCAGAGGTTGCAGTGAGCTGAGATCATGCCATTGCACTCCAGCCTGGGTGACAAGAGTGAAACTCAGTCTCCAAAAACAAAAACAAAAAAAAGAGAGAGAATGAATATATCAATTGTGTTATATTCATAATAGAGTATTATTCAGCAATGACTAATGCACAAACTACAGCTCCATAAAACACAGGTGAATCTCACAAAATGACACTGAGTGAAAGCAGCCAAGTAAAGAAAACAAACTAAATGGCTCCATTTATATAAAGTTCAAATAGTAAAACTAAACTACCAAGTTTGGGTGCGATCTTAGAAAAGTAAGAAAATGATTCCATAAAAAGTCAGGACAGAGGTAACTTTTGAGAAGGCGTACGCATATAGTTGATTAGGGGGAAGTTAAGGGAGGGCTTTCTGGAGTGCTGGCATTGGTCTATTTAATGACCGGAATGTTGGTTACAGGGTTATACTTTGGTGATTACAACAACAAAAAGATGCACCACTCAATGATTTTTCTGTAAGTTATAGTTCACAATAAAAGAACGTGAAAAACAATCAATGGGGCCTGGTGATTGATTGAATTTGGTGGGGGAGGGGAGGAAGAGAATCATGGACAAGTCCCAGGTTTCTGACTTGCACAATTGCTTAGGTGGTGATGCCTTTCACTGAGATAGCCAACAGCATTTTTGGAGGAAGAGTATGAAATAAATCTTGGACATACTGAATTTATTAGTTTTGGGACATCTAAGTAGAGATGTCTAGTAGGCAATTAGATATTAGCAAATGAAGTACTCAATAGCAGAGGTTGGGGTAGAGATAAAAATGTTGGATTCACCCATGAGTGAGACCATGGACATGGCTGTGACTGTTAAGGGAAAGAAGAATGACAGAAGGGCCTAAGGCTGCTTGGTGGGACATCAACATTTAATGGCCAGATACAGAATAAGCCAGCAAAAAAAAAAAAAAATTGAGAGTGGTAGGAGGAAAATGAAGAACTGTCACGAACCATTAAGCAAGAGGAAAGAGCGTCTCAAGAGTAAGAAGTCACTCCCTGCAGGTTGATGTGTAGTTGGGGGGTTAGAGGGGGACATGGATTATGTGTACTACTCAGCAGGCTAGTTTTTACTCCACCTCTTTCTGGCTGACTTGACACAAGCAACAACCCAACAGAAAACCAATATTTCTGAGAATGGCTGCAAGTTTTTTTTTTTTGCTGTCTTTTGAGGTAAGAAATCAAGGCTGAGCTCTTCTTTCTCCTAATTCTCAGGAAGGAGGAAGGCAGATATGAGAACACTGATTGGGTCTGAGTGTACTGGGCAGCATCACTGTTAAAAGGTCAGTACACAGATGCGAGCTCACTTGTCTGCTTCTTTCATGTGACTGAAGTGGTTAAGAAGGTTGTCAACTCCCCCCTGCACCCCCCTCACCACCGCAGTAAGGGAGAGACAGGGCCAAACCTGCAGCTTGGGTAGAAGAGGCCAGGGCAGGTGTCCAAGGCCAGATCAGCAGTCAGCCAGGGCAAATGGGCTCACTCTGGTTACATGACCTCAAGCAACTGACAGAAAGGAGTGAAATGTGGGGAAGATCTCAGTGTGTTTGAGAACTGGGAAGATGAAAAGGGTTCATCTCATGGCCTGCTTTAGTTTGAAACAATTTAAGCTTAACTAGATTCCAAAAAAACAGCATTTCCACCTGAACCAGCTGGGTTCATTCCAGTCTTTTACCCTGGAGTTTGGTGCCCAAGTCCTAGTTAAGAATAAAATGTAGAGTCCTTTTGTTGTCCATTTGTCAGTGCAAATATTTAATATAAATATTTCTCCCAGGGACCCTATAGACTTGAAAATAGTGGCTATAGATTGCAGACAATTTTGATATTCCAGGGATCCCTGACCAGAATAATAAGAAATTACCATAATTTCTCAATTTCTAGCACCACACAAATTGCATCTCACACACACAGACACATACACACACAGGGGCGGGTTTACCTACTTCTCAGAAAATTGCACAGATTCAACAAGAAAGAATAAATAGTAATTAATGTGTTCCTTAATGGCTGGTGAATAATAATAAAATGTTAACTAAAACAAAAACAACTTTTATTTTTAAACCCACTATCACCCCTCACCAAATATTTAAGTGATAAAGTCTAAACTGACAGAACAGCAAATTAGTACAGTCCTTTGGGAGGGAAATATGGTGATACATAGTAGGAAGCTATCCTGTTATTTGTTGCTTTTATTTTTAAATGACAGAAAGAAACAAAATTTAAAAAGGCTATGTTTCATAAATCACAATACATTCTTACAATATATACTATGTAAACACTTTAAAAATGAGATGCTTGTGTGAGAACTAACTTTGAAGGAGGCGCAAGGTATTTACAAATTATTCTATTGAATGATAGCATTTGTGCAACACCTATGTACTAGGGCTGTGCTGACTGCTTGTACACTTGCTGTTTAATTTTACAATAACCTTACAAGGCAGGTGGCATACTAACCTCATTTAACAAATAAAATGGAAGTGGAGGCTTAAGTTTATTATCTAGTATCACTGAGGGAGGACATAGCACAATTAGGATCTAAAACCACGAAACCTTGATTTCAGAACCTACACTTCCACTCACTGTGCCAGTGTGTCATAAAGTATACATACTTTTGAAAAACTCATTTATTTAATATGGATCAATGTTATATTTCTTTAATATACAGCAATGTACATAATATCAAAGTTATGTATTTATCTAATATAGATCAAGAGTTCACAGCTCTTATCACTAAGGATTTCTGGGTTTCTTTAGTAAATTTTAAGAAAAGTGTTATGAATTAACAGTACAGATGATACAAGCATATGGCAAAAGTAACAAGGAGGTACTCCAATGACTGAAAGTTTAGAGAACAAAACTCTTACCTTCCCGGCCAGGCATGGTGGCTCATGCGTGTAATCCCAGCACTTTGGGAGGCTAAGGCGGGCAGATCATGGGGTCAGGAGATCGAGACCATCCTGGCTAACACGGTGAAACCCCCGTCTCTACTAAAAATATGTAAAATTAGCCAGGGGTGGTGGCATGCACCTGTAATCCCAGCTACTTGGGAGGCTGAGGCAGGAGAATAGCTTGAACCCGGGAGGCAGAGGTTTCAGTGAGCCAAGATTGCGCCACTGCACTTCAGCTTGGGTGACAGAGTAAGACTCTGTCTCAGAAAAAAAAAAACAAAAACAGTGGCTCACGCCTGTAATCCCAGCACTCTGGGAGGCCAAGGTGGGTGGATCACAAGGTCAGGAGATTGAGACCATCCTGGCTAACATGGTGAAACCCTGTCTCTACTAAAAATATAAAAAATTAGCCAGGCGTGGTGGCGGACGCCTGTAGTCCCAGCTACTCGGGATGCTGAGGCAGGAGAACGGCGTGAACCCGGGAGGCGGAGGTGGCAGTGAGCCGAGATCGCACCACTGCACTCCAGCCTGGGCGACAGAGTGAGACTCCATCTCAAAAAAATAAAAAAATAAAAAAACAAAAAGCTCTCACCTTCTCAAAAGGCACCTTCTTCTTTATATGCTGCAATATTGTATGACATTTTCACAACAATTGCGTATTACCTCAAAGAGGTTTTTTGAAAAAATAAAACAACCCCTCCTGAAACATTTTTCAAATAAAACAAAAGTAAAGGCACTATCTCAATGTGTACCTTCAGAAACTGGAAACATCCTTCATATCTAACAATAAGAGTTAAGTACAGGTATCAACTTGATTAAATGGTCCTTAATCATTAAATTAATGACTATAAGAAAAAGAGATCATAATATACTGCCGATTATTACAAGAACCTGAGTATACATATACCATATATCATGATAAAGACTCTTTAGACCAAAAGTAAAGGTGAAAAGAGAAATGAAAACAGGGATAGATGATATAAGGCTTTTCCCTCAACTAATTTACTCTAACACTATCTTTGTAATACATGTGTTTAGAACAAAACAATGCCACAATGAGCATCTAAGTTAAAACCGTTATCAGAGAGGCAATTCCAGAATAAACAGATACAATATGCTCCTTGATGGAAAGACCTGCTAGTGAGAACTGACTCCTTCCCATATTCGTCTATAAATTTAGCACAATTCTAATCAAAATCTCAGTGGGATTTGTCTTAGAACTCATCAAAATTATTCTAAAATTCACCGGAAACAGTAAATTCATGACAATAGCAAAGAAAAATTTGGAAATGAGCATATTTGCCCTATCAGATATCAAACTTCTATAAAAAGCCACGGGGGAGGGGTGGTAATGGAATAAACACAGACCGACCTGTCACTGGAACAGAACTGAGAATCCAGAAAGAGGCCTTATGTATGCAGAAAAGCCTTGTGGCATTTGAAATATGAACAAGTCAATGAACTGAGAGAGGCAAAAGCCTATCCATTTAGGAAAAATTTAGATCCCTACCCTTACACTAGATACAAAAGGAAATTCCATACAAACTAAAAGAGCTCAGTGTGAAAAAAATTTTTTCATATAAAGTATATGAAAATATTTTAAAGATAATCTTGGGATGGTAGAGATTTTGCTAAACCAGAAAAAAAAAAAAACTATAAATATGTGAAAGATTTTCCAGTTGAATAATGAAGAATTTTTTTAAGTGAAAGATCTGACCACCTAAGTTAACACTTCTATGTAAAGACACCATAACACAAAATTAAAAGACAAATAACAAATGAAGAGAAAATGTGTAACACATATAACAAAAGATTAACCATTGTGACATCTAAAGAACTCCTATAAAGCAATAAGAAGAAAAGATAAACAACCCAGAAAGGGAAAAAATGGGCAAAGGTATGAACAGGCAATATCCAGAAGAAATGCAAAATTTTTGTCTGTACAAAAATTATGTTGTAGATTCATGTAACACCCAGTAAACTACATTCTAGGAGGTTAAAGAAGTCATGTTTTTCAGAACTAACAAATTACATATATTTACACAATATCAGAATGGGAAGTGCCTGTCTGAACTTGAATCTACAGACAAAAATTACCAAGAAAAATCATTAAAATTATCATAGACTTAAAAAAACCTTTGTACTAGCATTCGTCTAAATCGATGTGAAAAATTCTAAAATTTATCCAGGCAGGAGAAGAAACACAGTTAATAAAAACATGAAAACCTCATTATCAAACAAGGTGATTATAAATTAAAAAATAAATTTTTTAAATGTGAAACCATTAAATCTTGCTGATGCTTGGGGAAAATGCAAATCAAAACAATAACATGACAATTTTCATAAATCATATTGGCAAATATCTAAAAAATGAGAATGCCCAATTTGGCAAGGGCACAGGGCACCCAATATTCTCTTCCATTACTGGTGGAATTTTTAACAACATGGGAAAATAGTGGTAATATTTTCTTTTTTTTTGAGACAGTCTCACTCTGTCGCCCAGGCTGAAGTACAATGGCATGATCTCGGCTCACTGCAACTTCTGCCTCCCCAGTTCAAGCAATTCTCCTGCCTCAGCCTCCCAAGTAGCTGGGACCATCAGTGTGCATTACCATGCCCAGCTAATTTTTGTATTTTTAGTAGAGATGGGGTTTCACCACGTTGGCCAGGCTGTAGAGATGGGGTTTCACCACGTTGGCCAGGCTGGTCTCAAACTCCTGACCTCAGATGATCCACCTGCCTCAGCCTCCCAAAGTGCTGGGATTATGGCCACCGTGCCCTGCCGTGATATGTTAAGTGAGGAAAAGACAAATTAAACATACAGGAAGATCTAAACCATGTTCTAAAATAATAGTAACTATGTTTTATGAGTACCTTTATGCCAGACACCAGGACTATTTACATGTACTGGTACACTTCATATTCACAATAATCCTATGAGTTAACGCTATTACTACCCTCATTTTATGGAGGAAGAAGCTGAGACAAGAGATCAAGTGACAGAGCCAAGATTTCAACTCAGGTTGACTCTAGAGTCCCAGATCTTAACCACTGGCACAATGTATAGAAATTAATCAAACTCTTTAAACACAGTGGAATTGAGTATACTGTCTACTTTAATTCCCGATTTTGTCATATATATTCTACTATTTTACTTCTCAAATACAACGAGTTTTTAAAAGGATCGGTAATCACAAGACAGCCAACAGTGTCCCTGAAATTCCCCTAGAGATGCTAACTACAAAATAAAACTTATGAATCATAATTCAATAGCTTTAAATATTGTAGTACAAGAACATTTTTCTAAATGAAATTTTATGTGCATCTATAACATAAGAAACAGATTAGGCTGGGTGTGGTGGCTTGCACCTGTAATCCCAGCACTTTGGGAGGCTGAGGAGGGCAGATTACGAGGTCAGGAGGTCGACACCAGCCTGGCCAACATGGTGAAACCCCATCTCTACTAAAAATACAAAAATTAGCAGGGTTTGGTGGCAGGTGCCTGTAATCCCAGCTACTCGGGAGCCTGAGGCAGGAGAATCACTTGAAGCTGGAAGGCAGAGGTTGCAGTGAGCTGAGATCCTGCCACTGCACTCCAGCCTGGGTTAAAGAGTGAAACTCCATCTCAAAAAACAAACAAAAAAAGAATAAAGCAGTATTTTATTCTATCAATGTATTTCAAAGCTCAAACGTGGCCGGGTGTGGTGGCTCATGCCGGTAATTCCAGCACTTTGGGAGGCCAAGGCGGGGGGTGGATCATTTGAGGTCAGGAGTTCGAGACGAGCCTGACCAACATGGTGAAACCCCATCTCTAGTAAAAACATACACACAAAAAAAAGCCAGGCATGGTGGCACGTGCCTGTAGTTCCAGCTACTCAGGAGGCTGAAGCAGGAAAATCACTTGAAGCTGGGAGGTGGAGGTTGCATTGAGCCGAGATGGCACCACTGCATGCATTCCAGCCTGGGTGACAGAGTGAGACTGCATCTCCAAAAAAAAAAAAAAAAAAAAAAAAAAGCTCAAATGTATAACATGTATAATGAGAACAATAAAATTCTTCTGACAAACACCAACTTTAAATTATGGATGATTGGGCAGTCTTATGTCAAATTTGTTTTGATGGCATGGTATCAAGAAAAACCGGATTCACAAAGATGAATAGATGATAAAGCATGTTTTACAAATGATAATGTTTTGTGTGTGTTTTTTAAATAGTACATTAACGCTATCTAAGAATTTAATTACACCTATCCAGAAGTTTTAAAAGTAAAACATTTCTAAATTAATTATGTAATAGTGTTAAGGAATGAATACTTGGTAGTCGTAAACATTTTGGTAAAAAATAAAAACTTTACAATATGTACTAATCCTGATATATGCATTAGGCAGTCATGTTATTGCATAATGCAACAGTTCTAATAGTACTGAATGTGCTTATATAATGTTATATGAACAAACAAGCACTAGCCTAAAATTTCAAAATATCAACATAAAGATACAGTCTTACTAATCAATAACATTTTTATCCTTTCTAACTCTGAGGAAAAAAAAGGAAAGAAAAAATTTTAATTAAAAAATAAAATGGCATTTTAAAAGTTTCATTTCTATATACAAAGTGAGACACTCTATTCCAAGGATTGTTGTCCTGGGTGTAAGCATTATAGATAATTTACATTTTCTTCCTTTTGCTTATTTTCTCTCAAATATTCTAAATGCACTTTTTTGTGTGTGCTTTTTTACTTTTTATTTTATTTTATTTTATTTTTGAGATGGAGTTTCACTCTTGTTGCCCAGGCTGGAGTGCAATGGCGTGATCTTGGCTCACTGCAACCTCCGCCTCCTGGGTTCAAGCAACTCTCCTGCCTCAGCCTCCCGAGTAGCTGAGATTACAGGCATGCACCACCATGCCCGGCTAATTTTGTAT
Source organism: Homo sapiens (assembly GCF_000001405.40). Lineage (NCBI taxonomy): Eukaryota > Metazoa > Chordata > Mammalia > Primates > Hominidae > Homo > Homo sapiens. Next base: position 65,048,308 of record NC_000007.14, on the reverse strand, counting down.
TTTTAGTAGAGATGGGGTTTCACCATGTTGGTCAGGCTGGTCTCCAACTCCTGACCTCAGGTGATCCACCCACCTCAGCCTCCCAAAGTGCTGGGGTTACAGGCGTGAGCCACTGCACCCAGTCTATTTTATTTTATTTTCTTGAGACAGAGTTTGCTCTGTCGCTCAGGCTGGAGTGCAGTGGCATGATCTCAGCTCACTGCAACCTCTGCCTCCCAGGTTCAAGTGATTCTCCTGCCTCAGCCTCCCAGGTAGCTCAGACTACAAGCACCCACTACCATGCCCGGCTAATTTTTGTATTTTTAGTAGAGATGGGGTTTCACCATGTTGGCCAGGCTGGTCTTGAACTCCTGACCTCACGTGATACATCCGCCTCAGCCTCCCAAAGTGCTGGGATTACAGGCATGAGCCACCGTGCCTGGCCAACTTTTTATTTTAAAATTACTATAACTATAAATCACAGGAATTTACAAAAAAGTACACAGGGAGGTCCCAAGTACCCTCGCCCAAATTCCTCCAATCCTGAGTTTATTCAGGTTTCACCAGTTTTGTATGCAAATGGGACTTGAGTACGCTAGGATTTATATGCAGTATGTGTGTGTGTGGTTGTATGAAGTTTTTATCACGTTTGCAGCTTTGTATAATCACACCTGAGACACAGAACTGTTCCATCCCTACACAGCTCCCTCATGCTACCACTTTATAACCACACCACCCCTCACCTCCCATTCCTAACTCCTAGCAACCACTAAATCTGTTCTCCATCTCTGCAGGTTTGTTATTTCAATAATGTTACATAAATGCAATCATACAGTATATAACCTTCTAGGGTTCTCACTTGTTTTCACTCAGTATAACTCTCTTGAGATAACCTGGCAGTACAAATCAGTTGTCTCTAATATATTAAAATTTAGCATGAGATGCATTTGACTGTGTTTAAACATTTATAATATTTTAAAGTTAAAACATTAAAATGTGAATCAAAGGTGTATGAAATCCCTGTTTCATTGACAGAGAACAGGGATTCTGAGATACAAATTTTGAAAACTGGGAATCTAATACAAGCCTAGTACAATGTAGTACAGGTTGAGTATTCCTTATCTGAAACAGCTTTGGAGCTGAAATACTTTGGATTTGGGATTTTTTCAGATTTGGGAATATGTGCATTATATACCGGGTTGAGCATCCCAAATCTGAAAGTCCAAAATCTGAAATGGTTCAAAATCCAAAACTTTGAGTGCCAATATGACACTCAACGGAAATGCTCACAGGGGCATTTCAGATTTTGGATTTTTGGATTAGGGATCCTCAACCAGTACAACAACTTTATAGAAGAAAAGCCCAAGACTCAGTGCTATGTCTTATCAGTGTTTACAAGAGTACATGGTTTACAAGAACGCCTGGTTTTGCACTTGTTATGGGCAAGATCTAGATTCTGGTTCTTTCCCAACCCAGTTGAGTATGTTACATTCAAATATGACCACTTGCTATTCTTCTCAAATGACCACAGTTTGCTACCCCTTCAAGTTCTTCCTAATGATTGAGGAAATGAACTCCTCTTAAATTCCCAGATCTGTGTGGCGCTTTAGCTAGCACCACACCTCAGGTCCAATTCTCCTGTCTTTATATGCAGCAGGTCCACAGGACAAGGCCTCCCTCAGAAAAAGCTACCCCAATCTAGGACAAAAACAAACTCTTTTCCCTCCCCCTCCCTCCATGTGCCCAGAACCCCTTTCTCCTTCCTCCCTAGGCTAACCTGCTAAGTCTTCCGGATAGCTCACTACACTATCTGATAGCTAACTGGGTGTGACAAACCACGTCCTCACACCTTAGAAGGCAAAACACTCCAGGAACTTACTTCTGGAATACCAATACCTTCACAGTAATTTCCCTGCCTTTCCAAAGAGTGCTCTAAACAGGTAAAAGCTATAATACAAACTCTATATATTTTTGTCACAGATACAGAAACTGGCACCATCGTTTGCATATTTTAAAAATCTGGTTGATATGGTTATCACTCTATCAATATTAGATCTAAATGGAATTTAAAGTAGTGGTAAAAGGCTGGGCGTGGTGGCTCACACCTGTAATCTCAGCACTTTGGGAGGCCAAGTGGGAAGACTGCTTGAGGCCAGGAGTTTGAGACCAACTCAGGCAACAAAGTGAGACCTGGTCACTATGAAAAATAGAAAAAATTAGCTAGGCATGGTGGGGTGCGCAACTGTAGACCCAGCTACTCAGGAAGCTGAGGTGGGAGGATCACTTGACCTAGGGAGGTTGAGGCTGCAGTGAGCCATGATTGCACCACTGCACTCAGCCTGGGGAGACAGAGTGAGACAATGTCTCAAAAAATTAAAGAGGAAGGAAGGAAAAGAAAGAGAGAAAAGAAAGGAAAGGAAAGGAAAGGAAGAAGGAGGGTGGGAGGGAAAGGAAGAAAGGAAGACGAAAGAGTAGTGGTAAAGAGCTTGGACTCTTGAGCCAGACTGCGTGGGTTAGAATTAGGCCTCTGCCACTGTACTACCTGGATCAAATGTTAGTCTGAGTGGCTCAGTTTTCCCATCTGTAAAATGGTGATAAAAGCTACCTGCCTCATGGGACTCTTGAGAGACTTCAATAATGTATGCAAAACATTTAGAACACTGCCTAGCACATAGTGAGCATTATCTGTAAGTATTAACATTTATCTCTACTACAGTCCAGATTCACTTCCTTGTGATATTTCTCTATTCCTCTTGGACTCTTTTCAGTTCAACCTGCTTCTGAAATTTCCATACCAAGAAACAATGATAATGTTAAGAATTTTATTTCTGAAATTTATCTTGGTTAGTCAAAACTACTAGAACAAATTCTCTTTTACGTACTAGCAGTTATTAACATTTCACTAAATATGAACATAAGCATTTAAAGTATGGGAGCAATGGAACAAATGCCAAGCAAAAAGCAGGCTATCAATAAGGACGCATACACGATACACCCATGTTAAAAAAAGGGAATCATATGGTCACATGGATGTTTGTCTATGTGTCAAACGGCTCTGAAAAGTTTCACAGCGGTCTACTGAGAGGGAGAACTGTCTGTTTGGTGGAAGGGATATGAAGGAGACTTTTCACTGTACATGCTTTGTTATCTTTCAAATCCGAAGCAGCGAATGCATTACCTAGACAAGAATTTAATTTTTTTTTTTTTTGAGACAGAGTCTCACTCTGTCACCTAGGCCGGAGTGCAGTGGCACGATCTCGGCTCACCGCAACCTCCACCTCCTGGGTTCAAGTGATTCTCCTGCCTCAGCCTCTCAAGTAGCTGGGACTACAGGCATGCGCCACCATGTCTGGCTAATTTTTTTTTGTATTTTTAGTAGAGACGGGGTTTCACCATGTTAGCCAGGATGGTCTTGATCTCCCGACCTCATGATCCGCCCACCTCGGCCTCCCAAAGTGCTGAGATTACAGGCGTGAGCCACTGTGTCCGGCCAAGAATTTAATTTTTAAAATGGGGGTGCAAAGGGGACTTTAAATAAGTACTCTGGAAGCCAGGTGTCAAGTCTCAATTTGCTACTACCTGTGCTACCTTGGGCAAGTCACTTAACCTCTGAGTCTCAGACAAAGCAAGGAGCAGTAAATAGTTCTAGGTTCTTTTTTTTTTTTTTTTTAAAGACAGAGTTTCCCTCTTGTTGCCCAGGCAGGAGGGCAGTGGCACAATCTCGGCTTACTGCTACCTCCACCTCCCGGGTTCCAGCAATTCTCCTGCCTCAGCCTCCCGAGTAGCTGGAATTACAGGTGCCCACCACCACGCCCGGCTAATTTTTTGTATTTTTAGTAGACAGGGGGTTTCACCATATTGGCCAGGCTGGTCCTGAACTCCTGAACTCAGGTGATCCACCCACCTCAGCCTCCCAAAGTGCTGGGATTACAGGCGTGAACCACTATGCCCAGCCCTAGGTTCTATTCTAATTCTAAAAGTTTTATTATCTCAATGGGATAGTAAATAGATGGTACTTTTAAGATACGGGAGAGGTAGTAATCCAACATTTTGTAAAATAAGGCAACTTTTTTATGGACTTGATTTTCAAATGCAGTGGACCCTTGAACAACACGGGTTTAAGCTGCGTGAGCTCACTTATATGTGGATCTTTTTCAACCAAATGCAGACCGAAACCGGCATATATGGAGGCCCAAATTTTCACATTCAGGTTCTGCAGGGCCCACAGTGTGGACTTGGGTATGCCAGGATTTCAGTAAAAACAGGGGTCCTGGAACCAATCCCCTATGGTATATGTTCTTTACATATACCATAGGACAACTGGACTATTTTTACAGTTTTAAGAAACGTAGATTTGTCAAGCCTATTAACCTTTCCAGATCATTTGTACTATTCTTACATAGAAACCCTTCTTAGAGGGGGTCTTATATATAGAAAATACCTACATAGAATATTCTGCATATTACAGCCGGACGCGGTGGCTGATGCCTATAATCTCAGCACTTTCGGAGGCTGAGGCAGGCAGATCACCTGAGGTCAGGAGTTCAAGACCAGCCTGGCCAACATGGCAAGACCCTGTCTCTACTAAAAATACAAAAATTAGCCGGGCATGGTGGTGGGCGCCTGTAATCCCAGCTACTTGGGAGGCTGAGGTAGGAGAATCACTTGAACCCGGAAGGTGGAGGTTGCAGTGAGCTGAGATCATGCCACTGCACTCCAGTCCTGGTGACAGAGCAGCGAGACTCCATATCTAAAAAGAAAAAAAAAAAAGAATATTCTGCATATTAGTTTCTCTTGCACAACTTCAAAATTGTTTTAAATGAACACATCTTTATACTATGCTATGAAGTCAGCAATAAACTACATTAAAACAATTAATGTTTAAAGATATAAACAAGTATGTACAAGAAACTTAACTTAAAGGCATTTATTATCAAACACTGGAAAAAAAAGAACATCTCCAATCAATGGTAACAGCTATAACTGAGGACAGGCTTTATTTCAGGAACATACATGTATCACTTTTCATCATAACACTAATCTGGCAAAGTAGGTTTTTTTGTTTTTCTTTTTTTGAGACAGGGTCTCTCTCTACCACCCAGGCTGGAGTGCAGTGGCACCATCATGGCTCACTGCAGACCTCTGCCTCTCAGGCTCAAGTGATCCTCACACCTCAGCCTCCCAAGAAGCTGGAAATACAGGCATGCGCCACCATGCCCGGTTAACGTTTGTATTTTTTGTAAAGACACGGTTTTGCCCTGTTGCCCAGGCTGGTCTGAAACTCCTGAGCTCAAGAGGTCTGCCAGGTGTCAGCGTCCCAAAGTGCTGGGATTACAGGTGTGAGCCACTGCACCAGGCCCTAAGTAGGTGTTAAAAGCCCTATTTAACATAAGAAACTGAGGCACCATGAAGATAAGGCCACAAGCCTAAGAACTGGGAGAGGTGGTAGCCCACCCAGATCCCTTAGATTTGAGCTCAGTGTACCAAACCAAGGGGCAGGGACTGCTAACTGAATGTTAGCTGGCAGGCTGGTGCAGGTTTGCAGCAGAGTTTTCACCGATTTATGGGAAAATGGGAAAAAGTAAGGACACGAAAGTAAACTTTTTTTTTTTTTTTGAGACAGTCTCGTTCTGTCACACAGGCTGGAGTGCAATGGCGCGATCTCGGCTTACTGCAACCTCCACATCCCAGGTTCAAGTGATTCTCCTGCCTCAGCCTCCCGAGTAGCTGGGATTACAGGTGCATGCTACCATGCCCAGCTCGTTTTGTGTTTTTAGTAGAGACGGGGTTTCAGCATGTTGGCCAGGCTGGTCGGAAAGTAAACTTTTCCATATAGCTAAATGATTCCATTTAAAAATCTTCTATTCTGAGAGATTCTGTTCTTTCAAATTGTTTGAATGGAAATATCCTTTTGTTAAATGAAACGATGATGACAGGAGATAGTGGTGTGTTATTGTTTTTATTGGCTGTACCTGGTAGAATTGAAAAATCAGCATTTCTATTGTAGCCTACTAATTTCAGTGAAATATTTCTTTAGAAATATAAAATCTGGAACTTTCCATCATTATGCCTCCCCAAAATAATAGAGGACTTTACACACAGATAACACCTGCCTCTCAAGATTCTCTCATTAATCTCTACCTTATTGTGTTTGGATTAAGACACTTAGGGCTTGTGAAATGAGAATAAAGTGAGTTTGAGCAATCCAAAACCACGTGCTGACTCTGGATCCTGGAAGATGACTTTCTTCAGAATCTTTATCTGTTAACTTTCCTCTGGACTTAAACTTTGTTTTCCTAAAAGAGTTACATATTTGAGTACTACTGCTACACGGCAATCACTACTCAAAAGAAACTAACTTGAGGTGTCCAATAATCAGCTTTCATTTAAAGTCTCTTTCAGGCTAGGCGCGGTGGCTCACGTCTGTAATCCCAGCACTTTGGGATGCCGAGGAGGGCGGATCACGAGGTCAGGAGATTGAGACCATCCTGGCTAACATGGTGAAACCCCGTCTCTACCAAAAATAGAAAAAATTAGCCGGGCATTGTGGCGGGCGCCTGTAGTCCCAGCTACTCAGGAGGCTGAGGCAGGAGAATGGAGTGAACCCGGGAGGTGGAGGTTGCAGTGAGTCGAGATCGCGCCACTGCACTCCAGCCTGGGCGACAGAGCAAGACTCTGTCTCAAAAAAAAAAAAAGAAAAGTATCCTTCAGCTTGACAAAATAAAAACTTTCAATGATGTTTTGTCTACGCACTTCCAAAAGAAAATGAGTCTATATATGTACATATATGTGATTATATATATATATATACATATGTGATTTTGATCAGCCTGCTTATAAACTACCTGCAAAACAAGTTGATTTGTAAATTCATTTATTAAATGAGTAGTTTATAAGCTACTTGATTTTTGCAAGTAGTTTATAAACAGGCTGATCAAATTGAACAAATTTCTTAATTTCACTGTATACATGGCAAATAAGTTATCTACTCTTCTTATTAGCAAATCTTATTTTTACCTACCCTCCTTTGGCAAGCATCTAAGTTAAACTATTTTACGTCCACAGCTACACAATGAAACATCACTTTCAGTCACAACATATTAAATTCACATTTAAAACTATAAAGAGATCCAGTTACCTTTAGTCTTACATGTACTTATACATATTTTTAATATACTACTTGATGTTTTATGCACAAACACGCAGCTCTAGCAGGATATAACTATGAGAATATTTAGAGTGTATGCTAAATACACCTTTTTAAAGAAAAGTCAATTTTTTAAATTATTTTTATTTATTTATTTATTTATTTATTTGAGATGGAGTCTCATTCTGTTGCCCAGGCTGGGGTGCCATGGTGTGGTCTTGGCTCACTGCAACCTCTGCCTCCCAGGTTCAAGCAATTCTCCTGCCTCAGCCTCCCAAGTAGCTGGGACTATAGGCACATGCCACCACACCCAGCTAATTTTTGTATTTTTGGTAGAGACAGGGTTTCACCATGCTGGTCAGGATGGTCTTGAACTCCTGACCTCATGATCCACCCACCTCGGCCTCCCAAAGTGCTGGGATTACAGGCGTGAGCCACTGTGCCCGGCCAAGTCAATTTTAAGCACTTAAGCAGGCCAGGCGCGGTGGCTCATGCTTGATTCCCAGCACTTTGGGAGGCAGAGGTGGGTGGATTACCTGAGGTCAGGAGTTCGAGACCAGCCTGACCAATATGGTGAAACCCCATCTCTACTAAAAATACAAAAATTAGCCAGGCATGATGGCGGATGTCTGCAATCCCAGCTACTCGGGAGGCTGAGGCAGGAGAATCACTTGAACCTGGGAGGCGGGGGTTGCAGTGAGCCGAGATCATGCTATTGCACTCCAGCCTGGGTGACAAGAACAAGACTCCGTCTCAAAAAAAAAAAAAAAAAAGAACTTAAGCATACAGTAAGTACTCTTTCCATGCCCCAATATTAAAAGGTCCATTTATTATAGACTACTTGTTTCAAAAAAAAAAAAATCTAAAATTGGTAATAATTCTGCTTAAATTCCATATTAAACTAGGATCAAAAGTCATTTTTAGTTCTTCTTGTTTCTTAAAATACTTGAAATGTGCTGCTGCATAATGTTTTCCTTAAATATTTATTCATTCAACTAACTTTGGGTGGAAGGTACTTGTAAGTTTAAAAGTCCTTTCTGAAAGTGGAAATAACATAACAATGTTTGCATAAAAGACACTCAATGGTTCTCAAAGCGTATCTGAGAGTCTAATCAGCCTATTAACTTTGTTCTGAATAACCAACAACAAATGTGAGCTTTTTGTCACATCTATGCATTTTCCCCTGTAAACTGATACCTACATTTTAAATGCATTTTTAAAATGTTCCATTTGGCCCTATGATAATTATTTCCCCTCTAAAAAGCGAAAGGATTTTGGTTTAAGAGCAAATGAGACAGAGTATCTGGTCCATGAAAAAGGCTAAGTGGAAAGATCAGTTCCCTGAAGTTTGTAACCAATAACAAGAGAAACTCCAATGCTACCTTGTTCATGTAATCAACAATATATGAGTTGAAATAAACTAGTGAGCTATACATTTCTGATATATACCAATTTACCAATCAACAGGAGGGGAAGAAATCGCTCAAATGTGACTACTGTTAACAAACATCTAAATATCAGACATAGTCTCTATTAAAATCGTAACCTATCCATTTTGAAATCATTCCTTCGACTTTTATGTTTTTAATCGCCCCATTAAAAAAAAAGCAGCCACTTTTAAAAGTAAATTCCCCCCTTTTTCAAAGTAACTTGCCTAGGAAAATGTAATGCATTAAAATAAAACATAACAGACAAACCAATTACAACATTAAAGAAAAAACTAAAATGATGAGTAACACAAACCAATCGCTCCAGTTTAGCAAAGGGTGTGTTTTTAATCTGTTGTGGGTATCCTATTATACTAATAGGCAACAACGTTTAAAAGTCATCCCAATGCCTAAAACACCGCCATATACATAACATACTTGTCCTTTACTCCAATGAAGCTTAAACTAGACCCAAACTCAGACCATTTCCTTCTCCTGGCACACTGAAACATACGAGAGGGAATCCAAGAAATCAGATATGTTAAGTGCTGGTATCTTCTTCCACAGTAGGGTCAAATTTGTGTTTGCCAGCTAATGTCACCGTCCCAGTAAGTCTGCAAATTCTCACTAGCGCTGGAGTGCAAAGAGGCCTGACCACGGAAACACCTGTCCTAGCACCAGGAAAACAGTGGGAAAGGCAACCCCGTCTCCGCGCCGGCCCCAAAGCCTCGGCTGCAGCGATCGGGGGAACAAGAGGCCCGCTGCCGCTGGTCTCACGGGTGCGGCGGACAAGGTCCCACACCCCCGGCCCGCCTCCCGAGAACCAGGAAACCTGTCAAGCCAGCCTGCACCCACCCTCCGCAGCCCCCTCGCGCTCCTGCCCAGCCCGGCCCCGGCCCACCCGACCGCTCCGCGTCCGCCCCGGCCTCCCGGCTGCACTCTGCCACCTCATCCCTCCCCGGCTGCCTCGCGGCCCCGCCACCTCCGCCCCGCGGCCTGGGCTCATGCCGCCCCCCGGGCAGGAGCGCCCCGCCGCCACCCCCCACCCGGCCCCGACCCGACCCCGTAAGTTCCCCAGCGGCCCGGTCCCCGCCGCCCCCAGGCCTGAGCTCCCGCCGCGCGCTCCCCACCCCGAGACTCCGCCCTTGCCCCGCTCGGCCGCTCCCGGCCCACTCCCCAAAGCCGGCTACCTGGAGGCAAGGGCGACGGAGCACTTCACCCAGGGCCCCAGGTCGCAGAGGGCCCGGTGCTCGGGGTCCCGCTCCTTCTGCCTCTCCACATGGTAGGCGTAGATGGAGAGCAGGATTCCGGCAGCGCACACTGCATACCGGGCCACCCGCTCCCACCGCGGCACCGACACGCTCAGCAGGACGGCCGTCGCCATCCTGCCGCCGCCGCCACCGCCTCCCTCCGCCTCCACCGCCTCCCTCCGCCTCCACCTCAGCCGCCGCCGCCCGTCGGGACCCGACCCAGCTGCCGCGGCCGCCGCCGCGCCCCATTGGCTCGGTCGCCTGCTCCGGGCCCCGCCCCCACAGGCGCGCGGCCCAACCGCCCCGAAAGGAGTGAGCTGGACGGGGCGGGGAAAGAGCGGGCGGGCGCGGAGGGTGGGGGCGGAGTGCGCAACCGCCGGGGAGGCCGGATCTGCGGGCGGAGATTGAGGCGACGCGCGCGAGGGGTGGAGCCCGGGGGAGAAAGGGGTGGGGCAGGGGCGGGGCAGGGTAGGGGCGGGGCCGAGCGCGCCAGTGCGGGAGGGACTTAGAGGAGCGGTGCAACTAGCACCTTGCAAGGATGCCACTGTGGGTGACTGGGCGAACCCTCGGCCCCTCCCTCTGGGGATGGCAATCAATTGCCATCCTTTTTCCTTTTTTCGTTGTATTTTTCTGACCCAATCCAAATCAACCCTGGCCAGTGCTTGGAGCTCCAGAGACACACACCTATGACCTGATCTTCCCACCACCACCTCCGGGGACACTCTGTTCGACCTGTGCAAAACTTTTTTTTTTAATGTGCAAAACTATGTTTTAAATTTAAAAACTATTTTTAAAAAATGATTCATGGACCGGGTACAGTGGCTCACGCCAAATCCCAACACTTTGGGATGCCGAGGCAGGTGGATCACTTGAGGTCAGGAGTTCAAGACCAGCCTGGCCTACATGGTGTAACCTCGTCTCTACTAAAAATACAAAAAACAAACCAAAAACAATTAGCCCGGTGTCGTGGTGGGCGCCTCTAATCCCAGCTACTCGGGAGACTGAGGCATGAGAATTGCTGGAACCCGGGAGGTGGAGGTTGCAGTGAGCCAAGATCGTGCCACTGCACTCCAGCCTGGGCGATAGAGTAAGAGTCTCAGAAAAAAAAAAAAAAAAAAAAAAAAAAGATTTACGAATGCCTTGCTTCTCCGTAAGCTGAATTTGAAGTTGCTTACCATAACTCATATAATATAGAAAAATAAAGATGAGCTAATACAATCAGGATGAAGAAAAAGAAAAGTCAGAATAAAATGAAAGGCCAGGAATAAGAACACAGATAAGCAGGCCATAGGGGCTTACATAGTTATTAAAATTGCATCATAAATTTGGCTCTGAGCTTCCTGGTGGCCAACACTAAAAGGAAAACAGATGTATGTGCTTTTTCTCACTGTCTTTAAGAAGAAACACAGTGTTCTTGGAGATTTTCAGTGTTTCCCTGGTTGCAGCTTTCAATTTTTCAGGGGCTTTATATAGTGATTTTGAGTAATAAGCAATATCCTTGTATTCGTTATCTATTCTTGGGTAAAAATCACCCCAAATTTAGCAGTTAATAAACAATAAACTTTTTTTTCCCTCACAGTTTCCATGGGCTAGGAATCTGGGTGAGGTTAGCTGTGTCCTCTGGCTCAGGCTCTCATGAGGATACAATCAAGCTGTCAGCCAGGGCTGCAGCTCTCTCAAGGCTTCAGAATCCTCTTTCAAACTCACTTCCACTGCTGCTGGCAGGCCTGAGGTCCTCTCTGGCTGTTGGCTGGAGACATCATTTCCTGTCCACTTCCACCTCTTGGTAAGAAGCAGCAGGCTTACCCCGGGGAGAGGGAGGAGAAAGAGGAAGAGACAGAAAAAGAAAATGAGAGTGAGATCACAGTCCTTTTTTGAAACCTAATCCCAGAAGTGACATCCCATCACTTTTACGTAGTCTATTGCTACTTAGAAAATAGTCTCTAGGTCCAGCCAGTCATGGTGGCTCACACCTGTAATCCCAGAATTTTGGGAGGCCGAGGTGGGTAGAGCACCTGAGGTCAGGAGTTCGAGACCAGCTGACCAGCATGGTGAAACCCCGTCTCTACTAAAAATACCACAATTAGCTGGATGTGGTGGCACATGCCTGTAAACTCAGCTACTTGGGAAGCTGAGGCATGAGACTCACTTGAACCTGGGAGGTGGAGGTTGCAGTGAGCCGAGCTCACACCATTGCACTCCAGCCTGGCTTACAAGGAGAAACTCCATCTCAAAAAAAGAAGAAAAAAAAGAAAGAAAGAAAGAAAAAGAAAATAGTTCCTAGGTCCAGCCCATGCTCAGAGGGAGAGGATTACACAGGACATGAATATGAGGAAGCTATCTACCACAGTCCTCAAAAACATCTTCGCTCTGCCCGGGTGGGGTGGCTCACAACATTTTGAGAGGCTGAGGCAGGAGGATTGCTTGAGGCCAGCAGTTCAAGACCAGTCTGAGCAACATAGGGAGCCCTGGTCTCTGCAAAAATATATACAAAATTAGCAAGGTGTGGTGCATGCCTGTTGTTCCAGCTACTTGAGAGGCTGAAGGGGGAGGACTGATTGAGCCCAGAGGGCTTGGGGCAGGGGTGTGGACTGAGGCTGCAATGAGCCAACATTGCCTCACTGCACTCCAGCCTGGATGACAGAGTGACACACTGATTAAGAAACAAAAACAAAAACAAAAAACAAAAACCTTACTCTACATCCCTAATGATTTTAATAAATCTAAGTGGACTCCTGCATCTTCCCTTCTTATAGATTCCTTTACTCAGTTGATGAGATCTCTTGATCATCTGGCTTCTTTCATCAATAGGTCTGGGAGGTTTACCCATGCTATTGCAAATAGTGATTGTTATTTTTCATTACTGTATAATAGTCCATTATAGTAGATATCCACAATTTTACTTGTCCATTCTACTACAGATGGACATCTGGCCCATTTTTAGCTATCATGAATTAAATTGCTAACAACATTCTATAAATGACCTTTGATGCCTCATAAGCCCTCACTTATTTTTATTTTTATTTTTTAATTTGAGACAGAGTTTTGCTCTTGTTGCCCAGGCTGGAGGGCAATGATGTAATCTCGACTCACTGCAACCTCCACCTCCCATGTTCAAGTGATTCTCCTGCCTCAGCCTCCCAAGTAACTGGGATTAGAGGCATGTGCCACAACGCCTGGCTTTTTTTTTTTTTTTCTGTACTTAGTAGAGATGGGGTTTCACCATATTGGTCAGGCTGGTCTCGAACTCCTGACCTCAGGTGATCCACCCGCTTTGGCCTTGGGATTACAGGTGTGAGCCACCATGTCTGGCCCCCATATATATATTTTGAATGAATGAATGGGCACTCAAAAAATGTTAGCTACTAGTATTTTTGCAGAAACAATAGGCCCACAGCAAATATCTTTTCCCAAATAAAAAGGAAGTCCTCACCACAGAGATTAATTATTTCACCACTCCAGAAAAAAAAAACAAAAGCTTTTAAAAGAGTGTTTTGAGGCAGAGCACAGTGGCTCACGCTTGTAATCCCAATGCTTTGGGAGGCCAATGTGGGAGAATCGCTTGAGGCCAGGAGTTATCAACCAGCCTGGGCAACATAGCAAGACCCCATCTCTACAAAAAATAAAAATACAACATTAGCCAGGCGTGGGGGCACACACTGTAGCCCTAACTATTCAGGAGGCCGAGGCGGAAGGATTGCTTGAGCCCAGGAGTTCAAGGCTACAGTGAGCTAAGATCACGCCACTGCACTCCAGCCTGGGTGACAGAGAAAGACCCTGTCTCTAAAAAAAAAAAAAAAAAAAGAATGAAATCTTGTTTTGCCCTCTGTTATCTGAAGTCCTTCTGCTTTCCTGAGGATGTCAGCATCCATGTGGATGAGCATGCAATTCGCCTGACTCATCATCCCACGTCTTTCTCAGCTCTGATGACCTTTGCTTCCACTCCTCAAAGCCGCCACAGGAATGGCTCTTGTGATCCTTTTGGATGGCTAGATTTCTGAAATCTTAAACTCTGACATACTTTCTACTTGCCCTCTGTGGCAAATTCTATATTCCAAGGTGGCTGCAACAAGTTCTGCCATCCCATGTGTTTTTTAAATTTTTTATTTATTTATTTTTATTTTTATTTATTTATTTTTTTATTGATCATTCTTGGGTGTTTCTCGCAGAGGGGAATATGGCAGGGTCATAGGACAATCGTGGAGGGAAGGTCAGCAGATAAACAAGTGAACAAAGGTCTCTGGTTTTCCTAGGCAGAGGACCCTGCGGCCTTCCGCAGTGTTTGTGTCCCTGGGTACTTGAGATTAGGGAGTGGTGATGACTCTTAACGAGCATGCTGCCTTCAAGCATCTGTTTAACAAAGTGCATCTTGCACCGCCCTTAACCCATTTAACCCTGAGTGGACACAGCACATGTTTCAGAGAGCACCGGGTTGGGGGTAAGGTCATAGATCAACAGCATCCCAAGGCAGAAGAATTTTTCTTAGTACAGAACAAAATGGAGTCTCCTATGTGTACTTCTTTCTACACAGACACAGCAACAATCTGATTTCTCTATCTTTTCCCCACATTTCTCCCTTTTCTATTCGACAAAACCGCCATTGTCATCATGGCCCGTTCTCAATGAGCTGTTGGGTACACCTCCCAGACAGGGTGGCAGCCAGGCAGAGGGGCTCCTCACTTCCCAGAAGGGGCGGCCGGGCAGAGGGGCCCCCCACCTCCCGGACGGGGTGGCGGCCGGGCGGGGGCTGCCCCCCACCTCCCTCCTGGACGGGGCGGCTGCCGGGCGGAGACACTCCTCACCTCCCAGACGGGGCGGCTGCCGGGCGGAGGGGCTCCTCACTTCTCAGACGGGGCGGCCGGGCAGAAACGCTCCTCACCTCCCAGACGGGGTCACGGCCGGGCAGAGGCGCTCCTCACATCCCAGACAGGGTGGTGGGGCAGAGGCGCTCCCCACATCTCAGACGATGGGCGGCCAGGCAGAGACGCTCCTCACTTCCTGGACGGGATGGCAGCCGGGAAGAGGCGCTCCTCACTTCCCAGACTGGGCAGTCGGGCAGAGGGGCTCCTCACATCCCAGACAATGGGCAGCCAGGCAGAGACGCTCCTCACTTCCCAGACGGGGTGGCGGCCGGGCAGAGGCTGCAATCTCGGCACTTTGGGAGGCCAAGGCAGGCGGCTGGGAGGTGGAGGTTGTAGTGAGCGGAGATCACGCCACTGCACTCCAGCCTGGGCAACATTGAGCACTGAGTGAACAAGACTCCGTCTGCAATCCTGGCACCTTGGGAGGCCGAGGCTGTCAGATCACTCACGGTTAGGAGCTGGAGACCAGCCCGGCCGACACAGCGAAACCCCGTCTCCACAAAAAAATACGAAAACCAGTCAGGGGTGGCGGCACGCGCCTGCAATCGCAGGCACTCGTCAGGCTGAGGCAGGAGAATCAGGCAGGGAGGTTGCAGTGAGTGGAGATGGCAGCAGTACAGTCCAGCTTTGGCTCGGCATCAGAGGGAGACCGTGGAAAGAGAGGGAGAGGGAGACCATGGGGAGAGGGAGAGGGAGACCGTGGGGAGAGGGAGAGGGAGAGGGCTATTTTTATTTTTATAAAATTTTTTTTAGCTCTGTCACACAGGCTGGAGTGCAGTGGTGTGATCTTGACTCACTGCAACCTCCATCAGCCAGGTTGAAGAGATTCTCCTGCCTCAGCCTTTGAGTAGCTGAGACTACAGGTGCCTGCCACCATGCCTGGCTAATTTTTGTATTTTTAGTAAAGACAGGTTTTCATCATGTTGGCCAGGCTGGTCTTGATCTCCTGACCTCAAGTGATCTGCCCGCCTCGGCCTCCCAAAGTGCTGGGATTACAGGTGTGAGCCACCACGCTTGACAACTTACTCTTGAAGTAAAAGAAATACATTCAAAACCAAGGGAGAACATTGACTGATTGATACTCTGTATGAGACTTCACAACTGGACCAGGGGCAAATATTGTGGAGTGCTATATGCATATATTGTGGAGTGCTGAGGTCTGGGCTTTGTGTGTAGCCATGATTCAAATAGTGAACATTGTACTCAATAGGAAATTTTCACCCCTCACCCTCCTCCCATCCTCCCATCTTTTGGAGTCTCCAATATCTATTGCTCCCCATGTGTACCTATTGTTTAACTCCCATGCATGAGAACATTCAGTATTTGACTTTGTTTCTGAATTATTTCACTGAGGAGAATGGCCTCCAGTTCTATCCACAGTGGTGCAAAAGACATGATTTCATTCTTTATGTGGCTAGGTCATGTTCCGTGGCGTACATGTACCATATTTTCTTTATCCAGTCATCTGTTGATGGACACTTAGGTTGATTCCATATCTTTGCTACTATGAATAGTGCTGTGATAAACGTATGAGTACAGGTACTTTTTGATATATTGATTTCTTTCCCTTTGGGTAGATACCTAGTAGTGAGATTGCTGGTTGGATTGCAGTTCTATTTTTAGTTTTTTGAGAAATCTCCCTACTGTTGTCTGTAATGGTTGTACTAATTTACATTCCCACCAACGGTGTATAAGTGTTCCTTTTTTCTCTGAACCCTCACCAACATCTTTTGTTT
This sequence comes from Homo sapiens, assembly GCF_000001405.40. NCBI lineage: Eukaryota > Metazoa > Chordata > Mammalia > Primates > Hominidae > Homo > Homo sapiens. The sequence continues at coordinate 65,031,907 of NC_000007.14, read as the reverse complement.
TCTGACTTTCAATTTTTTATTTTTATAGAGATGGGGGGGGTCTCATTATGTTGCCGAGGCTGGTCTCGAACTCCTGACCTCAAGTGACCTGCCCACCTCAGCCTCCCAAAGTGCGAGGTTACAGGTGCAAGCCATCTCACCTGACTGTTTTCTGACTTTTTACTAATAGCATGTGCTAGGTGTGGTGGCTGACACCTGTAATCCCAGCACTTTGGGAGGCCTAGGCGGGTGAATCACCTGATGTCAGGAGTTTGATACCAGCCTGGCCAACATGGTGAAACCCTGTCTCTACTAAAAGTACAAAAATTAGCTGGGTGTGGTGGCATGTGCCTGTAATACCAGCTACTTGGGAGGCTGAGGCCGGAGAATCACTTGAATCTGGGAGGTGGAATTTGCAGTGAGTCGAGATTGCACACCTGGACTCCAGCCTGGGTGACAGAGCAAGACATAATAATAATAATAGCATGTGCTCTTCTTCAACATAACTTTAACATTGCTCCCATGGTGAGGTCAGGCCTATGCTCCTCTCCCTTGAATTCAAGAAGGTCTGTGACTGGCAGAAGTGATTCAAGGTAGGTCATAAAAGGAGACATCTTTTCTCCGTGGTCTTCCTGGGATGCTTGCTCTTTGAACCCAGCTACCATGCTGTGAGGAAGCCCAGATCACAGGGAGAGGCCACATTTTGATGTTCCAATCAACAGTCCCAGCACAGGTTTCAGATGACAGCCAACATCAGTTGCCAGACATGGGACTGAAGAAGGCTTTGTGAAGATTCCAGCCCCAGCCACTGCAACAGCATGAGACACCTCGAGTGAAAATCACCTACCTGAACCCAGTCAACTCCCAGAACCATGAAAAAAAAAAAGATTATTTTAAGCACCTAAAGTTTTGTGGTTATATATTATGCAATAAGAGTAACTTAAATATCCTCATTCCCTTCTAGCTTTTTGAATCTCTTACTCACCAAACCTAGTCTCTCTGTGAAGACCTGCTCTGCCTTAATCAATATTTTCCCCATAGACCCAGTGAGAGGTAGGTTGGGTTATCTTCCTACTCTTCATGGCTGCTCAGAGACCATTTCTTCTTCTTCTTCTTCTCCTACTCCTTCTCCTTCTTCTTTCTTTTTTTAGTGATGGAGTCTCCCTCTGTCACCAGACTGGAGCACAGTGGCACAATCTCAGCTCACTGCAACCTCTGCTTCCTGGGTTCAAGTGATTCTCCTGCCTCAACCTCCTGAATAGCTGGGACTACAGGCACAAGCCACCATGCCCAGCTAATTTTTGTATTTTTAGTATAGATAGGGTTTCATCATGTTGGCCAGGATGGTCTTGATCTGTTGACCTCATGATCTGCCCGCCTCAGCCTCCAAAAGTGCTGGGATTACAGGCATGAGCCACCGCACCCAGCTCTTCTTCTATTCCTTCTTCCTCCTCCTCTTCCCCCTCCTCCTCCTTCTTCCTCTTCATCCTCCTCTTCCTCCTTGACAGGGTCTCACCTCCCCAGGCTCCAGCGATTCTCCCACCTCAGCCTCCTGAGTAGCTGTGACCGCATGTGCGTGCCACCGTACCCAGTTGATTTCTTTTTATTTTTTGTAAAGATGGGGGTCTCACTATGTCACTCAGGCCAGCCTCAACCTTTTGGGCTCAAGTGATGCTCCTGCCTCAGCCTCCCACAGTGTTGGGATTACAAGTATGAAGCACTGAGCCCAGACTAATTTTTCATCTTCTTTAGTTAACCTAACTGTCTCTGTGTTCTTCAGCATTCTATTCCCTTGAATACTCAATCTCCTGTGTGGCTGCTGCAAGTCCTGGAATCTTTTTAGGATTTCCTCTCTAAAGGCCATTCAAAAAGTGGTGAGTTAATTTGCCCACAGTCCACAGTCCACATTGCAGCCATCAGCAAAGCCAAACGCCAGCCGTGCCTGGATCTCCCTGCATACCACATTCATCCTTATCTTGCACACATTTCCTTCACTATGCGAGGACAAGAACACTTTTGAGCTAATGAACGTGCATGTTCTCTGTTCAAAGTAAAACACATAATAAATAAACCCCACCAAGATGCTCACTTCCTGGTGGGTCTGTGTGTTAAAAGCAGTTGTCTTCAAATCTAACTCCTATGAATGTTTATACTTCTGTTTATTCTAAAACTCCCTAATTAGAGACTTCCCAGTATCTTGCAATTCCTCAACAAGTCATAGGGAGCCCAGGAATAATTTTTTTTTTGAGACGGAGTCCCACTCTATCGCCAGGCTAGAGTGCAGTGGCACCATCTCAGCTCACTGCAACCTCTACCTCCCAGGTTCAAGTGATTCTCCCTTCTTAGCCCCCCGAGTAGCTGGGATTACAGGCATGTGCCACCACACTGAGCTAATTTTTGTACTTTTAGTAGAGACAGGATTTCACCATGTTGGCCAGGATGGTCTCGATCTCTTGACCTCGTGATCCTCCCACCTCAGCCTCCCAAAATGCTGGGATTATAGGCGTGAGCCACGGTGGCAGGCCAGGAATAAATTATTCAAAAATAATTAACAAAAGGCTTTACCTTGTTTCATCATTTAGTTGATGAACTTTTCCAGTTTAATTAGTCTCACCAATATAGAAAACATTTTTAGAAGAGGCCTCTTTGGGTTAAGAACAAGTGTCTTTCTTTCTAGCTGCTCTAGAGAAGAAGAAGAGAAAACAACAAGGCCCATTTTAGGAACATTTTAACCATGAGTAGAACACAACACAAGGAAAACTTTCTCTTTTATATAAGAAATATATTTTGGCCGGGCGTGGTGGCTCACGCCGGTAATCCCAGCACTTTGGGAGGCCAAAGCAGGCAGATCACCTGAGGTCATGAGTTTGAGACCAGCTTGGCCAACAAGATGAAGCCCTGTCTCTACTAAAAATACAAAAATTAGCCGAGTGTAGTGGTGGGCACCCATAATTGCAGCTACTCGGGAGGCTGAGGCAGGAGAATCGCTTGAACCAGGAGGTGGAGGTTACAGTAAGCGGACTTTGTGCCATTGCACTCCAGCCTGGGTGACAGAGAGAGACTCCATCTCAAAACAAAACAAAAAAAAAAAAAAGAAGGAAGGAAGGAAGGAATTTCACAAAAGCGCATTTAATGCAGGCAACTTTTGAGCATCAGAGAAATTGGTCTGGATTAAGTCCAGAGACGCAGTGTTGCGTTGCTTACAAGAATGGTTTGGAATCCCAGCTCTACCGCGTTAATAACTGCCTGTGCCTAGCAAGGTACTTAACTCCCCTTTGCCTCAGTATCTTCTCCATAAAATGGGGATGGCAGTAGTACAGTGGTCCATGCCTCTGAGGGTTTGAGGAGAATCAGTTACATGGTGACAGGCACATAGTTAATGTTCAATAAATGCTATAGCTATTATCTTCATTCTTGTCTCTATGGGTGAAAGAAAAATGCAACATTGGATCAGATTAAATTCTTCTGGAAGCAATGGCTTAAAATAAACTGCTATTCAAAAACTAAAATTATCATACTGGGCTAAAGCTATCCAAAATGTAAGTGATCTATCTTCCAGTAATTCCACAAAATAGATAAATGTGTACACAGTTACTTAGAAGAACATTTAACAACTGCATTTAAATGTAGATTCTTGGCTGGGCATGGTGGCTCACACCTCGAATCCCAGAAATTTGGGAGGCCAAGTTGGGTGGATCACCTGAGGTTAGGAGTTTGAGACCAGCCTGGCCAACATTGTGAAACCCTGTCTCTACTAAAAATACAAAAATTAGTTGGGCATGTTGGCGGGCATCTGTAATCCCAGCCACTCAGGAGGCTAAGGCCAGAGAATCATTTGAACCCAGGAGGTGGAGGTTGCAGTGAGCTGAGATCACACCACTGCACTTCAGCCTGGGTGACAGAGACTCCATTTCAAAAAGAGCAAATAAATAAATAAATGTAAACTCTTGGGCTTTGTTTTATTCATGATTGCCACCAGCAGAGCTACCTAACAATGTATATATATATGTATTTTTTTTGAAATTATTATATTGCTTTATTTGATATTTTCCATTTCTTCCCTTATTAAATACATTTACTTTCATGGCATATTATACTATGTAACTTCTTAGTTCTATTTTTTTATTACAGTTTAAGTTTTAGGGTACATGTGCACAACGTGCAGATTTGTTACATATGTATACGTGTGCCATGTTGGTGTGCTGCACCCATTAACTCGTCATTTAACATTAGGTATATCTCCTAATGCTATCCCTCCCCCCTCCCCCCACCCCACAACAGGCCCCGGTGTGTGATGCTCCCCTTCCTGTGTCCATGTGTTCTCATTGTTCAGTGCCCACCTATGAGTGAGAACATTCGGTGTTTGGTTTTTTATCAAGCCCTCTAGTGACCTTTAAGATCAGGCAAACTCAGGTAATAACATTGAACGGTTGGTGAGTGCATATTTTCCAGGTTAAAATGATATTGGGTATAGAGCAGCAGTTCTCAAATTTGAAGTGCTTAAGAATCACCAGGAAAATTGTTAAAAATTACATGTCCAGAGGTTTAGATATCCAGAGATTTAGATTCAGAGCTCTGGGAGACACTAAAATATCTGCATTTTTTAAACCAGTTTCTTCTCTCCAGGGTGAATAATTCAGAGGCACTTGTGTTCATCCTGTGCTGCTATAACAGGTAATTTATAATGAACAGAAATTTATTTGACTCAGGGTTCTGGAGGTTGGGAAGTCTGAGTAGAGGGGCTACATCTGGTGAGGGCCTTCTTGCTATATCAGACAATGGCAGAAAGTATCACATGGTGAGAGAGAGCAGGAAGGGGGCAGAACTCATCCTTCATAAGAAACTCGCTCGCATCATAATGAACCCCACTCCCACCATAACAACATTAATCCATTCCTGAAGGCAAAGTCTTCCTGACCTAATTATCTCTTAAAGGTTGCACCGCTCAACATTGTTGCATTGGGGATTAAGTTTCCAACACATGAACTTTGGAGGATATATTCAAACCATAGCATTCTGCCCCAACCACCCAAATTCATGTCCTTCTCACCTGCAAAATACATTCATTCCATCCCAATAGCTGCAAAAGTCTTAATTTGTTTCAGGACCAACTCAAAAGTTTAAAGTTCAGAGTCCTATCTAAATCAGATATGGATGAGACCCACCGCACAATTCATTCTGAGGCAACAGCTGTGAGCCTGTGAAATTTAAAAAAAAAAAAAAGGTGCCTCCAAAATTCAATGGTAGGACAGATATAAGGCAGACATTTTCTTTCTTTGTTTTTGTTTTTGAGACGGAGTCTAGCCCTGTCTCCCAGGCTGGAGTGCAGTGGCAGGATCTCGGCTCACTGCAAGCTCCGCCTCCCGGGTTCACGCCATTCTCTTGCCTCAGCCTCCCGAGTAGCTGGGACTACAGGCTCCCGCCACCACACCCAGCTAATGTTTTGTATTTTTAGTAGAGACGGGGTTTCACCATGTTAGCCAGGATGGTCTCGATCTCCTGACCTCGTGATCCGCCCTCCTCGGCCTCCCAAAGTGCTGGGATTACAGGCATGAGCCACCACGCCCGGCCACTTTTTTTTTTTTTTTTTTTTTTTTGAGACGGAGTTTTGCTCGTTGCCCAGGCTGGAGTGCAATGGCACAATTTCGGCTCACTGCAACCTCCACCTCCTGATTTCAAGCGATTCTCCTGCCTTGGCCTCCTGAGTAGCTGGGATTACAGGTGCCCGACATCACACCCAGCTAAGTTTTTTTTTTTTTTTTCTTTTGAGATGGAGTCTCGCTCTGTCACCCAGGCTGGAGTGCAGTGGCTATATCTCGGCTCACTGCAAGCTCTGCCTCCTGGGTTCACACCATTCACCTGCCTCAGCCTCCTGAGTAGCTGGGACTACAGGTGCCCGCCACCACGCCCAGCTAATTTTTTTTTTTTTTTTTTTTTTTTTAGGAGAGATGGGGTTTCACCATGTTAGCCAGGATGGTCTCGATCTCCTGACCTCGTGATCCACCCTCCTCGGCCTCCCAAAGTGCTGGGATTACAGGCATGAGCTCCACCTCTGTGACAAACTTCTGCCTGAGGCACCCAGCTGTTCAATACATGTTTTGAAATCTAGGTGGAGGGCTGGGAGCGGTGGCTCATGCCTATAATCCCAGCACTTTGGGAGGCCGAGGCGGGTGGATCACGAGGTCAGAAAATCGAGACCATCTTGTCTAACACAGTGAAACCCCGTCTCTACTAAAAATACAAAAAATTAGACGGGTGTGGTGGCAGGCACCTGTAGTCCCAGCTACTTGGGAGGCTGAGGCAGGAGAATGGTGTGAACCTGGGAGGTGGAGCTTGCAGTGTGAGCTGAGATCGAGCCACTGCACTCCAGCCTGGGCAACAGAGCAAGACTCTATCTCAAAAAGAAAAAAGAAAGAAATCTAGGTGGAGCCCACCATAGCCCCACAGTTCATATACTCTGCACATATGCTGAGTTAGCACTGTGTGGATGCCACCATGGTTTATAATCCTGTATCTCTTCTGGAGTGGTGGCTAGACCCACTTAAGCTGTTGAAGTTGATTGTATTCATCTATTCTCACACTGCTAACAAAGACATACCTGAGACTGGGTAATTTATAAAGGAAAGAGGTTTAATGGACTCTGTTCAGCATGGCTGGAGAGGCCTCACAATTATGACCAAAGGCAAAGGAAGACCAAAGGCACATCTTCCATGGTGGCAAGCAAGAAAGCATGTGCAGGGGAACTGCCCTTTTATAAAACTAACAGATCTCCTGAGACTTATTCACTATCAATGAGAACAGCATGGGAAAAACACACTCCCATGATTCAATTACCTCCTACTGGGTCCCTGCCACAACATGTGGGGATTATGGGAGCTAAAATTAAAGATGAGATTTGGGTGGGGACACAGCCAAACCATATCACTGGTTTTTCCCCAGGTTCCCCCATATAAGTCAGTGAATGTAGATGGATACTTGTGACAAAGGGAACCATTGTGGTCCAGACACTGAATACACTGAAGTCCCAGCTGCTGCTCTGCCAGGATTCCCTGTCCCACCTGCCAGGACCTCCCCTCAACCACCTCCCTGTTCAGGAGATGCCCATGTATTCAAGAGAGAGTGTTCATAATTTTCTTTTTCTTTTCTTTTCTTTTTTTTTTTTTTTTTTTTTGAGACAGAGTCTCTTGCTCTGTCGCACAGGCTGGAGTGCAGTGACATGATCTCAGCTCACTGCAACCTCTACCTCCCAGGCTCAAGCAATTCTCCTGACTCAGCCTCCTGAGAAGCTGGGATTGCAGGTGCACACCACTATGCCTGACTAATTTTTTGTATTTTTATTAGAGACCAGGTTTTGCCATGTTGGCCAGGCTGGTCTCGAACTCCTGACCTTGAGTGATCTGTCCCACTTGGCCTCCCAAAGTGCTGGGATTACAGGCATGAGCCACCATGCCTGGCCAATTTTCATAATTTTCTTTACTTCCCACTGTGGTGGGAGAACTGGCTTCAGAGAAAGCCATCCTGGACAGGTAAGGTGGCCCCCCAAGGAACAGGTTTCAATCAAATGTTTTGTAGGCAGTGATGCCCGTGCACCCTGGTGAGAAGGAGCATGGTGTGAACATCAGGAACCAGACTTCACCCTGGAGGAAAGGCCACAGGTGGGGGCTGAAGGAGCAGTTCTTACAAGCGATCCTGTGGGCACTGGGGCCACACCACGCACCTTGGTGCACAAGTGTCAGTGTGGCTCAGAGTGGGGTAGAGGACTCAGGGTATTAAAAGCATCAAGGAATCCAGGGAGAGCCACTGCACCCAACTTTACTTTCACCCACAGGCTTTCATCATGTTGGCCAGACTGGTCTCCAACTTCTGACCTCAAGTGATCCACCTGCCTTGGTCTCCTAAAGTGCTGATTACAGGTGTAAGCCACCATGCCTGGCCAAGATTAGGTCCAATTTTTAAAGTAATCTGGAGCATAGAAAATGTTTCTGCAATTATTAATCTTTTTTTTTTTTTTGAGACAGGGTCTCACTCTGTCACCCAAGCTGGACTGCAGTGTCATGATCATGGCTCACTATAGCCTCACCCTCTTGGGCTTACGCGATCTTCCTGCCTCAGCCTTCCAAGAGCTGGGACTACATGCATGCACCATCGTGCCCAGCTAATTTTTTAGTTCTTATACAGACAGGGGTCTCACTATGTTGCCCAGACTGGTTTTGAACTCTTGGGCTCAAGAGATCCTCCCACCTTGGCTTCCTCAAATGCTGGGATTACAGGCATGAGCCACCACACCTGGCCTCACATATTTTGATATATAAAACACCAAAGATCTTTTTAAGGAGCTAAAGAAACCAGTACTTTTTAAAGAAAAAAGTAGTGGGAATGTCTAGTACAACCAAAACCAGGCATCAAAGTCAGCAGTTAAACATTCCAGGCTGGGCACAGTGGCTCATGCCTGTAATCTCAACACTTTGGGAGGCCCATGCAGGAGGACTGCTTGAGCCCTGGGGGGCAGAGGTTGCAGTGAGCCACGATAATACCACAGTATTCCAGCCTGGAAGACACAGTGAAACCCTGTCTCAAAAACAGATAAACAAACAAATCAATCAATCAATCCAGAACCAGTGCTCACTTCGGCAGCACATATACAAAAATTGGCATGACATGGAGAAGATAAGCATAGTCCCTGTGAAAGGATGACAAACAAATTCATGAAGCATTCCATATTTTAAAAAATATTTCAGAACCAAGAAAATAAATGAATCAAAAGAAAGGGAAGACCTTGGTGATTCCTTTGATATCAGAAAAAATCGGCCGGGCACAGTGGCTCATGCCTGTAATCCCAGCACTTTGGGAGACCAAGGTGGGCAGATCATTTGAGGTCAGGAGTTGGAGACCAGCCTGACCAACATGGTGAAACTCTGTATCTACTAAAAGTCCAAAAATTAGGCCAGGTGCCGTGGCTCATGCCTGTAATCCTAGCACTTTGGGAGGCCAAGGCGGGCGGATCACTTGAGATCAGGAGTTTGAGACCAGCCTGGCCAACATGGTGAAACCTTGTCTTTAATAAAAATACAAAAATTAGCCGGGTGTGGTGGTGGGCACTTGTAATCCCAGCTACTCAGGAGTCAGAGGCAGGGAGAATCACTTGAACCCAGGAGGTAGAGGTTGCAGTGAGCTGAGATCGCACCATTGCACTCCAGCTGGGGTGACAGGGCAAGACTCCATCTCAAAAAATAAATAAATAAATAAATAAATAAACTACAAAAATTAGCTGGGCATGGTGGCACATGCCTGTAATCCCAGTTACATGGGAGGCTGAAGCAGGAGAATCTCTTGAACCCGGGAGGCGGAGGTTGCAGTGAGCTGAGATCACACCACTGCACTCCAGCCTGTGTGACAGAGCAAGACTCTGTCTAAAAAATTAAATAAATAAATAAAATAAAATAAAATAAAGTTCTCATCTGCAATTCTGAATTTGGCAAGAAGAGTGAACTGTGGCCCAGTGACCGGCACACAGCATTTTAGAGTTCATGGTGTAATCCTTGGGAAACTCTTTTCGCCAAAGTTGTGGCATCTTCTCTGGCCACTCACTTTATTCAAAAGACCTGGCTCAAAATGACTATTTATGGAAATCAACTCTAGCCTCAAAAGACAAAACCACTGTAGTTCTAAAGATATTCAAAAGAATTAAGGTTATTAAAAAGCAATGAAGGGCCAGGCACAATGTCTCATGCCTGTAATCCCAGCACTTTGGGAGGCTGCAGCAGAAGGATCACTTGAGGCCAGGAGTTTGAGACCAGCCTGGGCAACATAGTGAGACCCTGTCTCAACAAAATAATTTTAAAAATTAGCTGGTTGGCCGGGTGTGGTGGCTCACGCCTGTAATCCCAGCACTTTGGGAGGCCGAGGCGGGCGGATCACAAGGTCAGCAGATCGAGACCATCCTGGCTAACATGGTGAAACCCTGTCTCTACTAAAAATACAAAAAATTAGCTGGGCATGGTGGCGGGTGCCTGTAGTCCCAGCTACTCAGGAGGCTGAGACAGGAAAATGGCGTGAACCTGGGAGGCGGAGCTTGCAGTGAGGCAGTGAGCCGAGATCACGCCACTGCACTCCAGCCTGGTCGACAGAGCGAGACTCGGTCTCAAAAAAAAAAAAAAATAGCTCGGCATGGTGGTGTGAGCCTGTTGTCCCAGCTACTCCAGAGGCTGGGATGGGAGCATCACTTGAGGCCAAGAATTGGAGGTTGCAGTGAGCCAGGATTGCACCACTGCTCTCCAGCCTGGGTGACAGAGAGATTTTGTCTCTAAAAATGAAATAAAGGAAGCAAGGAAGGGATTCTCCTCCAAATACTCCCACTTCATTTGGGGCAATTACAAGATTCCAGGAAACATGGAAAACCTATCCTGATTACCTTTTTGGATATATGCTAATGGGAAAACAAATCTCATTAATTAACTCACAGAACAGCTAAGAGAAAAGGATCTTAGGGGACGTGTGGTTTCACTCCTAAGTTTAAACATGAGGAAATGGGTACCAAAGAGATGAAAATAACTCACCAGGTAGAGAGAGAAGAGCCTCTCTTACTACAAGGGGTCTCTCACTGAAAAACCAGCGAAACTCGTTCCTTGCCTGCATTCTCCAAGATCATAGCCCAACATAGAATAGAAATGTCTCCACTTCAGAGGACAACCGGTTTGTCCTTTGCCTTTTACACCCCTTTCAGCAAGGAGTATTTCTCAACTTTGTATTTGTGCAAACCCTTGAGCAGCACAAACTTCTTAGCTAAGAGACACTCCACTCTGTTTGCAATTGAGGGCAAAGGCTGGGATGCTTGGGCACAGCTCCAAGGTCCTTTCCCAGAAGTCTGGGGTGCCTGAAAAAAAAAAGCATTTATTTTTCACACACTGAAGAGACTTGGCTCATCAAGTAGAGGTAAACTTTCTCTGTCTCTCTCTCACTATATATATATTTAAAAAAATTTTTTTTTTTGAGATGGAGTTTCACTCTTGTTGCCCAGGCTGGAGTGCAATGGAGCTATCTTGGCTCACTGCAACCTCCCATTTCCCGGGTTCAAGTGATTCTCCTGCCTCAGCCTTCCAAGTAGCTGGGATTACAGGTGTCCACCACCACGCCCAGCTAATTTTTGTATTTTTATTTATTTATTTTACTGACTTATTTTTATTTTAATTTTTTTCGAGACAGAGTTTTACTCATCACCCAGGCTGGAGAGCAATGGCGCGATCTTAGCTCACTGCAACCTCCACCTCCTGGGTTCAAGTGATTCTCCCTTCCTCAGCCTCCCAAGTAGCTAGGATTACAGGCACCCACTGCCATGCCCAACTAATTTTTGTATTTTTTAGTAGAGATGGGATTTCACCATGTTGGCCAGGCTGGTGTCAAACTCCTGACCTCAAATGATCTGCCTGCCTCAGCCTCCCCAAGTGCTGGGATTATAGGCATGAAACACTGCACCCGGGCTCAGACAACTTTTTTTTTTTTTTTTGAGACAGAATCTTGCTCTGTCACCCAGGATGGAGTGCAATGGCATGATCTCAGCTCACTGCAACCTCCGCCTCCTGTTTTCAAATGGTTCTCCTGCCTCAGCCTCCTGAGTAGCTAGGATTGCAGGCACCCACCACCATGCCTGCTAATTTTTGTATTTTTAGTGGAGATGGGGTTTTGCCATGTTGGTCAGGCTGGTCTCGAACTCCTGACCTCAGGTGATCCGCCCGTCTAGGCCTCCCAAAGTGCTGAAATTATAGGCATGAGCCACCACAAACAGCCCTTCTTCCATTCTTGCTCAAATTTTCCTTTTCTTCTTCTCTGTCTTTCTGCCTCCTTTTTTTTTTTCTTGATACCCTGGAAACCACAGGGAATACATATTAATCTTAATTCCAAGGGCAATCTTTAAAATTTCCTTTAGAGCCAGGGCCTTGCTCTATCACCCAGGCTGGAGTGCAGTGGTGAGATCTTGGCTCACTGTAACCTCTGCCTCCTGGGCTCAAGTGATCCTCACACCTCAACCTCCCAAGAAGTTGGGACTACAGGTGTGTGCCACTGCACTCGGCTAATCTGAAAAACATCCTTTTTGGAGCAACGGAGTTTTGCTATGTTGCCCAGGCTGGGTCTTGAACTCCTGGCCTCAAGCTTTTCTCCTGCCTTGGCTTCCCAAATTGTTAGGATTACAGGAATGAGTCACTATACCTGGCCACTTTTTTAATGGAGAAGAGTCCAAGAAACACTATTTCTGATAAAAACACCAGCTAAACTCTTTAAATGTTGCTTCTTTACACTCTCAATTTTCTCCCTTTATCTCTTAGCATCAAATTTCATTTAATTCCTCTAGATACAACTTCCCTTCTTTTTTTTTTTCCTGGAGACAGAGTGTCACTCTATCCCCCAGGCTGGAGCGCAGTGGCATGATCTCAGCTCACTGCAACTTCCGCCTCCTGGGTTGAGTGATTCTCCTGCCTCAAACTCTCCCAAGTAGGTGGGATTACAGGCACCCACCACTGTGCCTGGTTAATTTTTGTATTTTTAGTAGAGACAGTGTTTTACCATGTTGGCCAGGCTGGTCTCAAACTCCTGACCTCAAGTGATCCACCTGCCTCAGCCTCCCAAAATGCTGGGATTAGAGGCGTGACCAACCGTGCCCAGCAACTTACTATTGAAGTAAAACAAATACATTCAAAACCAGGGAATAACATTGACTGACTGATACTCTGTATAAGACTTCACAACTGGGCCAGGGGCGGTGGCTCACACCTGTAATCCCAGCACTTTGGGAGCCTGAGGCAGGCAGATCACCTGAGATCAGGAGCTCAAGACCAGCATGGCCAACATGGTAAAACCCCGTCTTTACTAAAAATACAAAAATTAGCTGGGCATGGTGGTGGGTGCCTGTAGTCCCAGCTACTCGGGAGGCTGAGGAAGGGAGAATCACTTGAACCCGGGAGGTGGAGGTTGCACCACCGCGCCCAGTGTGAGAAACAATCTCCCCTGTCCAAACACAAAGAATGGACTCGGATACCCAGAGAAGAGCGAAAGTAAGACTTTTAACGATGGTCTTGCAGGATCGGGTGTCTGATAGGCAGGCACACTCAGAACAGTTTCAACAAGCAATTTATCCTCTTGTGTGCAGGTCCCTCCCATTTCCTTATACATAGGCTGAGTACTATGGGGTCACAATCTTCCTGGATGTCACCTATTGGTTGTTGGGTAGGAGCTTTAGGTGGTTTTTTTTGTTTGTTTTTTTAAGATGGAGTCTTGCTCTGTCATACAGGTGGGAGTGCAGTGGCGCAATCTCGGCTCACTGCAACCTCCGCCTCCCAGGTTTATGCCATTCTCCTGCCTCAGCCTCCTGAGTAGCTTGTATTACATGTGTCCGCCACCACGCCCAGCTATTTTTTTGTGTGTGTTTTTAGTAGATACGGGGTTTCACCGTGTTAGCCAGGATGGTCTTGATCTCCTGACCTCATGATCCACCCACCTCGGCCCCCCATAGTGCTGGGATTGCAGGTGTGAGTCACCATGCCGAGCCGTGTATACCCTGTTTCTTCTGTAGTTTGCTGACCTAATCTGATTTAAGGCACTTTGTCTTGGAAATGGACCACTGTATACATTATTTCCTTTACCCAGATAACTTTAAATTTTTTTTGTAGAGATGGGGGTCTCACTCTGATGCCCAGGGTTGTCTTGAACTCTTGGCCTCAAGTGATCCTCCTGCCTCAGCTTCCCAAAGTGCTTGGATTACAGGCAGGAACCACATGTTCAGCCATCTTTTTTTAAAAAAGAGAGTTTAAAGGACTCCAACTAGGAACTAATGCAGTAATCTGGGCCAGATATGATTCTAGCTGGGTTGAAATAATGACCAAGATAAAAAGGAGGAAGACGGGAAAGGCTGGGAGGGGCACAACCAACGGGACTTGTAAGTAAGCAGATCTGGTGACAAAAGTCAGGGAAAACAAAAGAAGACTCCCAGGTCTCCAGGTGACAAGGCCAGACCTGGTATATGGTAGTGCCATATACCGTATATACCATATATACTGCCATATACCAGACGGAGAGGGGAGTGCACACCACCACACAGCTGGCCCACACACTCTGGCTGCAAAAGGCCAGGAATCGCATGCTCTCCAGCTTGCGGCCTGAATTTGGACAACTCACTCACTCTCACTGCCTGTCTTCACAATTTCAAAATGAAGTTAAAAAAAAAACCCTTCTCTAACTTGTTTTGCTTTTTTCTGAGACGGAGTCTCGCTCTATCACCTAGGCTGGAGTACAGTGGTGCGATCTCGGCTAACTGCAACCTCTGACCCCAGGGTTCCGGCGATTTTCCTGCCTCAGCCTCCAGAGTATCTGGGATTACAGGCCTGCCACCATGCCCGGCTAATTTTTTTGTATTTTTTTTAGTAAAGATGGGGTTTCGCCATGTTGGCCAGGTTGGTCTCTGACTGCTGACCTCAGATGATCCACCCTCAGCCTCCCAAAGTGTTAGGATTGCAGGTGTGAGCCACTGTGCCCGGCCGGCCTCCAGCTTGTTTTAAGAATCCAGTAACATCACTATGTTTAACAATTGGCTTAGATATTCAGAAGCTGCTGATGTGAATGTTTAATGAATTCTATGAGTAAAGAAATTAGATCAAAGTAAGTGGATTCCATGTAGCCGAGAATGATGTCTTCTGGATATTCCACCTGGTAACCCCTCCTTCAGCGCACTATGCCCCTTGACAAACACCATGGGGAGCAGGGACAGAGGAGGTGGGTGGGGAGCACAGGGACACAGGCACTGACATCCGCCTCTGCATTGCCCCCGTCCCGTTCATCCCTTTCTATAATACAATCATTTAACAATTGTTTCCCATGTGTAAAATATTTGCTTCATTCAATCACAGAACAGATACTTGATGTTCAAATTTACTGAGGAAGAAACTGTTCACTTGCCAAATAGGAACTTAAAAAAATCAACAACCCTTAATTAGCTGTATCATTGAAGTAAAACCAATGTGAGGGATTTAGTGTTTAGTCAGGCAAGCCTGGTTGGCTTCTTGGCTTCCTGTCTTCCCCATTTGTTCCTCCTTCTCAAAGTGTGGATTTCATTTTCAAACTGGGGAAAAGAGGGGTTCAAGGTGGGAGGCGGAGGCAGGAGGATGGCTTTAGATCAGGAGTTCAAGACCAGCCTGGTCAATATAGTGAGACCTTGTCTCCAGAAATTTTTTTTTTTTTTTTTTTACTTAGCTGGGTGTGGCTGTATGCCTGTGGTCCCAGCTTCTCAGGAGGGTGAGGCAGGAGGATCACTTTAGCCCAGGAATTTGAAGCTGCAGTGAGCTGTAATCATGCCACTGCACTCCAGCCTGCGTGACAGAGCAAGACCCTGTCTAAAAACAACAACAAAAAAGGGCCAGACTCAGTGGCTCACACCTGTAATCCCAGCACTTTGGGAGGCTGAGGCAGGAGGATCTCTTGAGGCCAGGAATTCGAGACCAGCCTGGGCAACATAGTGATACCCTGTCTCTATATTTTTTTTTAAAAAAAGAGGTGTTTGGGAACTTCCAGTATGTAGACGTCCACTGCTGAAGGGCTGTTTTGTGTCATAACCAAGACACATGGCCTGAGAGCCTGTGATGATTATTTGTGTTTGTGCAAACTCCAGAGCAGCCCAAGCTCCTAGACTAAGAGACACTCCACCCTGTTTGTAACAGTCTTGAGCAGACATATGAGGAGACAGAGGTCATTGTCTCCAGCATCAAAGGAATGAAACAAGATGTTGATTTTAGAGCCAACACTTTCCCAAGAAGCCTCCACAGTGTGACCTCACAGGGCCTCTACCGGCACTGAGTGTCAGAATTAAGGCATCTGAGGCTGGGCCACATTCTAGTAGAGGCCCCACTCAAAACGTGGCCTGGGGTGATCAAAAGATGTTGATGTGGCAGCTCCTCACCAGATGTCCTGCTCCAACTCTTGCCCTTCCATGTCCAGTCTCTTGACAAGAGCTGAAATGTTCTTTTTAGTGTTTTTGTTTTGTTTTTTCTTTGAGATGGAGTCTTGCTCTGTTGCCCAGGCTGGAGTGCAGTGGCATGATCTCTGCTCACTGCAACCTCTGCCTCCCGGGTTCAAGCAATTCTTGTGCCTCAGCCTCCTGAGTAGCTGGGATTACAGGTGCCTGCCACCATGCCCGGCTAATTTTTGTATTTTTTAGTAGAGACAGGGTTTCACCATGTTGGCCAGGCTGGTCTTGAACTCCTGACCTCAGGTAATCCACCCACTTCAGCCTTTCAAAGTGCTGGGATTACAGGTGTGAGCCACCGCGCCTGGCCTTTTTTTTGTTTTTGTTTATTTCAGAGATAAGGTCTAACTCTGTTGCTCAGGCTGGAGTACAGTGGGGCAATCATGGCTCACTGCAGCCTCTATCTCCTGGGCTCAAGTGATCCTCCCACCTCAGCCTCTGGAGGAGCTGGGACTACAGGCATGTGCCACCACATCTGGTTAATTTTTTTTTCAAGATGGAGTTTCACTCTTGTTGTCTAGGCTGGAGTGCAATGGCCTGATATCAGCTCACTGCAAACTCTGCCTCCCGGGTTCAAGTGATTCTTGTGCCTCGGCCTCCTGAGTAGCTGGGATTACAGGTGCCTGCCACCATGCCCAGCTAATTTTTGTATTTTTAGTAGAGATGACGTTTCACCATGCTGGCCAGGCTGGTCTCGAACTCCTGACCTCAGGTGATCTGCCCCCCTCAGCCTCCCAAAGTGCTGGGAATACAGACATGAGCCACTGCACCTGGCACACCTGGTTTATTTTTTAAAAGTTATTTTTGGCCAGGTGAGGTGGCTCATGCCTGTAATCCCAGCACTTTGGGAGGCCAAGACAGGTGGATCAGATGAGGTCGGGAGTTCCAGACCAGCCTGACCAACATGGAGAAACCCCATCTCTACTAAAAATACAAAATTAGCCAGGTGTGGTGGTGCATGCCTGTAGTACCAGCTATTTGGGAGGCTGAGGCAGGAGAATTGCTTGAACCTGGGAGGCAGAGGTTGGTGAACTGAGATCATGCCACTGCACTCCAGCCTGGGCAACGAGAGCGAAATTCTATCTCAAAAAAAAAAAAAAGTTGTTTTTACAGAGACAGGGGTCTCTGTATGTTGCCCACGCTGGTCTGAAACTGCTACCCTCAAGTGATCCTCCCTCTTCAGCCTCCCAAAGTGCTGGAATTGCAGGCATAAATCAACATGCCCAGCCTTATTCTTTTTTAATTAGCTCAGTTTCAATTTCCTATTATAAAAATACCATCAAATAGAAAATGTCAATGTTAAGTAGGCTTTCCATGTAAAGGTGGCAAATCACAAAATCTCCCTTCCTTGATACTTATGCATTCATTCTTTTTTTTTTTTTTTTTTTTTTTGAGATGGAATCTCACTCTGTCACCCAGGCTGGGGTGTAGTGGCCCAATCTTGGCCCACTGCAACCTCTGCCTCCCAAATTCAAGCAGTTCTCCTGCCTCAGCCTCCCAAGTAGCTGGGATTACAGGTGTGCATCACCATGCCCAGCTAACTTTTGTATTTTTAGCAGAGACAAGGTTTCACCATGTTGGCCAGGCTGGTCTCGAACTTCTGACCTGAGGTGATTCACCTGCCTCGGCCTCCCAAAGGGCTGGGATTACAGGCATGAGCCACTGTGCCTGGCCCCTTGATACTTATTCATTCTAATGACATTTGTTGTGTGCCTACTATGTGCCAAGTACTATATTAGGTTCTGAGAATGAACAAGATAGGACTCCTGCCATAGGGAGCCTCTGTTCTGATTTGCCATGAGTTTGGGAGGAGGACATGCAGACAAGCAGTTCAATAAAAAACAAGTTGATTTTTGAGTGTGATATCTGCTTTGAGAGAACCAGGCAGGACGAGGCAATGAAAAGGATGATGATTCCCTCTTCACAGGATGAGGGAGGATTTCTCTGCAGAGATGATGTGTGAGCTGAGGTCTGAAACATGAGAAAAATCCAGCTATGGCAGGAGGTATGGGAAGTCCATTTCGGGCAGGGGAGAGCATGTGCAAAGGTCCTGAAGAGGGAAACCACTTGGCATTTACAGGAGCAGAAAAGAAGCCCAGATGCCTGATGCGCAATGAGCAAGAGGAAAGGAATAGAGGGTGGCAGACAGGGTCCGATCATGCTGGGATTGGTTTGTTTTTTAAGAGACATGGTCTCACTCTGTCACCCAGGCTGGAGTGCAGTGGGGCAATCATAGCTCACTGCAGCCTCAACCTCCTGGGTTCAAGGGATCCTGTCATCTCAGCTCCCAAGTAGCTGGGACTATAGGCCTGAGCCCCACCATGCCTGGCTAAGTTTTTTTATTGTTATTAGAGATGACAGTCTTGCTATGTTGCCTAGGTGGGTATCAAACTCCTGGACCCAAGTGATCCTCCCATCCTGGCCTAAAAAAGCACTGGAATTACAGGTGTGGGACACTACATCTGGCCAAGATTGGGGGTTTAAAAAATGCTTTACTTTTAATTTTTGTGGATATACAGTAGGTGTATATATTCATGGGGTGCATGAGACGTTTTGACACAGGCATGTAATGTGTAATAATCACATCGGGGTGAATGGGATGCCCATCACCTCAAGCATTTGTCCTTTCTTTGTTTTACAAACAATCTCCAATTATGCTTTTTTTTTTTTTTTTTTTTGAGACAAAGTCCAGCTCTGTTACCGGAACTGGAGTGCAGTCGCACAATCTTGGCTAACTGCAACCTCTGCCCCCTCAGTTCAAGTGATTCCCCTGCCTCAGCCTCCTGAGTAGCTGGGACTACAGGCATGTACCACCACACCCTGCGAATTTTTGTATTTTTAGTAGAGATGGGGTTTCTCCGTGTTGGCCAGGCTGGTCTTGAACTTCTGACCTCAGGTTATCAGCCCCCCTTGGCCTCCCAAAGTGCTGGGATTACAGGCATAAGCCACCACACCTGGCCTATTTAAGCTATTTTTAAATATACAATAAATTATTGTTTACTATAGTCATGCTGTTGTACTGCCAAATACTACATCTTATTCATTCTAACTGTATTTTTGTACCCATTAATCATTCCTGTGCACCCCCTCCAGCCCACTACCCTTCCCAGCCTCTGGTAACCATCATCCTGTTCTCTATCTTCATAAGTTCAATTATTTTAATTCTTAGCACCCACAAATGACTGAGAACATGCAAAATTTGTCTTTCTGTGTCTGGCTTATTTTAGTTAACATAATGATCTCCAGTTCTACCCATGTTGTTGCAAATAACAGGATTATATTCTTTCTCATGGCTGAATAATATTCCATTGTGTATATATACCACATTTTTTCTATCCATTCACCTGTTGATGGACACTTAAATTGCTTCCAAATCTTGGCTATTGTGAATAGTGTTGTAATAAATATAGAAATGCAGATATTTCTTCAATATACTGATTTTCTTCCTTTTGGGTATATATCTAGCAGTAAGATTATTGCATCATAAAGTAACTCTATTTTTCATTTTTTGAGGACCCTCCAAACCGTTCTCCGTAGTGGTTGTACTAATTTACGTTCCCATCAACAGTGTATCAGGGTTCCCTTTTCTCCACATCCTCAATAGCATTTGGTATTGCCTGTCTTTTGGATATAAGCCATTTTAACTGGGGTAGGATGATAGCTCATTGTAGTTTTGATTTGCATTTCTCTGATGATCGATGATGTTGAGCACCTTTTTATATATCTGTTTGCAATTTGTATGTCTTCTTTTGAGAAATATCTATTCTGATCTTTTGCCCATTTTAAAATCAGTTTATTATATTTTTTCCCATTTATTTTTTTTTCCACCTGAGCTCTTTATGTACTCTAGTTATTAATCCCTTGTCAGATGGATTCAGAATTGGGTTTTGACTTTTACACTCAATTCTAAATCATTAAATGCTGTCAAGTGGAGAACTGACATAATATTCGTATTGGAAGATCACTTTGTATATCAGCTATCTATTGCTGTGTAACAAACCACTCCAAGCGTAATGGTATAAAGTTACAATGATGCTTATTAGTCTTCTCACAATACTGAAGGCTGACTAGACTCACCTAGGCAGTTCTGCCTTTGTATGTTTTATGTGGTTGCCTTCAAACAGTATGCAGTTAGAATAGTCTCAATGGTTTCCTTGCTCAAATATCTCCTGGTTAATGTGGGCTGTTAGCTAGGGCCTCAGCTGGGGCTATCTGGTGGAACACCCACACATCACCTCCATACGTGGCCTGGGCTTTCTCACAAAATGGTGAATGGGTTCTAAGTGCATCCATCCCAGGAAGGACAGCCAAGTGGAAACATCTTTTATGACCTAACTTTGGCAGATCATGAGCAACACTTCCATTGTATTCTACTTATAGAAGCAGGGGACTAAGTTCATATTCAAGGGAAGATAAACTAGATTTTTTATTTTTTTTTGAGACAGAGTCTTGCTCTGTCACCCAGGCTGGAGTGCAGTAGCCCAATCTCAGCTCACTGCAACCTCCACCACTCAGGTTCAAGTGATTCTGCTGCCTCAGCCTCCTGAGTAGCTGGGACTACAGGCACAAGCCACCATGGCCGGC
Source organism: Homo sapiens (assembly GCF_000001405.40). Classification (NCBI taxonomy): domain Eukaryota; kingdom Metazoa; phylum Chordata; class Mammalia; order Primates; family Hominidae; genus Homo; species Homo sapiens. Next base: position 65,011,338 of record NC_000007.14, on the reverse strand, counting down.
TAATTTTTGTATGTTTAGTAGAGATGGGGTTTCACCATGTTGGTGAGGATGGTCTCAATCTCCTGACTTCGTGATCCACCCACCTCGGCCTCCCAAAGTGCTGGGATTACAGGCATAAGCCGCCGCACCCGGCCCTATTGGTATATTTTTTAAAATATTTATCCATGTTGTAGCATGTATCAGTAATTCATTTCTTTTTATTACTGAGTAGTGTTCCATCATAGGGATATACCACAATTTGTTTAGCTATTTATCTGTTGGTGAATATTTGGGTTTTTTTGTCGTGTTGGGCAGTCACAAATAAAGCTGCTATGAATATGTTTTCATTTCTCTTGGATAAAACTCCAAGATTGGGATTGCTGGGGTTTTTTTTAATTTTTATTTTTTGAGATGGAGTTTCACTCTTGCTGCCCAGGCTGGAGTGCAATGGCGCAATCTCGGCTCACCGCAACCTCTGCCTTCTGGGTTCAAGCAATTCTCCTGCCTCAGCCTCCCTAGTAGCTGGGATTACAGGCATGTGCCACCATGCCTGGAAATTTTGTATTTTTAGTAGAGACGGGGGTTTCACCATGTTGGCTAGGCTGGTTTTGAACTCCTGACCTCAGGTGATCCACCTGCCTCAGCCTCCCAAAGTGCTGGGATTACAGGCATGAGCCACCGCGCCCAGCCTTGGTGGGTCCTATGATAAGTATATGTTTAACTTTATAAGAAACTGCAGTCCCAGTGTGGTGGCTCACGGCTGTTATCTCAGCACTTTGGGAGGCCAGTGCGGGAGGATTCCTTGAGGCCATGAGTTCAAGGTCAGCCTGGGCAACATAGCGAGACCCTGTTTCTACAAAAAATAAAAAATTAGCTGGGCATGGTGGTGTGCATCCGTAGTGCCCGCTACTCAGGAGGCTGAGGTAGGAGGATTGCTTAAGCCCAGGAGTTCTAGGCTGCAGTGGGCTATGATTGCACTGCTGCACTCCAGCCTGGGTGACAGAGCAAGACCCTGTCTCAGACACACACACACACACACACACACACACACACACACACACACACACACAAACAGCTGTTGTCTTTGCTTTCTTGTAATTGGGCAGCAGATCCTTTCTCTGATTCATCTTGGAATGCTGTTGTCTCTGTCCCCTGTATTTATATATTTATTTATTTTTGAGATGGAGTCTCGCTCTATCACCCAGGCTGGAGAGCAGAGGCATGATCTTGGCTCACTGCAAACTCCACCTCTGGCATTCAAGTAATTATCCTGCCTCAGCCTCCCGAGTAGCTGGGACCACAGGCATGTGCCACCACATCCGGTGAATTTTTTTTTTCTTTTGAAACGGAGTGTCTCTCTATTGCCCAGGCTGGAGTGCAGTGGCGTGTTCTGGGCTTACTGCAACCTCTGCCCCCTGGGTTCGGCGATTCTCCTTCCTCAGCCTCCCAAATAGCTGGGCTTACAGGCACATGCTACTACCACTTGGCTAATATTTTTGTATTTTTAGTAGCAAGTGGGTTTCACCATGTTGGCCAGGCTTGTCTCGGACTCCTGATCTCAAGTGATCCACCAGCCTTGGCCTCCCAGTGCTGGGATTACAGGCGTGAGGTACTGCGCCCACCTGAGTCTGCTTCTGTGTCTATGCATTTAGTTCTCCCAAGAGATTCTCTTTCCCTCTCCCTCTCCCTCTCTCTTTTCTTTGTACTCTGCTAATCAGGTTTACATGATTTCCTATCAGACCTGAATCTTGCAGAATTGAAGCCACAGAAAAGAATATGCTGACTCTGCAGTGCTTGAAGGGGGTAAAAATAAAGCATTACCTAGAGGAAGCAGTCTTAGGAAATTTTGCCTCTGACTCTTTTTTGTGTCAGTCCCACCAGGAGAGAGTGAAGCCAGTCTCCCTCTTTCCTGTTTTGTGTCTGGACTTCAATGTTCATTTCCTCATTCTCTCTTTCTAGTATCTTGCTCTTACAGAATCTACAGGTCTTTCTTGAAGAAATCTGTAGTCATAATTTTGTGCTCCATTTTTATTTAGGGGAGGAACAGGAAGAGAAGAGTGTGGCCTCCTAGAAATCTAGCACTGGAGAAAGGTAAGTTTGATTTGTCTTTTTTTGGTCTTGTTTTGGTTTTTTGCTGTCATTGTAATTTTTTTTATGCATTTGACTATTATACATTATACTGTTATACTATGTTGGCCAGACTGGTCTTGAACTCCTGACCTCGTGATCCTCAGCCTCCCAAAGTGCTGGGATTACAGGAGTGAACCACCAAGCCCGGCCTGACCTCTTGGCTATTACCAAAGTATGTTTGCTTCTGAGGAAGCTGGAAGCTGCAGCCACAATGTGCCTTTGCAGGGGAGCCTGAGAGCCACAGGTAAGGACAACTGAGTTAGACAGGAGGGATGAGGCCTAGGGGGAGGGCAGAGTGCATCACATTCCCCCACCCAGACCCACGGGCCACGGCATCATGGCCCCATGGAAGGCCCCACTCCTGTCTCTCTGTCTGTGTGATTCCCAGTTATTCCCATTCCCCCAACAGATAAACCTCCCAATGGATTCAATGCATACACTTTTATTAAATCTCACTCTGTCACCCAGGCTGGAGTGCAGTGGCATGATCTTGGCTCACTGCAAGCTCCGCTTTACAGGTTCAAGCGATTCTCTTCAGCCTCCTGAGTAGCTGGGACTACAGGCATGCACCACCAGACCTGGCTAATTTTTTTGTATTTTTAGCAGAAATGGGGTTTCACCATGTTGGTCAGGCTGATCATGAACTCCTGACCTCAAATAACCCACCTGCCTCGGCCTCCCAAAGTGCTGGGATCACCTGCCCCAGCCTCCCAAAGTGCTGGGATCACCTGCCCACTCCCTTGGTGAGGAGCCCCCTAGGGCACCTCCACCTCCTAGAGCACAAATGTTGTTGAGATGAGCAGCTTGAGACATGGTATGGACCTATGCGGAGGTGTCCCTAGACAATGATGGCATCAGAGTGAGAGGCTGGATGAGGATGTGTCTGGGGGAGCTTCGAGGTGCTGTGATATGTAAGAGATCATTAATTACAGGATGCCACCCCAAGGAGAATATGCATGGACCAAAGATGAGGGGTCCCCAGGAGGGTAAACCAATAGTAATGCCCCCAGATTCCATTCCTAGCCAGGCTCCCTGCTAAGTGACAATTAGAAAAATTCCTCTTTACAGAAAACAGAGCATCAATTAGGTCCCCAACTACAGAGCCAGTCCTCTACCCTCCAGTGAAACTTCCAGTGGGCAAGAAAAGCTTGGGAAAGCCAGAAGGAATAGGAACCACAGCTCAGGCCGGGCCGAGGCTTCATAAATCAAAAGGACATTTTTTTTTTAAGAGATAAGGTCTCACTCCATCACCCAGGCTGGTGTGCAGTGACCCAATCATGCCTCACTGTAGCCTTGAACTCGTGAGCTCAAGTTATCCTCCCAGCTCAGCCTCCTGAGTAGCTGGGACCACAGGTGCACACCAACACGCCTTGCTAACTTTTATTTTTATTTTTGAGACACAGTCTCGCTCTGTCACCCAGGCTGGAGTGCAATGGTGCGTTCTTGGCTCACTGCAACCTCCACCTCCTGGGTTCAAGTGACCCTCCTGCCTCAGCCTCCCAAGTAGCTGGAATTACAGGTGCACGCCACCAGGCCCAGCTAATTTTTGTATTTTTATAGAGACAGGGTTTCACCATGTTGGCCAGGCTGGTCTTGAACTCCTGACCTCAGGTGATCCGCCCACCTCAGCCTCCCAAAGTGCTGAGATTACAGGCGTGAGCCACCGTACCCAGCCCATGGCTAATTTTTAAACTTTTTTGTAGAGATGGAGTCTCACTATGTTGCCCAGGCTGGTCTCAAGCTCCTGGCTTCAAGCAGTCCTCCCACCTCAGCCTCCCAAAGTGCTGGGATTACAGGCATGAGCCACCATGCCCAGCCGCAGAAGGGCAATTATTACACAGTGACAGTGGAAGGAACAGAGACACAGTCGGTGGATGGTGGGAAGATAAGAACATTCACTCTGAGGGCTTCTAGTAACGTTGGAGAAGTGAGCATCAGCTTAGCAGAAGGGAGGGAGGGAAGGAAGCACAGGAGGTTTGAGGAGAGAGAGAGAGGAAGTATGAAATCAGAGCTGCACTTCAATGTGGTGGCTATTGGCCATGTGTGGCTACAGGATAGCTGGAATATGGCTGGTCTGAACTGCGATGTGCTAGAAAGGTAAAATACAGGGTTAGATTTAAAGATTTAGTTCCAAGAATATATACACTACATTAATAATTACATATTGCTCCTATACTAAAATAATATTTTGGATATATTGGGTTATTAAATGGTTAGAATGAATTTCACCTGTTTCTTCTTTCTTCTTAACTACTAGAAAATTTAGAATTCACACATGGCTCACATTTTATTTCAGACGGTTGCCTTACAAGGCAAATGCCGTCTGGGGAGGGCCTGGGTCAGCTCAGGGAGGAAGCTCTGCCTGAAAAGGCTTAGGGTTCACTCTACATTCAGCCCAGCATCTGAGCACGTCTTCTGTCAATCAAGGCCTGAGAGGGTGGGGCCCTAAACATTATCCAATCAGGGACGCTGGGCTGGGACCCGTCCAATCAGGCACTCAGCTGGAGCAGACAGGACGGCTTCCGGGTTTGGTGGGGCCTTTGTCTCTGGCGGCAGCCGGAGCTTCTGGTGTAGTCTTCACTGCTCTGTGTCTTCTGCTCCTAGAGGCCCAGCTTCTGTGGCCTCGTTACCTGCAGGTATTGGGAGATCCACAGCTAAGACGCCAGGACCCACTGGAAGCCTAGAAATGGTGAGAGTGCCGGGTCCGACATCCCGAGAGAGGGGGCGGGGCTGGTTGGAACTGGTGGGAAGTGGCTGTGGCGGGACTCTGGCCTCCCCGCAGCTGGCTCCAAAATCCGCGGCCCCGAGTTCTCCTTGGCGCAGCTCGGCCCTCAGTCCCCTTCAGCCATAGGATGGCGGCCGGGCTGACAGCTCGGACCCCGGGCATCCTGTCTCCTCCCTGCGCAGTGACTGTGCCTTGTTCTGGAGTCCTCTGTGGGCAGCTCTGCCCCCACTGCCGCAGCTCTCCCCGATTGTGCAGGGACCACTGGACGGTCGTCAGGGGAGAATACTGACTCAGGATGCAGAGTTCATGAATGGGAAGAGCTTTGGTCTGCGGGGTTCCCAGTCCCCCTTTTTTTCTATTAAAAATTTGTGGAAGTCTCCGCAGAAATATTAAAGAATTTAATTAAAGAGTAATTCAAGAATTGTAGAGCACCAAGCTATGTTTTGTAGTTTGTGGTTTATGGAAGGGGCTTGAAGAAAACACTTTTATAAAGTGCATGATAAAGGAAAGCAAATTCAATAATTGGTTAGGTAAAGTTATGTAGTTTCTTAATTTGTACGATCAAGGTGGAAATTCCCTGGTCATGTAATGAGAGGTTAATTGGCAGTTTATAGTTGGTTAAGCCTGAATTTTATTTTCCCCCAATGTAATACTTTAGAAAAAAATCATTCGAGTTAGATTTTTTTGCAAGTAGCAACCCTAGGACTGGAGCCACCTCAGTCTAATTGCCTGCCACTTAATTATTTTCACACTCCACAGGGCACTGATTTTCCTCTGCATTTTTCACTTCTGTCTCAAGCAGGGTCTCAAGACTTCTCCCCATTTCCCATTCCTCCAGCCTAACTCTGGCTTGCAGTAAAATACTAAATTTCCAGTTCCTTCTGACATTCCCAAATGCCAATTTCCCCTCCCTAATTCACATTATCAACTATTTGTCCTTTAATGTACACTTTAGTGTACATTTTAGGTACCATATTTTAATTAATCATTTTTTGACAAAGCATTGGCTGGCATTTTAAAAAAGATTTGTTTTCTGTTTGTAAAGATTTCCCAAGAGAAGAAAGCAAAGAATAATCCCCTGACACTGTATTGTAAAAAATGTTCTGTGCCTCCTTTCCTTTTATTGCCTCTAGCCACAGAAACCTTATCAGAATATTTTTGGGTCAGGGTTTCCCTTTGGAAACTTTATAAGGTAATGTGTCCTCAGCCACCCTTCAGTTTTTTCCCTGGTTCTGGGTTTCAGTACTGTCTGGGGATAAATCAAGATATCCACTGTGGCTGTGTATGCTACAATGTCTAGTAAATTTCAGCTCCTGGCCTGGAATGAAACTTCGCATATCTGGGAATGGGAGACAGGACAGCCTGAAGTTGGAGTGTAGCCTCTCAAGGGAGCAGGTGGATGCCCTGAGGCTGAGAGGAGTCTCCTGGGGTACTCTTCCTTTGAAAAGCAAACCCTTAGAGAAGTTAAGATTGTCTTCAAGCAACCCGGGTTCCATTTCTCGAAGACACATTGCTGGTCAGCCAATCAGATGGTGGTAATGAGGGAAAAACAAATAATTACTGCCACCTGGATTCTCCAAGAATTATGAAAGAGAAAATAGTATCCCAAAAGACAAAAAAAAAAAAAAAAAAAAAATCAAACCTGGCCCCAGTGAGATGGTGCAGCAACTTGCAAAGTGAAATGCACCTTGGGGCACTCAATGGGGCCTAGTACAGTGTCTCTGGAGAGGGTGGTCACTGAGCACTTAAGTGAGCAGGATGGGGGTGGGAGAATCTCTCAAGGGATTGGGTGGCCTGACTTGACATATGAGTCAAACACATCTGTTTTTTAATGAGCACCGTAGCTCCCTGGGTTTGTCACCTTGAAAAGGTTTGTTCACTTATTTTGACTACAGTTTTTTAACTGTAACTTGCATTTTATTAGTAGGGCTTAAAAGGTAAGAAAATATTTACAAAGGGCATAAAAGAGGTGGGGCTCAGAAGAAAATAAATATCTAATCCTATATTCCATTCTTAAGAATACTCATTTAAGGAAGACTCTGTCTCAAAAACAAAAACAAAACTCATTTACCTTTTTCTTTCCCAGACCGAGTTTAGAAATTTTCTCAGGTGTGTGTTTTTGTTTTTGTTTTGTTTTGTTTTGAGACGGAGTTTTGCTCTTGTTGCCCAGGCTGGAGTGCAATGGCTCAGTATCAGCTCACTGAAACCTCTGCCTCTGGGTTCAAGTGATTCTCCTACCTCAGCCTCCCAAGTAGCTGGGATTACTGGCATGTGCCACCATGCACCAGCTAATTTTTTGTATTTTTAGTGGAGATAGCGTTTTTCCATGTTGGTCAGGCTGGTCTTGAACTCCCTGCCTCAGGTGACCTGCCCGATCTGCCCGCCTTTGCCTCCCAAAGTGCTGGGATTACAGGCGTGAGCCACCGCGCCCAGCCAGGTGTGTTTTTTTAATGACTTGGTGACATCCAACAGAATTCCAAGGCTTAGTTTTTAGAGTGCTACAAAGGAAAAAAATAGGGAAAATCTCTCTTCCATTTTGGCTGTAGAAAATGAATACATTTCCATAAGAAAATGTGGTAGATAATTGGTGAGTTACATTCATGAAAACATCAGTTCCTCTTTTTGCAGGGTACATTTGTTACAGGGAATACCTCTGTTCTGTACTCTATCATCTTGATATGTGATGTTAATGCTAAATTTTATGAGAGGAAACTTGGTATCTCCTAGAAGTGCTCCCATATGACTAATTGTTTACTACATGATTTTTAATGGAAATAATAACATATTGTCTTAAAGGAATAAATGCTTTTGTATTTCTTATTGAGGTATGAAATGTAAGTACCGTAAAATTTCCTTCCCTTATATAAACAATGTGTTTGAGTAATTTTTCTGAATTTTTCAGTTTCAAAAACCAAGTGAATAACTCTGACATGGAAATTAAAGCTTGTGCCCAGTGACCCCAAGCTAATGCTAATATTGAGCCTGCAAAAAGCGGGGAGGTTCTTTCTTTCTTTTTCTTTTTTCTTGACAGAGCCTTGCTCTGTTGCCCAGGCTGGAGTGCAGTGGTGAGATCTTGGATCACTGCAGCCTCTGCCTCCTGGTTCCAGCAAATCTCTTGCCTCAGCCTCCCAGGTAGCTGGGATTACAGGCAGGTGCCACCACACCCAGCTAATTTTTGTATTTTTAGTAGAGACGAGGTTTCACCATGTTATCCAGTCTGGTCTCAAACTCCTGACCTCAGGTGATCCTTGGTCTCCCAAAATGTTGGGGTTACAGGTGTGAGCCACTGCACCCAGCCAGGGAGGGAGGGTATTAAAGGCTCAGTTCATTCTTTCTAGGAAACCTTCCCTGCAGATGTCCCAGCCTGCTCACTCTAGCCATGGAAGAAGCCTTTATACTGAAAAAAGTGACAGAGCCCTGGAAAGCTGGGGACCCACAGACAGATGCAGTTAACATTAAGATGGAATGGGACTGGGAGGGTCTTACTGCAGATGAAATTGTTACTGTTTTGAGGCAGTTTCTAGACTTTGTAAAATGAGCTAAATTAGGTTTATGTAAAAAAATTGAATTCTAAAAGAGTGTTGCAACAGAACGAAGTACCAACTATAAGAGCTTTAAGGATTGCAAAGTTTAAACAGATAAAGGCTTTCTTTCTTAGGGAGGAGCAAAAAAGATTAGAAGGTCAGAGGGGAATAGCAAATGGAGGATGAAAAAAAATCAGATTTTAGATCAGAAATTGTTTTACCATGAAGTCAGCAAGTTTTTAGGAGGAACATAAAATGGGGCTGTATGTTGGCTCAGACTGAGAGTAGCTCAAAGTTCAGGAGCCTGTGGAAAGGAGATAAACTTAAGTAAAGTTTGATTAAGAAGTATTTTAGGCTGGGCACAATGGCTCATGCCTGTAATCCCAGCACTTTGGGAGGCCAAGGCCGGGGGATCACTTGAGGTCGGGAGTTCGAGACCAGCCTGGCCAACATGACGAAACCCCATCTCTACTAAAAAAAAATATAAAAATTAGCCAGGCATGGTTGCATGTGCCTGTTATCCCACCTACTCTGGAGGTTGAGGCAGGAGAATTGCTTGAACCTTGGAGGCAGAGGTTTCAGTGACCCAAGATCGTGCCACTACACTCTAGTCTGGGCGACAGAGTGAGACTCCATCTCAAAAAACAAACAAAAAAGCATTTTATTTTGACCACTGAAGACAAATTTAGCTAATTTTTTAATACAAAAAAGAAGAAAATGTGCAGAGTCAGTGTCTGGTTATGTGATAAGTCAGACAAGAGAGCACCATCTAAGTCATAATGAAAGGATGTTTCTTTCCATAAACTGTTCCTGGAGAACACAAAGGATAGAGAATTTTATTAACGCTATTTACCAGGATTATCTATGTGCTTCATCTTTCCCCACGTCTTTTCTTTGTCCTATACATTTTTTCCACTTGAGTTTTCTGGGTTGTATTTTGTATAATAAATGGGTAAACATAACTACAGTATTTTGCTGAGTTCTGTGAGCAGCTCTATAAAATTATTGAACTTGAGAGATTTATGGGAGTCCTGAATTTTTAAACAGTAGCTCAAAAGCATAGATGGACCTATAGGGTTTGTGACTGGTGTCTGCAGTGAAGACAGTGTTGTGAGATTGAGCCCTGGATCAGGGTCTGTGCTGACTCTTAAGTGGGGTCATAATTCAAATTTTAGACAATGTGTTGGTTTTGAAGAATTGCTTGGTGTTCAGCAAACATTACAGTTTTGGTGCCAGAAGAAAGACATCTCAGAGGCCTGGCCTGGAATGGAACTCTGGGTGTCTGGGAATGAGAGACTCTGCTCTCCTGTACACAGGCTGTCACACTGCCCATTGTCCTGGGATTTGAGGTCTCCTCCCACTCCCACTGTGAGAGAGGACTGAAAACTTAGAGGAAAGGAGCTCTTATAGCAGACCTCCTTTTCCCACCACTGCCACCTCAGGATTTCCACCCACTCACAAACATACCCACTAGACATTGATGTGTTCACACCTCCCAGGACTAGGCACCACCTTAGGAATTTCACCACAGCATTTTTCATCCTGGTGTTTCTTGCCAAAAACCCACAAAAGTGTCTACGAGTCTCCTGACATATTCCTATTCCCAGACACTGAATCTGCAGCAGCAACCTGTTCTCTCCACCAATCTAGGATTCTGGACCACCTGTTCATAATCTCATCTGCCTGCATGGACACAGAAATAAATCAGAGGACAATCCCACCTGGACCACTATCTGTAGCACAAACCATTCCTTACACGTACATTATGCTATCCCCCACCCACGAATTTTTTATTTTTGGTTCAGGGGTACACATGCAGATTTGTTATGTGGGTGAAATTGTGTCACGGGGGGTTTGGCATGCAGATTATTTTGTCACTGAGGTACTAAGCATAGCACCAAACAGGTATTCTTTGATCCTTTTTGTCCTTTCACCCTCCACCCTAAACTAGGCCTCAGTGACCGTTGTTTCTCTCTTTGTGTCCATGTGTTCTTATTATTTAGCTCTTACTTAGAAATGAGAACATGCATTTGGTCTTCTGTTTCTGCATTAGTTTTCTAAGGATAATGGTCTCCAACTCTGTCCATGTTTCTGCAAAGGACACAATCTTCTTTTTTATGGCCACACGGTATTCATTGTATTTATGTACCATATTTTGTTTTTATTAAATATTTTATTTTATTTTATTCAGTTTTGGAGACAGGGTCTCACTGTGTCACCCAGGCTGAAGTACAGTGATGTGATCTTGGCTCACTGCAGCCTCAATCTCCCTGGTGCAAACAATCCTTCTACCTCAGCCCCCCAAGTTGCTGGGACTGCAGGTGCATACCATTATGCCTGGCTAATTTTTCTTTTTGTACTTTTTGTAGAGATGTGGTTTTGCCACGTTGCCCAGGCTGGTTTCAAACTTATGACCTCAGGCAATCTACATGCCTTGGCCTATGAAAGTGCTGTGATTGGCCAGATGCAGTGGCTCATGCCTGTAATCACAGCACTTTGGGAGGCCGAGGTGGGCAGATCACAAGGTCAGGAGATCAAGACCATCCTGGCTAACACGATGACACCCCCGTCTCTACTAAAAATACAAAAAATTAGCCAGGCGTGGTGGTGGGCACCTGTAGTCCCAGCTACTTGGGAGGCTGAGGCAGGAGAATGGCGTGAACCCAGGAGGCGGAGCTTGCAGTGAGCAGAGATTGAGCCACTGCACTCCACCCTGGGCAACAGCGTGAGACTCCATCTCAAAAAAAAACAAAAAAGAAAGTGCTTTGATTACAGGCATGAGCCACCGTGCCATACCATACTTTCTTTATCCAGTCTGCCATTGATAGGTGTTTATGGTGATTCCATGTCTTTTCTATTGTGAGTAGTGCTGCAGTGAACATGCATGTCTTTGTATCTTTATGATAGAATAATTTATATTTTTTGGGGTATAAACCCAATTATGAGGTGCCTGGGTCAAATGGTAATTCTGTTTTTAGTTCTGTCATTGCCACAATTCTTTTCACAATGGTTGAATTAAGTTATACTCCTACAGGCAGTGTATATGAGGCAGGAAATATAAAAGGAAAAACAAGTAAAGGGAAAACAAGTCCTTCCCTGATCAGTCTGACTCACTCCAAAGTCCTGCTGGAGCTATGATAACATTATCTGCAAGGCCAGGCAGGGACCCCAAAAGAATGGGCTCCAGGAGCAGAGATGAGAAAAACAAGTTCTCCTTATCAGTTTCCGCCTTGAAATTCTTTCCCCATACCATTATTCTTTGTTCTGCTCTCACAACTATTTTTGTAACTATTTCTGCAAGTTTGCAAAGATTTCATAAGTTCCTGTTTTTCTTTCTGTAGCACGGCAAGGTCACAAGACATGCTTAAGTAAGATAGGGTCATGTTGCAAATCCTGTTGTAAAACCTGTCACGGTATGATTAACTGTCTTTGTTCTGCTTCTGTAAGACTGCTTTCCTGTCTCACAGGTTTCATGCCAAAAACCTGACCCGCCCCTGTTGGTTGCATGTATAAAAGTCAAGCCCTGTCATTGTTCAGGGCTCAGCCTTTGGATGTTCATCGGCTGGGCTGGTGGTCACCTAAATAAAATCCTCCTGTTCCACCAAGTGGTCTCTCCAGCCTCCTGATTCCCACAACATTTTGGCGAGCCAGCCAGGAGGGGAGACTACAGGTTTACTGTCTCCTTTGGCTGTGGGACTGGAGCCCCGGGCTGGGGGAGACCCGTGACCCAAGGCACCATTGGGAGACCTTCAACCCGGAGGGGAGATTGGCTCTCCCATGACCCGGCGCCCCTCCCTGACAGTGCATTGGAACCTAAGGGGCTACAGGACGATTCCAGGACTTCACGCTACAGGACTGCAGTAAGGTTTGGGCCCAAGGCAGGACCCGTCCCATAAGGATGGAAGGGGAGCCTGATCACCTCCTGGGGTGTACCTAGTAATCCGACTCAGGACATGAGAGGGGCTCGCAAAGTTGGAAGAAACCTACACCCCAACTGACCCAGGACGTGAGAGTGGCTCACTAAGTTGGTTAAGAAAGGAAACTGGAAGTGGGGAGGTGTGTGAATAAATGTGAAAGAGATGGTTCCAAAAGGAACCAACATGCTGAGTGACGTGTGTGGAGCCACAGGTCTCTTAGCATAGACTGTACCATCTGAGTGAAGTGTGGAACCGACCGAGACTAGTGGCAAACATCCTTTGGGGCTACGGCATATGGCTTAGGGAGGTGCCCCACAACTTATAGATTGTGGTGGTCCGGGTTCAGGACTCATATGAACCCTCCATTAAATCTAAGAAGTGTCTGAAATACTCCTGCAAGGGACACGGTCTAATCAGTCTGAAATGAAAGGAAGAGTGAGTGGGTTCTGCCATAACTGGGAGGAAATGGGAGGGAAGTCATCAAAACCCATCCCATTAGAATGTATGTTAAGGAACTTTAAGTAAGATTATACAGGGGATTATGAGATCAAGTTGACCCCCCAGAGGTTGAGAACTCTCTGTGAAATAGAATGGCCCTCTTTCAATGTTGGATGGCTGGCCGAAGGAACTATAGATAGGGAAAAAATTGGCCGTGTATTTAAGGTGGTGACTGGGGTCGGAGGACAGCCAGGGCATCCAGACCAATTTCCTTATATTGACTCATGGCTAAATATAGTTCAAACTCAACCTGCATGGCTGCAGCCTTGCCTGGCTTCTTATTGCAAAACGCTCATAGCTCGAGCCAAGCCTAAAGTAAAAGAAAAATCAGCTTCACTGTCAGCTACAGAGACAAAAGGAAAGCCACAAGAAAAACCAGTTTTGCAGGAACCAGCAGAGGAGATAGAAACCCCTCCTCCCTATGTGCCAATCTATCCCCCTTTACCAAGGACGGCCCCTGAGCAGCCAGACTCAGATGGTGACACACTCCAGGCTACACCTCAAAGGGGGAAATCTGAGCCCCCACCTCAGGAGGTCAAGAAGGAAAGTCAGGATGATCAAGCAGGCCGCCTTCGACCTGGCCACACCAGAGTGTGGCAGATGCCCCTCCGTGAAACACGGGGACCTATCTATTATGATGAACAGGGGCAGGTTCAAGGGGGGGCAACCGACTTTTATTTACCAGCCTTTTTCAACCACTGATCTCCTAAACTGGAAACACCATACTCCCTACTCCCTCCTACACAGAGAAGCCCCAAGCCCTCACAGATCTGATGCAGTCCATTTTTCAGACACAAAATCCAACGTGGCCAGATTGCAAACAGCTCCTCCTGACACTGTTTAACACCGAGGAATGCCGAAGGGTGACCCAGGCAGCCCTCCACTGGCTGGAACACAATGCACCAGAAGGCACACTTAATGTCCAGGCATATATGCTCAGGGCCAATTCCCAGAAGCCAGCCTACACTGGGACCCAAATGATGCAGCCCAATTACAGTACCTACAGAGGTACTGGGAGGCACTCCTGCAAGGGCTAAAGGAAGGTGGGAAAAAGGCAGTCAACACGGGGAAAATCTTGGAAGTGCTGCAGGAGACTAATTAAAGTCCTGGTCAGTTTTATGAGAGACTCTGTAAAGCATTCTAGCTTTACACCCCGTTTGACACTGAGGCTACTGAGAACCAGTGCATGGTGAACGCAGAGTTTGTAGGACAGGCCCAGGGAGACATCAGGCGAAAGCTGCAAAAGCTAGAGTGTTTCACGGGCATGAATGCCACTCAGCTTTTAGAAGTGGCCACCAAGGTGTATGTTAACCGTAACCAGGAGACAAAGAGAGGCTGATCAGACTTAAGAAAAAGGCCGATCTGCTAGTGGCAGTCCTCACAGGAAGGGAAACTAGCATCGCGAGTGGGTGTGGACATAGCCATGGACATGGAGGGGTTCAGGCCAGGCAGAGACCTGAAAGTCAACCAAGACTATGTAGGAATCAATGTGCGCAATGCAAAAAGAGGGGACACTGGAAAGGTGAATGTCCAGAGGGCAATGAAGAAAATGACAGAGACTATAAAACTGGAAAACTGCCAGCCAAGGGCTATTGTGTCCCAAGGGAGTCAGATACCTACTTGATCAGGCTGGCAGGAACTGGAGAATATGAAGATTAGGCCAGACTGGGCTCCTTCTCTTTAGCCCCCCAGGAGCCCATGGTCACATTAGAAGTAGGAGGCCAGCTAATGAACTTTATGGTAGACACTGGGGCTGAACACTTGGTAGTGACCCAGCCCATAGGGCCATCATCCAAAGATCATACAACTATTGTTGGGGCTACAGGGGTCCCAGAGAAGAGGCCATTTTGTCAGCCAAGGAGGTGTGTCTTTGGAGGATGAGAGGTCCAACATAAATTCCTGTATCTCCCCAATTATCCAGTGCCTCTACTAGGAAGAGACCTACTCCAAAAATTGCATGCACAGATTACCTTTGGGTCACAAGGAGATATTACTTTAAGCCTAACTCAACCAAAGGCCATGGTGTTAACCCTCACCATCCCGCAGGCTGAGGAATGGAGACTATACATGAAGTACAGGCACCAATGCAGCCTTGTACGCAGGAGGAAGAGAAATTATTATTTAGGCCAATTGATAAAATTCCTGGAGTATGGGCTGAAGACAAGCCACCTGGGCTGGCTGTAAATCAGGCACTGGTAGTAGAATTAAAACCAGGAGCAACTCCAGTTCAGGTTTGTCAGTACCCACTTTCCCAAGAGGATATTTGGGGCATTTATAAGCATTTAAAGTGGCTCTGTGACCATGGGATCATAATCCAATGCCAGTCACCCTGGAACACTCCACTTTTGCTGGTACAAAAACCATTGCCTGGACCAGGATCTGATGAGTATATACCGGTGCAGGGCTTGCATGCTGTAAACCAAGCCACGGTGACCATACATCCAGTAGTACCAAACCTGTATACTTTAATGGGACTTATTCTAGCAAGTGCCACCTGGTTTACAGTCCTGGACTTAAAGGATGCTTTCTTCTGTCTCTACCTGGCACCAGTTAGTCAGCCCATCTTTGCATTTTAATGGGACAATTCAGTCACAGGCACAGGGGGACAGCTCGCCTGGACTAGTCTCCCACAAGGGTTCAAGAATTCTCCCACAATCTTTGGGGAAGCACTGGCCTCAGACCTCAAGGCATACACCCCACCAAATGACAACTGCGCCTTGTTGCAGTACATAGACAACCTTCTTTTGGCAGCCCCAACCCAAGAGGACTGTTACTGGGGAACCCAGGACCTCCTCCATCTCTTATGGAAAGCAGGGTATAGAGTATCCAAAAAGAAGGCCCAAATTTGCCATGAAAAGGTTAAATATTTAGGCTTCATAGTAAGCCAAGGGGAACGCTGGCTTGGCCATGGATGAAAGCAAGCCATTTGTGCACTTCCAACTCCAACCACCTGGCGCCAAATAGGGGAATTCTTAGGGGCAGCAGGGTTCTGCCATATCTGGATCCCAAATTTCTCACTTATAGCCAGGCCCTTATATGAAGCCACAAGGGAGGGTGAAAAGGAACCCCTCCTCTGAAAGGCTGACCAGAAGAAGGTGTTTAAACAAATCAAAGAAGCCCTAACTCAGGCTCCAGCCTTAGGACTGCCAGATACTACTAAGCCTTTCTTTCTATATGTCCATGAATTAAAGGGAATGGCTATAGGGGTCCTGACTCAAATCATAGGATCATGGCATCGCCCAGTGGTGTACTTATCCAAACAGTTGACTCTGTGGTGCTAGGGTGGCCTCCTTGCTGTAAAGCACTAGCCACTACCACCCTATTGACACAAGAAGCTGACAAACTGACCCTGGGGCAACAATTGACCATCCAGGTACCACATGCGGTTATAACTTTAATGGATCAGAGAGAGCAGCATTGGTTATCAAACCCAACGATGACTTGATACCAAGGGCTCCTATGTGAAAATCCACGCATAACTTTAGAAACAGTGAACACCCTTAACCCAGCTACCCTGCTCCCAGTCAAACCGGGAATCACCTTCCGTGACTGTGGCAACAGTGGACGAGGTATTCTCCAGTCGAGGAGACCTTACAGACCAGCCTTTCAAGGACCCAGATGTAGAATACTTCATAGATGGAAGCAGTTTTGTGCTGGAAGGGGTCTGCTGGGCTGGGTAGGCAGTGGTGACCTTAGACTCAGTGGTGGAGGCGTAGCCTCAGCCTGCTGGAACATCAGCCCAGAAGGCAGAGCTAGCAGCCCTAACGAGGGTTCTCCAGCTGGCAGAAGACAAAAAGATCAGTGTTTACACGGATTCCAAATATGCTTTTGCCACACTGCATGTTCATGGAGCTATATATAAAGAAAGAGGACTCTTAACTGCCACAGGCAAAGAAATAAAATGGAAAGAATGAATTCTACAGCTCTTAGATGCTGTATGGATCCCAGAGAAAGTAGCAGCTATGCACTGCAGGGGACACCAGAGGGCAGGGACGTCAGAGGCAAAAGGAAACAGAAAGGCAGACAGGGAGGCAAAATGGGCAGCAATGGTTACACCTCATTTTAAAAAGGAAGCCTTAGCTATGCCCCTCCTCCCAGAGCCTCCCCTCCAGGAGGTCTCAAGTTACTCTCCGAATGAGAAGGCCTGTTTTGCCCAAAAAACTGGAAAATATATTGAAGGAGGATGGTGGAAATTTTCTGATGGGAGGTCGGCCATTCCCAAAATGGTGGCCCCCAAATTTGTGAAGTAATTGCATCATGGAACTCGTGGGAAAAACAGCACTAGAAACGCTACTAGGACGCCATTTCTATGTGCCGCGACTCACTGCCATCACCCAAGCTGTTTGTGAACAATATTTAACCTGTGCCCAGAACAACCCATGACAATGGCCCACTCGGCCCCCAGGAATTCAGGAAATAGGAACCATGCCCTGTGAAAACCTGCTTATGGACTTACAGAGTTGCCTCAGGCAGGGAGCTATCGGTACATGTTAGTACTTGTCTACACCTTTTCAGGATGGGCCAAGGCTTTCCCTACCAGAAGCAAGAACTCATGAGAAGTGACTAAAATACTATTAAGAAACATTATCCCCAGATTTGGACTGTCTGTGACTCTAGGGTCAGACAACAGGCTGGCATTTCTAGCTGAAATAATTCAGGAACTAACACGAGTGTTAAAAATAAAATGGAAATTACACACAGCCTACCGGCTGCAGAGCTTAGGAAAAGTAGAGTGCATGAACTGGACACTCAAACAGCTACTGAAGAAATATTGCCAAGAAACCCCTCTGAGATGGGATCAAGTCCTGCCCATGGTCCTCCTTCAAGTTAGGTGCACCCCCACCAAACAAACTGGGTATTCGCCCTATGAAATACTGTTCGGCAAGCCATCCCCAATCATAAGTCAAATTAAGGGTAATCTCCGTGAACTAGGGGAATTAACTTTAAGGAGGCAAATGCAGGCTTTAGGGATAGCCATGTGAAGTGTCCATGGCTGGGTACAGGAAAGAATGCCCATAAGCCTGATAGATCCAATACACCCCTTTAAACCCAGGGACTCTCTTTGGGTCAAAAAATAAAACCCAACCACTCTGGGACCCATATGGGATGGGCTCCATACTGTAATCTTGTCTATTCCCACTGTTGTTAAAGTTGCAGGAATTGTGCCTTGGATCCATCCATCCAGTCAGCTGAAACCAGCAGCCCAGGACAAGTGGACCAGCCAACAGGACCTAGACCATGCAACCCAGCTGATCCTACGATGGAACCAAGGTGCCAGTGAGATGACAACAGCCCTGCTCTGGTCACTCCGGAAGCTGACCAGTCCACACACGGCTGAAGCTTGAGGAGACAACAGCCCTGCTCTAGTCACCCCAGAAGCTGACTAGTCTATGCACGGCCGAAGCTTGAGTCATCATCAGGGAAGTAAATGTGGTTAGAAATCTGAAGTCCAGTAATTTTCCTTGTCATATTAATTACTTTGCTATTAAGCTGTCACTTTGCTTAGCCTTCTCCCCCCAGGAAAAAGCCTTTTCTGTCCATGCTGGGTATGAACATGCTACTCATCACTTTGTTCTTGCTACTCCCCTTATCCATGTTAAAAGGAGAACCCTGGGAGGGATGCCTCCACTGCACCCACACTACGTGGTCGGGGAACATCATGACTAAAACCCTGTTGTATCACACTTATTATGAGTGTGCTGGGACCTGCCTAGGAACTTGTACTCACAACCAGACAACCTACTCAGTCTGTGACCCAGGAAGGGGCCAGCCTTATGTGTGTTATGACCCTAAGTCTTCACCTGGGACCTGGTTTGAAATTCATGTCGGGTCAAAGGAAGGGGATCTTCTAAACCAAACCAAGGTATTTCCCTCTGGCAAGGATGTCGTATCCTTATACTTTGATGTTTGCCAGATAGTATCCATGGGCTCACTCTTTCCCGTAATCTTCAGTTCCATGGAGTACTATAGTAGCTGCCATAAAAATAGGTATGCACACCCTGCTTGTTCCACCGATTCCCCAGTAACAACTTGCTGGGACTGCACAACGTGGTCCACTAACCAACAATCACTAGGGCCAATTATGCTTACCAAAATACCATTAGAACCAGATTGTAAAACAAGCACTTGCAATTCTGTAAATCTTACCATCTTAGAGCCAGATCAGCCCATATGGACAACAGGTTTAAAAGCACCGCTAGGGGCACGAGTCAGCGGTGAAGAAATTGGCCCAGGAGCCTATGTCTATCTATATATCATAAAGAAAACTCGGACCCGCTCAACCCAACAGTTCCGAGTTTTTGAGTCATTCTATGAGCATGTTAACCAGAAATTGCCTGAGCCCCCTCCCTTGGCCAGTAATTTATTCGCCCAACTGGCTGAAAACATAGCCAGCAGCCTGCACGTTGCTTCATGTTATGTCTGTGGGGGAATGAACATGGGAGACCAATGGCCATGGGAAGCAAGGGAACTAATGCCCCAAGATAATTTCACACTAACCGCCTCTTCCCTCGAACCTGCACCATCAAGTCAGAGCATCTGGTTCTTAAAAACCTCCATTATTGGAAAATTCTGTATTGCTCGCTGGGGAAAGGCCTTTACAGACCCAGTAGGAGAGTTAACTTGCCTAGGACAACAATATTACAACGAGACACTAGGAAAGACTTTATGGAGGGGCAAAAGCAATAATTCTGAATCACCACACCCAAGCCCATTCTCTCGTTTCCCATCTTTAAACCATTCTTGGTACCAACTTGAAGCTCCAAATACCTGGCAGGCACCCTCTGGCCTCTACTGGATCTGTGGGCCACAAGCATATCGACAACTGCCAGCTAAATGGTCAGGGGCCTGTGTACTGGGGACAATTAGGCCGTCCTTCTTCCTAATGCCCCTAAAACAGGGAGAAGCCTTAGGATACCCCATCTATGATGAAACTAAAAGGAAAAGCAAAAGAGGCATAACTATAGGAGATTGGAAGGACAATGAATGGCCTCCTGAAAGAATAATTCAATATTATGGCCCAGCCACCTGGGCAGAAGATGGAATGTGGGGATACCGCACCCCAGTTTACATGCTTAACCGCATTATAAGATTGCAGGCAGTACTAGAAATCATTACCAATGAAACTGCAGGGGCCTTGAATCTGCTTGCCCAGCAAGCCACAAAAATGAGAAATGTCATTTATCAAAATAGACTGGCCTTAGACTACCTCCTAGCCCAGGAAGAGGGAGTATGCGGAAAGTTCAACCTTACTAACTGCTGCCTGGAACTTGATGACGAAGGAAAGGTCATCAAAGAAATAACTGCTAAAATCCAAAAGTTAGCTCACATCCCAGTTCAGACTTGGAAAGGATAGTCTCCAGATTCCCTTTTCAGAGGTTGGTTCTCATCCCTTGGAGGATTTAAAACCTTAGTACAAATAGTCCTAGCCATATTGGGAGTTTGCCTTATACTCCCTTGTCTCTTACCCCTCATTGTCAAAAATATCCAAACAGCCATAGAGGCTCTTGTGGACAGACGGACTACCACACGACTAATGGCCCTAACTAAGTATTAACCCCTGCCAAGAAAAGAGCTACTTCCTCTTGAAGTAAATGAAGATAGTGATGCTTTCTCTTAAACTTTACTTATAAAAAGCATCAAAGGGGGGAATGAAGCAGGAAATATAAAAGGAAAAACAAGTAAAGGGAAAACAAGTCCTTTCCTGACCAGTCTGACTCACTCCAAAGTCCTGCTGGAGCTATGATAATTATCTGCAAGGCCAGGCAGGGGCTCCGAAGGAGTGGGCTCCAGGAGCAGGGATGAGAAAAACAAGTTCTCCTTATCAGTTTCCCTGTTTGAAATTCTCTCCCCATAACATTATTCTTTGTTCTGCTCTCACAACTATTTTTGTAACTATTTCTGCAAGTCTGTAAAGATTTTGTAAGTTCTTGTTTTTCTTTCTGTAGCATGGCAAGGTCACAAGACATGTTTAAGTAAGGTAGGCTCATGTTGCAAATCCTGTTGTAAAACCTGTCACGGTATGATTAACTGCCTTTGTTCTGCTTCTGTAAGACTGCTTTCTCACCTCGCAGGTTTTGCGCCAAAAACCCGACTTGCCCCTGCCTGATGCATGTATAAAAGTCAAGCCCTGTCTTTGTTCAGGGCTCAGCCTTTGGATGTTAATCCGCTGGGCCAGTGGCCACCTAAATAAAACCTTCCTGTTGCACCCAGTGATCTCTCCGGCCTCCTGATTCCCACAACATATAAGCATTCCTTTTTCTCTGCAACCTAGCCCGCATCTGTCATTGACTTTTTAACAATAGGCATTCTGACTGGATGAGATGGTATCTCACTGTGGTTTTTCTCTGCATTTTTCTAATAATTAACAACGTGAATTTTGTTTTCATATGCTTGTCAGCCACATGTATGTCTTCTTTTGAAAAGTATCTGTTCATGTTTTTGCTTACTTTTTAATTAGGTTTTTGGTTTTCTTTTTGTTGTTGTTGTTGTTTTCTGAGATGGAGTCTTGCTGTGTCACCAGGATGGAGTGCAGTGGCATGATCTCGACTCACTGCAACCTCCACCTCCCAGGTTCAGATGATTCTTCTGCTTCAGTCTCCTGAGTAGCTGGGATCACAGGTGCGTGACACAAAACCCAGCTAATTTTTGTATTTTTATTAGAGATGGGGTTTCACCATGTTGGCCAGGATGGTCTGGATCTCTTGACCTCATGATCCATCTGCCTCAGCTTCCCAAAGTGCTGGGATTACAAGCATGAGCCACAGATCCTGGCTTATTCTTCTTCTTCTTTTTTTTTAAAATAAATTTGTTTAAGTTTCTTATGGATGCTAGATTTTAGACCTTTGTCAGAAGCATAGTTTGCAAATATTTTCTTCTAGTCTGTAGGTTGTCTGTTTATTCAGTTGATTGTTTCCATTGCTGCAAAATAGCTCTTTAGTTTAATTAGGTCCCATTTGTCAATTTTTGCTTCTGTTGCAATTGCTTTTGGTATCTTCATCATAAAATCTTTGCCAGTTTTTATGTCTTAGAATTTTCTAGGTTATTTTCTAGATTATTTTCAGGTTTTATATATATATATATATATATATATATATATATATATATATATATATATATATATAATTTTAAGTTCTACATTTAAGTCTTTAATTCATCTTGAATTGATTTTTATATATCATGTAAGAAAGGCATCCAGTTTCAATCTTCTGCATAGTGCTAGCTAGTTATTCCAACCTCATTTATTAAATAGGGAATTCTTCCTGCATTGCTCTTGTAAGCTTTGTTGAAGATCAGATGGTTGCAGGTGTGTGGCATTGTGGCATTATTTATTGGCTATCTATTCTGTTTCTTGTTCTATGAGTCGTTTATATATATGTGTGTGTGTGTGTATATGTGTATATATGTGTGTGTGTGTGTGTATACATTGCCTTGGGTATTCGGGCTCTTTGTTAGTTCTATATGAATTTTAAAATAGTTGTTTTTAGTTCTGTTAAGAATGTTTTTGGTAGTTTGATAGGAATTACATTAGATCTGTAAATTTCTTTTGGCAGTATGGCCATTTTAATGATATTGATCTTTTTTATCCATGAGCATAAAATAAATCTCCATTTATTTGTGTCATATATGATTTATTTAAGCAGTGTTTTGTAATTCTTGTTGTAGAGGTCTTTCACCTCCCTGGTTAGCTGTATCTCTAGATGTTTTATTCTTTTTGTGGCAGTTGTGAAGGGGATTGTGTTTTTGATTTGGCTTTCGGCTTGGATGTTATTAATGTACAGGGATGCTACTAATTTTTGTACATTTGCTTTGTATTGTGAAGTTTGGTTCAGTTTTTCAGTTTAAGGAGCTTTTCTGTGGAGACTATAGGGTTTTCTATATATAGAATTACATCTGCAAAAAATGGGAAGTTTGACTTCCTTTCTTCCTATTTGGATGCCTTTTATTTTGTCTCTTGTCTGATTGCTCTGGTGAGGGCTGCCAATTCTATGTTGAATAGGAGTGGTGAGAGAAAACATCCTTGTCTTGTGCCAGTTTTCATGGAGAAATGCTTCCAGCTTTTGTCCACTCAGTATGTTTGTTGTGGGTTTGTCATACAGAATTCATTATTTTGAAGTATGTATCTTCTATGCCTAGTTTGTTGCAGGTTTTTAACGTGAAAGATGTTAAATTTTCTTGAAAGCTTTTTCTGCATCTATTGAGATAATCTGGTGGTTTTTATCCTTATTTTTGTTTTTGTAATGAATCACATATATTAATTTGTGTATGTTGAACCAGCCTCATATCCCAGGGATAAAGCCTACTTGATCATAATGGATTTGCTTTTTGATGTGCTGTTGAATTTAATTTGCCAATATTTTGTTGAAGATTTTTGCATCAATGGTCATCAAGGATATTGGCCTAAAGTTTTCTTTTTTTGTTATACCTATGTCAGGTTTTGGTGTCAGAATGATGACATTCTTATATAATGAGTTGAAGGGGAGTGTTTTTTTCTCAATTTTTTGGAATAGTTTTAGAAGGAATGGTACCAGCTCTTCTTTGTACATCTGGTAGAATTCAGTTGTGAATCTCTCTCGTCCTGGGCTTTTTTTGGTTGCTAGGCTATTCATTACTAATTCAGTTTTGGAGTTTGTTATTGGTCTACTCAGAGATTCGATTTCTTTTTTGTTCAGTCTTGGGAGGATATATTTGTCCACGACTTTACTATTTCTATTTTTTTGGTCTTTTTTTTTTTTTTTTCCTTTTTGTGGAGAACGGGGTCTCACTATATTGCCCAGGCAGGTCTCAAACTCCTGGGCTCAAGCTATCCTCCCACCTTTTGCCTCCCTGAGAGCTGGGACTACAGATGTGAGCCACCGCACCCAGCTGAATTTACTATTTCTTTCAGATTTTTTAGTTTGTGTTCATAGAAGTGTTTATAGTAGACTTCAACAGTTATTTGTATTCTTGTGGGGTCAGGGTTAATGTTCCTTTTGTCATTTCTAATTCTCTTTATTTGAATCTTCTTTCTTTATGAATCTGGCTCGTGGTTTATTTAGCTTATTAATTTTTTCCAAAGATTTAACTCCTGGATTTCTTGATCTTTTGTATAGTTTTTCACATCTAAATCTCCTTCAGTACAGATCAGATTAGTTACTTTTTGCCCTCTGCTAGTTAGGGATTGGTTTTGTCTTGCATCTCTCATTTTATTTATGATATTACATTGTTAAATTGAGATCTTTTTAACTTTTTTATGTGAGCATTTAGTGCTATAAATTCTTCTTTTAACACTGCCTTAGCTGTGTTGCAGAGATTCTGGTATGTTGTACTTTGTTCTCATTTGTTTCAAAGAACTTTTTTATTTCTGCCTTAATTTTATTATTTACCCAAAAGTTATTCAGATGCAGGTTGTTTAATTTCCACATAATTGTATGGTTTCAAGTGGTTTTCTTTGTTTTGATTTATATTTGTATCAAGTTGTGGTCAGAGTGTGTGGTTGGTATAATTTGGGGATGTTTGAATTTGGTGAGGATTGTTTTATTTCTGATTGTGTGGTCAATTTTAGAGTATGGGCCACTTGGTGATGAGAAGAATGTATATTATATTGCTTTTAGATGGAGACTTTTGTAGATGTCTATTATGATTATTTGGTCAAGTATTGAGTTTAGGTCCTAATATCTTTGTTAATTTTCTGCCTCAAAAATGTGTCTAATAGTGTCTGTGGGGTGTTGTAGTCTCCCAAAATTATTCTGTCAGAATCTAAATATAAATCTCTTAGAACTGGTCTTATTCATGTGTACCTGTGAAAGGAAATGAAATCTTCAGAGCCCAAACTCATTAAACCAAAAAGAAAAGTTAGGCTGGGAACTGGGTCACACAAACCCACCTATCCTTTTGGTTCTTAAATAAGATGGCTACAAGATGAAAAGTTACATGACTCCCTCATATTTTGCCCACAAGAAAATTTCTAGTGAGCTGCAAGATCTTTACCCTAAGGTGTTTCTGTTAAAATTATACCATGGAAATATAAATTGATGGCTTATCTTTACACGTTCCACCAGACATAAATGCATATCTGATTGTTCCCCTGCCCCTTTTTGTCTATGTTATCTTATGTAAAAATGCAGATTACCTGCATTTTTTGTCTGTGCCATTTGTCTGCATCATCTTATGTTAAAAAAAATGCAGATTCACTGACAGACAATGACATGAATGACTGTTTTTCCCTACCTCCCTCTTACATAACAGTTTTGTACTTCTCAGTATCTCATTCTTTCTCCTTTAAATTTGGAGCCCCCAAAATTTTCTTGGGAGAAAGACATAGGCCTTTTTCCTAGCTGTGCATTCTTAACTTTGGGAAATAAATCTCCTAAAATGATTGAGACTTTTCTTGTCATTTTTCTTGATTGATACACCCATGGATTTTTTTTTTATAACACCTTTCTTTCTTCTGCTTTTTTCCCATAAACATTTCTCAAGTGCACATGGCATGCAAAATTAAGATGTCCAGTAGTTCAAAAACATGTCCAGAGACCTGGCTGTTATAGTGGAAAATACAAATTAGAAATAAGAAGCCTTATTCTCCACATGAAAAAAGGGAGGATATTTTCTTTCTTTCTTTTTTTTTTTTTTTTTTTTGAGATGGAGTCTCACCTGGTTGCCCAGGCTGGAGTGCAATGGCATGATCTGGCTCACTGCAACCTCCACCTCCTGGGTTCAAGTGTACTCAGCCTCCCGAGTAGCTGGGGTTACAGGCACACACCACCACACCTGGCTAATTTTTTGTATCTTCAGTAGAGATGAGGTTTCACCATGTTGGCTAGGCTGGCCTCAAACTCCTGACCTCATGATTCACCAGCCTCAGCCTCCCAAAGTGCTGGGATTACAGGTGTGAGCCACTGCACCCTGCCAGGAGTATATTTTCTTAATTTATTTTTCCTTAAAGCATTTAAATTTTATGTATATTTTTTCTCTGTTGTTTGAAAGATATGTAAATCATATTAACAGTTAAACCTTTTGTCACTGTTTTTGACTTGGGATTGTCTTTGTCTAGGACCTCAGGTTCATTGCTTTGGCAAAGATTTATTTTCTCCATTTGTTGTCTTTTAAGGTAGACACAGATTTGTTTAGATTAAAGTTTGTTTTAAGAGCACACAAAAGTTGAGCATGAAGATAGGATTAAATTTAGCAATAAAAAATGCTAAAGACTAAAAGATACTAAGTTCCTTTGATAGAATACAGATTATCCAAGGTAATCAGGTAATATTTGCAGGCCGAAGTACTTTTATTGCAAAAGCATGGTTCAGTGTATGAACTGAACAGTGGAGTCTGTAGTTGTGCTTTGGTTTATATTTATTACTTGAGTACAATTAGCATAGTTATATGTAGTGTTTGTAGACAAACTGCATTCATATAAACAGTATTTTATATACTAGTGTGAATATAACACTACAATATTTACTTTGAATCCCTTAGTCATTTTAATAATGTTATATTCGGCCGGGCGTGGTGGCTCATGCCTGTAATCCCTGCACTTTGGGATGCCAAGGTGGGTGGATCACCTGAGGTCAGGAGTTCAAGACCAGCCTTGCCGACATGGCAAAACTCCATCTCTACTAAAAAATACAAAAATTAGCCGGGCGTGGTGGCGCGTGCCTGTAATCCCAGCTACTCAGGAGGCTGAGGCATGTGAATCGCTTGAACCTGGGAGGCAGAGGTTGCAGTGGGCTGAGATTGCACCACTGCACTCCAGCCTGGGCAATAGAGCGAGACTGTTTCAAAACAAAAAAACAAACAAAAAATAATGTTATATTCATACTTTTGAAATATAAACTGTTTTAATTGAATTATGGTTGTAGACAATTTTTAAAAATCCTATGTACATTATGACTAGTACATTATTTATACTTAGATATTTATATCTAATATTCAAAGGAAATTTACTACCAAACTATTACAGTAATATTAGTATGACATGCTTACTAATTTATCCAGTAGAGTTAATTATAGGTAAGCATGATTTTAGTGTCTATCATTTCACTAAATTGGAATGGTGCTATTACGGGAAAAGTAAACAAGAATGATTTGGCCACCCAAAAACCATAATAGCTCTACAGTTCACCATGATGCAAACTCAAATGTATTCCACTATATGAATAAAGTAATATTCTAATTCTTCATCGGAAAGTTATGGTGGTGGGAGGTCCAGGCAGGCGGGTCACTTGAGGTCAGGAGTTCAAGACCAACCTGGCCAACATGGTGAAACCCTGTCTCTACTAAAAATACAAAAATTAGTTGGGCGTGATGGCACATGCCTGTAATCCCAGCTACTCTGGACGCTGAGGCATGAGAATCCCTTGAACCCTGGAGGTGGAGGCTGCAGTGAGCTGAGATTGTACCACTACACTCCAGCCTGGATGACAGAGCAAGACTCCGTCTCAAAAAAAAAAAGTGTTCTTTGGAAATTGTCAAATATATTCCATTATAGATCTCTCATTTAATGGCTAGGAGAAGAGAGAGCAGCAGAGATGGAAGAGAATCCTTATAAAATTCTGCTGAGAATATGACCCCTTTCTTCATAATGCTCACGTTTCTCATGCTGAGAGTAGCTGTGCAATTTGGGTGTTTAGAAAAATTGATTAGCAGAATATTTTCTGGCTGACTTGATCAAACTTATATCTAGCTTGTGTTTTTAAAAGATGCTTTTAACTGTTTTTCTCTCAATACAATTTTTCTCAGAGTGAGAGCTGTTTTTCTCTTGAATGCTTTTGGTTTCTGTTTTAGAGGCCCCATTACTATCCCATGGTGTCTGTGAATGAGGTGGGCTGTCACAGAGCTCTTAGAGCTATCTCTGTCTATCTCTGTGGGTGTGGTGGTAGCAGGTAAACAGGTGGTGCTGACACTTTTAAAAGCATATTCTCAGCATGCAGGTGTAATTTGTCCATAGAATCTCATCTTAAAAGGAATCCCAGAGAAACAGGAGAAAGAGGAAGACATGACCTTTTTTTAAGCTTAATATGTCTCAGATAGAGAGCTGTGTCCACTCTGCCTCCTGGAATGCCATGCATTTAGTTCTTGCAAACCTTTACTTCTCTAATTGTGTTGTTTCTCCCTAATGAGTTTGTTTCAACTACTTTTTAAAATTCTTATGATAGTCAAGGGTCTCTGAAAAATATTTTTTCCTACATACCAGAGGCTTCTCTACATCTCTACATCACGGCTCTTTATATGCCACGTAGAAATCTCATTATGAATTTATAATCTGCAACATGAAAAATGTTCCCTCTGTGGCTGTTGAACATGGGAAGGTGTGACTACTCAAGATTCCTATTGGGGAAAAGCTAGGGTCTTTAGTAAAGAAGGAGAACATGTAACGTTGAGGTACCATCTCTGTTCTCCATTAGCTCTATGCAGAACACGATTAATAAAATGCTTTTTCAAACAGAATGGCATTTATTACCCAGAAAGTTCTGAAACAAATTATTAGGAGATAGATACCTGCTCTTTAGGGTGCTGAAGAAAAACTACTTAAAATCACTATTAAAAATTACAGAACATATGAATTATCTGTATCTTGAAGTTTCCATAAAACTGATTTTTTATGGTTAAATTCAAACTCTAATTTACTTTTGAGATCAATATCGCAGCAGTGAAGCTGCATTTTTCTGTGTGCATCAGCACATTACAAAAATTTGTCCTAGTGCAGTTGATGTTAATGATTCAATTGGTTAAAGAGCTCTTGGACAGATTTCTTTACTATAATTATTTTTCTCTTCATTATTAAGTATCTTTATGCTGCTGATGTGCATGTAAACCATCACATTTAATCTGGCAGCTGCCTTTCTTTCTTAGGTTTTCTGTGCGTATATCTGCCTTAGGAAAATGAAAGCTGTCATCCCTTTTTACAGGCCAGAAAAACTGGGAAAAACACAGGCTCACCCACCTACTAGATGTTTGACAAAATACTCTTCTTGGGCCAAAAACATTGACATTATTGGTGAGCTTTTTAGAAATTTAGAATATCAGACTGTTCCAGATCTTCTGAAAAAATAATCTGCATTAACGAGATCTGAAGTTTATCATACACATTAAAACTTGCGAGGTACCTTTTAACTCAACATGTCTTTTTCATCTCAAAAATACACACAACTCATTCTGTATGATGCAGATATAGCATTTAAAAATAGACATGTTGGCGTTTATGCCCTAATTTATACTTTATTATCCAGAAAAGTACCATATATACACAGATGTTGTGGATCTTCTTATACCACTTTCTTTTCTCAGGGTTAGATAATACATTAGAAAATATTTCTGTGTTAAAAATTCTTTTATGGATAGTTTCATTCACTCCTATAAGTCAGAACCAGTTTTCTTTACTGTTTTATTTTACCTTGAAATTTAAAATTATGCCCATGGCCACTTGGTAAATGTATGTGATTTTGTGTATGTGTGTGTTTTTGTGTTTTTCAGGGACCATTGACATTTATGGATGTGGCCATAGAATTCTCTTTGGAGGAGTGGCAATGCCTGGACACTGCACAGCAGAATTTATATAGGCATGTGATGTGAGAGAACTACAGAAACCTGGTTTTCTTGGGTGAAGGTAACTTCAATACACATTTTCTAATATACCCTAAAGGTTTTAATTCTCTTTTTTGTAGAATGTTTTTGGTGATTTATGCTTTGCATAAATTGAGTTTCAGATCCCTGTTTTCAAAAAAATCTTTTAGATTTGTCATTGTAGAAAATAGTTTATTCAAGATGTTTCATCTTTACCATAACTTTCCACATTCCTGAGATGATCTTTATCATTCAGTCTTGATTAGTGGTAATTTTAGAAATTTATTGGCATAAAATATTGTTGCCCACACCTTAAAATCTAACTCCCAACAACAATTGTTTTGATTCAGTAGTACCAGGTAGTGAAATTAAGAAACTACAAATTTAAAATATTTTCTAAATCTTTAGAAATTTTTGTTATAAATTAGCATTTGGGGATTAATTTACTAGAATATTCTATTGCATTCTCTTTACTGAGCACATTACCAAGTTGGTAATTGGAGAATATGTGCAAGATTTATGTTATTTATTTTCAATAAAACAGGTATTGCTGTCTCTAAGCCAGACCTGATTACCTGTCTGGAGCAAGGAAAAGAGCCCTGGAATATGAAGAGACATGAGATGGTAGCTAAACATTTAGGTAAGTGAGAGTGAATACACAGATGGCACAGAGAAGAGGTCAAAGGCCAAGGAGAAGGCCACAGCTTAAAATGTGATTTGGTAAGCTGTGTTCCAAAGGAAATAGTTTCTGGAAAGCCCGAGTTTTTTTTTATTTTTCTCTCACATAGAACATATTTTGTATTGTTTTTCAATTCTCTAAGGATTCCTCTTTCCCTTTAGTGATCTGTCTTCAATTTCACAGTGAAAGCCAACATCCTCTTCATGGGATATAAAAGACTGCACAATCTGACTGGTTTTTTTTTGTTGTTGTTTTGGGGGACACACAAATATGCATAATTTTGAGAAACTCTATGTTAAACAGTTTTTTAAATTCTCTTTTTGCATCAAGTCTGAAATGTGTGAGTAGTGATTTCTGTTCCATTGGTTTTTTTGTTGTTGTTTATTTTTCTGTATATTCCATTCTGTTTTTACTACTATAGCTTTGAAATATAGTTACATATGTAAGGCATATGCAGTGCCAATATACCTTTTCAGGATTTGGCTATTTTGGATTGGCTTTTTCTTTTTATTTGGCAGGACAGATTTGCTGCTGGTATTATTCTCAC
The DNA here is from genome assembly GCF_000001405.40 of Homo sapiens. Taxonomy (NCBI): domain Eukaryota; kingdom Metazoa; phylum Chordata; class Mammalia; order Primates; family Hominidae; genus Homo; species Homo sapiens. Next base: position 64,980,800 of record NC_000007.14, on the reverse strand, counting down.
TTGACAGCTATTTTCTTCAGGACTTGGACAATGTCACACAGTTAGTTCCCTTCTGGCCTGCAAATTTTCTTGAGAAATTCACTCATTACCTCATAAGACTATGCTTATAAATAACATATCACTTTTATCTTGCAACTCACAATATTCTCTTGTCTGTGACTTTTAAAATTGTGCTTATATATGTTCTTGTTGTAAATATCTTTGTGTGTATTCTAGTTTCTTTGTTAACCTTTTTAATTTTTACATCAGTTTTTCTTATAATTTTTCAGTTCCTTTTTTATATTTTTTACCTCCACAATATCTGTTTTTTGATATTTTTAATATTTTTGTTATCCCAATTTTTATGATTTTTAATAGTTGTCTGTGTTTCTATTTCATTCATGGAGTATTATTCAATTTATGTTAACTTTTTAAAATTAATTTTTTAATGGTTGCTTTCTGAAAATTTTATAATATCTGATAGAGCTATGTTGCCCTAAAATTTTGTATGCATTGTAATCTTTAATTGAAATTTGAACATTAAAAACAAGCTACCTGTCACAGTGTCTATAATGTAGCTTTGTCCTGGCAAAGTCTGAAACCATTTGTCTTAGCTAGAGATCCTGAGAGTCTTTCAAACATGTTCTTAGGATGTGTCTTGTCTGAAATGTTCTAGTTGTTTTTTAGTTAAAAGACTTTATTCATGTTTCTTCTTAATAGTCATCACTTGCCACAACTGTTCCCTGTCTGTAGTACAGTCTCTTTCCTGCTGTAACATTTACCTTTGATCTCAGCAGACTCAAAATGTCATTCCAAAGTATACCACTGTTAATTTCAGCACTTTATGTCATTGGAGACAGAAACCAGTGTCCGCCAAAGCACCTAATAAAGCCAGAAATAAAGATGTGGGTGTGTTATTTTTCTTGTCTGTTGAAAAAGAAAGCAAAAGTTGGTAATGTACTTCTAAAGACACTATGTTATACTGAGGAGCAGAAAGAGCTGTGTTGGGTAAATGTAACCAACTTTTCTCTTCCTTCCATGTGGCTTTTGGAATTGTGATAACCTGGAACACTGCACACACGTAACTCATTTATAAATTTTCTATAAATGCATTTTGGTCAATATGCTCTTGTTACATTTATATGTCTATGAAGGAATTAGAACCTGTGGTATTTTGCTATGCCATCTTGCTTATGTAGTTTCTGTAACTTTATGGGTTAGATTTGTAAAGTATATTCATCTGAGTCGAGCAAGTGAAGTAGTTTGTTACTTTTATTTCTTTCAGTTATGTTTTATTATTTTGCCCAACACCTTTGGCCAGAGCAGAACATAAGAGATTCTTTCCAGAAAGTGACCCTAAGAAGATATAGAAAATGTGGATATGAGAATTTACAGTTAAGAAAAGGCTGTAAAAGTGTGGTTGAGTGTAAACAGCACAAAGGAGATTATAGTGGACTTAACCAATGTTTGAAAACTACCTTGAGCAAAATATTTCAATGTAATAAATATGTAGAAGTTTTCCATAAAATTTCAAATTCAAATAGACACAAGATGAGACATACTGAAAATAAACATTTTAAATGTAAAGAATGTCGCAAAACATTTTGCATGCTTTCACACCTAACTCAACATAAAAGAATCCAAACTAGAGTGAATTTCTACAAATGTGAAGCATATGGAAGAGCCTTTAACTGGTCCTCAACCCTTAATAAACATAAGAGAATTCATACTGGAGAAAAACCTTACAAATGTAAAGAATGTGGCAAAGCCTTTAACCAGACCTCACACCTTATTAGACATAAGAGAATTCATACTGAAGAGAAACCCTACAAATGTGAAGAATGTGGCAAAGCCTTTAACCAGTCATCGACCCTTACTACACATAATATAATTCATACTGGGGAAATTCCCTACAAATGTGAGAAATGTGTTAGAGCTTTTAACCAAGCCTCAAAGCTTACTGAACATAAGTTAATTCATACCGGAGAGAAACGTTATGAATGTGAAGAATGCGGCAAAGCTTTTAACCGATCCTCAAAACTTACTGAACATAAGTACATTCATACTGGAGAGAAGCTGTACAAATGTGAAGAATGTGGTAAAGCCTTTAACCAGTCCTCAACCCTTACTACACATAAGAGAATTCATAGTGGAGAGAAGCCCTACAAATGTGAAGAATGTGGCAAAGCTTTTAAACAATTTTCAAATCTTACTGACCATAAAAAAATTCATACTGGAGAGAAACCCTACAAATGTGAGGAATGTGGCAAAGCTTTTAACCAACTCTCAAACCTTACTAGACATAAGGTAATTCATACTGGAGAGAAACCCTACAAATGTGGAGAATGTGGCAAAGCCTTTAACCAGTCCTCAGCCCTTAATACACATAAGATAATCCATACTGGAGAGAATCCCCACAAATGTAGAGAATCTGGCAAAGTTTTCCACCTATCCTCAAAACTTAGTACATGTAAGAAAATTCATACTGGAGAGAAACTCTACAAATGTGAAGAATGTGGCAAAGCCTTTAACCGATCTTCAACCCTTATTGGACATAAGAGAATTCATACTGGAGAGAAACCCTACAAATGTGAAGAATGTGGCAAAGCTTTTAACCAATCTTCAACACTTACTACACATAAGATAATTCATACTGAAGAGAAACAGTACAAATGTGATGAATGTGGCAAAGCTTCTACCTGATCCTCAAAACTCATTGAACACAAGAAAATTCATACTGGAGAGAAACCTTACAAGTGTGAAGAATGTGGCAAAACTTCTAACCATTTCTCAACCCTTACTAAACATAAGATGATTCATACTGGAGAGAAGTTACACAAATGTGATGAATGTGACAAAGCTTTTAACCAATCTTCAACCCTTTCTACACATAAAAGAATTCATACTGGAGAGAAACCCTACAAATGTGAAGAATGTGGCAGAGCTTTTAATTGATCATCAAACCTTATTAAACATAAGAAAATTCATATTGGAGAGAAACCCTACAAATGTGAAGAATGTGGAAAAGCTTTTAACCAGTTCTCAACTCTTACTACACATAAAATAATTCATACTGGAGAGAAACCATATAAATGTGAAGAATGTGGCAAAGCTTTCAACCTATACGTAAACCTTACTACACATAAGAAAATTCATACTGGAGAGAAACCCTACAAGTGTGAAGAATGTGGCAAAGCTTTTAGCCAAGTGTCAACTCTTACTATACATAAAAGAATTCATACTGGAGAGAAACCCTACAAGTGTGAAGAATGTGGCAAAGCTTTTAACCAAGTGTCAACTCTTACTATACATAAAAGAATTCATACTGGAGAGAAACCTTACAAATGTGAGGAATGTGGCAAAACTTTCAGTCGATGCTCAAAACTTACTACACATAAGAAAATTCATACAGGAGAGAAACCTTACAAATGTGAAAAATGTGCTAAAGCTTTTAGCCAGTCTTCAACCCTTTCTACATATAAGATAATTCACACTGGAGAGAAATGCTACAAATGTGAAGAATGTGGCAAAGTTTTTAACCGATCTTCAAACCTTACAGACCATAAAAAAATTCATACAGGAGAGAAATCCTACAAATGTGAAGAATGTGACAAGGCCTTTAACCTGTCCTCAACGCTTACTAAACATAAGGTAATTCATACTGGAGAGAAACTGTACAAATGTAAAGAATGTGGTAAAGCTTTTAAACAGTTCTCACACCTTGCTATACATAATATAATTCATACTGGAGAGAAACTCTACAAATGTGAAGAATGTGGCAAAGCTTTTAACTTATCCTCAAACCTTACTGCACATAAGAAAAATCGTACTGGAGAGAAACCCTACAAATGTGAAGAATGTGGCAAAGCTAACCTATCATCAACCCTTACTCCACATAAGACAATTCATATTTGAGAGAAACCCTGCAAATGTGAAGAATGTGGCAATGCTTGTAACTAAATCTCAAACTTTACTAAACATAAGAAAATTAATACTGGAAACTTTACAAACCTGAAAGATGTGACAATGATTTTGACAACACCTTCAAACTTTTCTAAACATAAAATAAATCATACTGGTGAGAAATCTTAAAAATATGAAGAATGGTACAAAGCCTTTAAATGGTTGTCACACTTGATTGTAGGTAAGATAATTTATACTGGAGGAAACTCCCAGAAGTGTGAAGAATGTGGCAAAACTTTTAATTTTTCACACCTTATAGCACAGGAAAGCACTTCAGAAAAATTGTACAAATATAAATGTGGAAAAGCCATTAATATCTGCTTACATCTTACTCAACATTAGAGAGTTAGTGCTTAATAAAAGCATTATAAAAGCAATTAGTGTAAAATCAGAAAATGAAAGTTTTTTTTTTTTTTTTAGATGGAGTCTTGCTCTGTCACCCAGGCTGGAGTGCAGTGGTGTGATCTTGGCTCACTGCAACCTCTGCCTCCCAGGTTCAAGCAATTCTCCTGCCTTAGCCTCCAGAGTAGCTGAGACTACAGGCACACACCACCACATTTGGCTAATTTTTTTATTTTTAGTAGAGACTGGCTATCACCATGTTGGCCAGGCTGATCTTGAACTCCTGACCTCAAGTGATCCACATGCCTCTGCCTCCCAAAGTGCTGGGATTATAGGTGTGAGTCACTGTGCCTGACAAATATAAGCCTTTAAAGAGAAGAAGGTTTTCATTTTGAAGACAAACATTAGGTACATAAAGAGGGTTGTAGTGTCTTTATTTGTATCACAGATTTTATTGTACACATTATGTACTAAAGGAAAATCCTGAAGCAGTGCTCAAACTTTGATCAACATCAGGGAGTTTATATTGGAGAAAAACTGCAAATGTAATATATTTGGAAAAACATTTTTCAAAAACTACTGCTTAGAAAACACCAGGGGATTTATACTAAAATATATTTTTGCAGATGCAGTAAGTATAAAAGAAATTTAATCCAAAATTAAGTGTGTGTAAATATCAGAGAATTCACAGTAGAAATATCTAAGGCACTGACATTTTAGACATTGAACTAATCAGTGTGCTGAGTACAGAAAATAATCCAAAATTAAAGTTGGTAGATAAATTATTTATATATAACTTTAAAAGAGGTAGAAATATTTTTAGTTATAATTACATTTAAAGTATACTTTTTTCTTTGAAAAAATTACAAAATTTTTAAAAAGTGAATGATGTAATTCAACTCAAATTACTTCATGCTTTTCATTCTATTGTATTCACATGTGAAAGCATGTGATCAATTGCTGCTTCATCAAAGATATGAGACATTCTTTTTTGTTAGGTGGGCAATATTTTTTACCTTTTCTATGGAAGAGTAAAGACATTACAATGTAGGATGCATGATAAAAATCTAAGTGGAGAGGCTCTTTGTGTTTAATTTATAATATTGAATGATGTATGAGGGAAGTGTTCAGAGGAATATTCTGCATTCTAGTGAAAATATCTTTTATTTTAGTTAAAATTAAATTAAAATTAGTAGTATATCATTTTACTAACTGTACTTTTATGTAATAAAATGCAGCACATTTAAAAAATTTTAGATTATTGTGAACTTAATTTTTTAATTAAACTTTTTTTTTAACATGTTAAGACCAATTGTGCATTCAGTGAAGTATTATCATGCCACTAACTTCAACCTATCCCACCTTACTCAAGGGTGTTGGTAAAAGATAGTAACAATGTACTATTTAATAACAGAGTGGACTAACATCTCTAATAATTTCTCTTGCCAGTGACTTTAAACTAAAGAACTTAATTAAAGAACATTGTTCCCATAGGTTAAATTTTTATTCTTTTTCTTATTTAAACATATTTTTCTTAACTTTTGTGGGTACATAGTGTGTGTATATATTTATGCCATATATGGCATATTTTGATACAGGCATATGAATAGGTATTAATCACATCAGGGCAAATGAAATATCCATCAACTCCAGCATTTATCATTTGTATTACAAACCGATTCTACACTTTTAGTTACTTTAAAATGTACAAGTAAATTGCTATTGACTATAGGGTCATTTTCATGGGTATAATAAAAATTATATACAAGTATAAATAAAATCCTGAGTCTTAAAATTCTGAGTCCTGCTTAAACATTTTAAAAATTTTGTTATGTATTTTTCTTTGAACATGTCTCTCTGCCTGCAAACATAACAGAATTTTAGTATTGGTTTACATAGAGTTAACTATACCCATATATTACTCTAAAAATAAATGTTAAGTGCAAGAAAGTTATGGACTGTTTTTGTGTGAGTGTGAGTTTGTACCTATTTTCAAAAGAAAAGAGCAATATTGGAGCAAAACAAATATTTTAATAAAGTAATGTACTAGACAACTGAAAACTTCAAAAATGCTGAAAGTAAATGTATACTCTGCTTTGTATTGAATTCATTACTGCCAAATCTTCTGACTTATGATTCAGAATCTCTCCATGCAAATTATGTTTTTACTTGCCTGTTAGTCATGCTAGACCTATAATTTTCTTGTTTCTTACCATTTTTTTCTTTTATACTTTATGAGGTATTATGTGAGCTGTTCATGGATTATAAGAATGATTTTTATAAAATTCAGTACTGCACACAAGATAAGTTTTAGATGTATTTCCAAAATTGTGTATTAATTATATTTAGTTAGAACATTCCATTTGTTCTTTTAATTGGAGAATCCTATATAAGCCTATATTTCTTATTCTTTTCTCTTGTTATAATTGACATAAGTAAATTTATTTATTTATTGAGCCAATTTGTTCAGGTAAGAACTAGGAATGCTTCATAAGTCATGAGGATGTTTTTATATATATATGTGGCAAACAAATATGACAGTGCTTGCTGTGTAACAGATGTTCCATAATAACCTGTAAACATTCCTGCTGGAGTTAGTTTGTAACTTCAAGTCAGAGATGGAAAATACCAATAGTGAAGAAATAACATTGATTCTTCATGTGCAGATAACATTTTTTTTCCATGCTGCAAAGCTAAATTTTGCTGAATTTAAAAAGAAATTTTGGTTCTTTTATTTCCTAATTACCTTTAGTTTTGTTTGTCTTATTATGTGACTTCTGTGTATTCATCACAGCCCTTCTCCTTCTTTTTCTATGTGATGGCTACACTTTGCTCACTGTTGTCTTCATGCCATGTCATTTTATACAGTACTTTGTAGGTTTTGATGAGAAAGTTGGTATTTTTAATGCACTCAAAAATTGCTTTTTATTGGAGAGTACTTATCAATATAACTTTCTGATCAGTTAATTAAGATAAAAGGCATACATTGTCCACAGGTGAGAGGATTAAATCAGTTAGCATTATTTTTTTCTGTTTGTAAAAGGAAAAACTTATTAAATTTTTAAACGGAGTTATTAAACAGAGTTTCACTCTTATTGCCCAGGCTGGAGTGCAAATATATTGTGGCAAATATAAAATTTGCTAGAAAATACATCTTAGAAATTAAGTTATAAGAGAGCAAATGGTAAGTGAAGAATTTTAAATTTAATTTTCTATGATATAGCATAACATACATTTCCATGCAGAATCTTTTATTTTTAAATGTGAAATTTAAAGGTTGCAAAATAATAAAATGACTTCTGTGGATTTGATATTTGGAATGATATTTCTTTTTTATATTGATATTACAATTCCGAGGAATTTTTCACTCATTATTTTTTTAGTGGGTGAAGGTGAGTGTACAGTTATTGCTTTTTGTCACCTAACTATAGTCAGCTTCTTGGTCATTTTCTCTAGAAAACTTTTGAAGATTATGGCAGCTTTTTGATTAAACATTTTCTGTTATTTTTATGCAAATTCATTTATTGTGTTCACAGGGTGGCCAGTCATGAGACCATAAGCAACAGCTGCCCTTTTAGTGTCTTTCATGCCATTACCATCTGTAATAAATAAATGTGTACTTTATTCTGCAAAACATGATGTTTGGAAGTATATGTTGTCAAATGCTTAATTCTAGGTAATTAAGGCTTTACCTCACATCGTTAACATTTTTGTGGTCAGAGTATGTGACATTGTCAATGTTTTTCAAAAACACAACTACATTATTATGATCTGTAGTCACTATGCTGTACAAAAAGATCTCTTAAACTTATTCCTCCTATTAAACTATAATTATGTATTCTTTGACCAACATCTTCCAAAACCCCCCTTTTTTCTAAATACCTTGGTGTCTGGTGGTCACCACTTTACTCTCTACTTTAATGGGATTAAGTTTCTTAGAATCCCTGTGTAAGTAAAATCATGAAAAATAATCTTTGTGTCTGGCTCATGTAGACAAATATGATGTCCTCCAGGTTAATTCATGTGATTGAAAATAATAGAAATTTCTTTTTTAAAGACGAAGAGTATTCCATTGTGTATATGTACCACATTGTCTTTATTTACTCATAAATGTTGAACTGTTGATTGTGTATTTTGGTAATTGTGAAGAGTGTTGCAAACAACATAGAAGCATAAATGTTTCTTCATTCTGATTTCACTTGTTTTGGATATATACAGTAAAATTGCTGTATTGTGGTTTAATTTTAAATTTTTTGACAAATTTTTGTTTTTCATAGTGACTCTCCTCATTCACATTCAAACCAACAGTGTGCAAGCATTCCTTTTCTTCATACTTTGACTAACACTTTCTTTTCTTTTTAGTAAGAGTAATTCTAACAGGAGTGAGTTGATAATCTCCTGGTTTTTCTTTTTGCTTTCCTGATTATAGTTGATATTGAGCATTTTTTATATATCTTGACCATTTGTCTTTTCTTGAAAAATATTTAAGCCTTTTGCTCATTTTTAATAGTTATTTGTCTTCTGTTGTATAGTCATTTAAGTTGTTTATATGTTTCTGTTATTAACCCTTTGTCCCACGTATGATTTGCAAATATTTTCTCCCATTTTTTTCAGTTGTCTCATTTTGTTGATTGTATCAGATTCCATGAAGCAGCTTTTTAATTTCAAGTAATCTAACGTATCTATTTTTCTTTTGATTTCCTTGGATTTTGAGGTTAAATAATAAAAGTCACAGCCTAGATCAATGTTATGGGCTTTCAATCTATATTTTTATGGTAATTTCTGAGTTTTAAGCCTTACATTTAAGTATCTAATTTTAGTTGATTTTTATATGTGGTGTGAGAAGAGGATCTCATTTTATTTCTCTGCATGTGGATATAAAGTTTTCTCAACCCCATTTGTTGAAGAGACTGTCCTTTTTAAAAGAAATTATAAAATAAGTTAGCTTAAATACGTGGATATATTTCTGATCTCTTTTCTGCTCCATTGGCCTATGTGTCTGTTTTTATTCAAGTACTATACTGTTTTGGTTACTATACTTTGTAGTATATTTCAAAGTCAGGTATAGTGATACCTTCAGCCTATTTTTATTTTTTTATTTTTTTTCTGTTTGGTTGCTTTAGCTATTCAGGGTCTTTTGTGGTACCATATAAATTTTAGGTTTGTTTGTTTGTTTATTTATTTATTTATTTATTTATTTATTTATTTATTGAGACAGTTTCACTCTTGTTGCCCAGGCTGGAGTGCAATGTCATGATCTCACCTCACCGCAACATCTGCCTCCCAGGTTCAAGTAGTTCTCCTGCCTCAGTCTCCCGAGTAGCCAGGATTACAGGCATGTGCCACCATGCCTGGCTAATTTTGTATTTTTACTAGAGATGGGGTTTCTCCATGTTGGTCAGGCTGGTCTCGAACTCCCAACCTCAGGTGATCCACCCACCTCAGTCTCCCAAAGTGCTGGGATTATAGGCATGAGCCACCATGCCCTGCCAAATTTTAGATATTTTTAAAAAATTTCTATTAAGTATGTCATTGGTATTTTGATAGAGTTTGCACTATATCTGTAGATCATTTTGTGTAATAAAGATATTTAGTGTATTAATAAGGCAAATTTGTGAATAAGTACTATTTTTCCATTTGTTTATTATTTAATTTTTACTTTAATGTTCTTTAGATTATAATATATGGTGTTTTAACATTTTGATTAAATTGATTTCAAAGTATAGTTACTACAGTTATTGTAGATGGGATTGTTTTTAAATTTCATTTTGAGGTAGTTAATTTTTAATGTATAAAGCTGATACTATTTAATGTTGATTTTAAATTCTGCAAGTTTAATAAATTTGTTTATTCTAGTGGTTCTTAGTGAAGTGTTAGTCTTTTCTATACTGTAGATTATGTTATGTGCAAAGAGGGATAATTTAACTTTTTGGTTTTTTCAATCTGGATTCCTTTTATTTTATTCTCTAATTTCTCTGTCTTGAATATTTAGTACTACATTCAGTAAGTCTGAAGGAAGTGGGCATCCTTGTCTTGTTCTAGTTCTTAGAGTAAAAGCTTACAACACTTTCCTGTTTAGTATGTTGTTAGCTTTGCATTTTTTTATTATACATGGCATTTATTGGCTTGAGATGCATTTGTCCTGTACCTATTTTTTTCAGAGATTTATTGTGAGGGAATGTTGAATTTTTTTGAAACTTTTATTCTGTATTTATTTGAATGTTAGATTTGTGAAATCACAACTAATCCATATAAATACAGAACATCCTCAGATACTACTATAAATATCTCTATGCATGCAAACTAGAAAATTTTTTAAAAAATAGATAAACTTCATATACACAATCTCCCGAGACTGAACCAAGAAGAAAGAGAAGTCTTGAACAGAGGAAAAATTTATAACAAAATTAAATTTGTAATTAAAAATACCCTACATAGTATAAAAGGCCCTGGATCAGATGAATTCACAGCTAAATTCTACCACATATCCAAAGTTGAGCTTGTGCTAATCCTTCCTAAGTTGTTATATGAAATCAGCATCATCTGGATACCAAAATTTAGTTAAGACAACAAAAAAATCTATAGTTCAGTATGCCTGATGAACATTGAAACAAAAATCTTTCATGAAATACTAGTAAGCTGAGTTCATAAACAAATCAAAAAGTTATTTTGCCACAATCATGTGAGTTTCATTTCATGAATGCAAGGATGTTTTATCATATGCAAGTCAATAAGTGTGACTCACCATATAAAGATAATTAAAATGATTAAACCATATAATTATTACACTAGATGTGGAAAAATCATTAAAGGAAATTTAATGTTCATAAAAGTATTCTCAACATGCGACATACAAGGCATTGAAAAAAATACCTCACAATAATAAGAGCCATCCTCAGGCAACATTATCCTCAGGCAACATTATACTGAACAGGAAAAAGCTTGATGCATTCTTACAAATAAAAATAAGATCAATGTCCACTCTAAATATTCCTATTCAACATAGTTCTGGAAGTCCTAGCCAGAGCAATCCAACAAGATGAAAAAAGAAAAAGGCATCCAAATAAGAAAAGAGGAAGTCAAATTATCTTCACTGATGATATAATTCTCTACTTGAAAAACGTTAAAGATTTCTCCCAAAGACTCCCAAGCCTAAAAAATGATTCAGCAAAGTGTCAGGATACCAAATCAATGTACACAAATGACTGGCATTTCTATACACCTTGAATAACATTCAACACTTGAATAACATTTAAGCAGAGAACAAAATCAAGAACAGAGCTCTATTTAAAATAGCCACAAACAAAAAATAATATACCTAGGAATGGATTGACTCAAGGAGGTAAAATATCTTTAGAAGGAGAACTACAGTCTACTTTTTAAAAACTGTAATTCTCTCTCCCTCTCCCTCTCCCCACGGTCTCCCTCTCCCCACGGCCTCCCTCTCCCTCTCTTTCCACGGTCTCCCTCTGATGCCGAGCCAAAGCTGGACTGTACTGCTGCCATCTCGGCTCACTGCAACCTCCCTGCCTGACTCTCCTGCCTCAGCCTGCCGAGTGCCTGCGATTGCAGGCGCGCACTGCCACACCTGACTGGTTTTCGTATTTTTTTGGTGGAGACAGGGTTTCGCTGTGTTGGCCGGGCTGGTCTCCAGCTCCAAACCGCGAGTGATCCGCCAGCCTCGGCCTCCCAAGGTGCCAGGATGGCAGACGGAGTCGCGTTCACTCAGTGCTCAATGGTGACCAGGCTGGAGTGCAGTGGCGTGATCTCGGCTCGCTACAACCTCCACCTCCCAGCTGCCTGCCTTGGCCCCCCAAAGTGCCAAGATTGCAGCCTCTGCCCGGCCGCCACCCCGTCTGGGAAGTGAGGAGCGTCTCTGCCTGGCCGCCCATCGTCTGGGATGTGAGGAGCCTCTCTGCCTGGCTGCCCAGTCTGGAAAGTGAGGAGCGTCTCTGCCCGGCCGCCATCCCATCTAGGAAGTGAGGAGCGTCTCTGCCAGGCCGCCCATCGTCTGAGATGTGGGGAGCGCCTCTGCCCTGCTGCCCCGTGTGGGATGTGAGGAGCGTCTCTGCCCGGCCGCCCCATCTGAGAAGTGAGGAGACCCTCTGCCTGGCAACCGCCCCGTCTGAGAAGTGAGGAGCCCCTCCGCCCGGCAGCCACTCCGTCTGGGAAGTGAGGAGCGTCTCCGCCCGGCAGCCACCCCGTCTGGGAGGGAGGTGGGGGTCAGCCCCCCGCCCGGCCAGCCGTCCCATCCGGGAGGGAGGTGGGGGGGGTCATCCCCCCGCCCGGCCAGCCGCCCGTCCGGGAGGGAGGTGGGGGGGTCAGCCCCCCGCCTGGCCAGCCGCCCCGTCCAGGAGGTGAGGTGGGGGGGTCAGCCCCCGCCCGGCCAGCCGCCCCGTCCGGGAGGTGAGGGGCGCCTCTGCCCGGATGCCCCTACTGGGAAGTGAGGAGCCCCTCTGCCCGGCCAGCCACCCCGTCCGGGAGGGAGGTGGGGAGGTCAGCCCCCCGCCCGGCCAGCCGCCCCGTCCGGGAGGGAGGTGGGGGGGTCAGCCCCCCGCCCAGCCAGACGCCCCGTCCGGGAGGTGAGGGGCGCCTCTGCCCAGCCGCCCCTACTGGGAAGAGAGGAGCCCCTCTGCCCAGCCAGCCGCCCCGTCCGGGAAGGAGGTGGGGGGGTCAGCCCCCCGCCCGGCCAGCCGCCCTGTCCGGGAGGGAGGTGGGGGGGTCAGCCCCCCGCCCAGCCAGACGCCCCGTCCGGGAGGTGAGGGGCGCCTCTGCCCAGCCGCCCCTACTGGGAAGAGAGGAGCCCCTCTGCCCGGCCAGCCGCCCCGTCCGGGAAGGAGGTGGGGGGGGGGTCAGCCCCCACCCGGCCAGCCGCCCCATCCAGGAGGGAGGCGGGGAGGTCAGCCCCCAGCCCGGTCAGCCGCCCCGTCCGGGAGGGAGGCAGGGGGGTCAGCCCCCCGCCCGGCCAGGCGCCCCGTCCCGTCCGGGAGGTGAGGGGCGCCTCTGCCCGGCCGCCCCTACTGGGAAGTGAGGAGCCCCTCTGCCTGGCCACCACCCTGTCTGGGAGGTGTACTCAACAGCTCATTGAGAACGGGCCATGATGACAATGGTGGTTTTGTGGAATAGAAAGGGGGGAAAGGTGGGGAAAAGATTGAGAAATCGGATGGTTGCCGTGTCTGTGTAGAAAGAGGTAGACATGGGAGACTTTTCATTTTGTTCTGTACTAAGAAAAATTCTTCTGCCTTGGGATCCTGTTGATCTGTGACCTTACCCCCAACCCTGTGCTCTCTGAAACATGTGCTGTGTCCACTCAGGGTTGAATGGATTAAGGGTGGTGCAAGATGTGCTTTGTTAAACAGATGTTTGAAGGCAGCATGCTCGTTAAGAGTCATCACCACTCCCTAATCTCAAGTACCCAGGGACACAAACACTGCGGAAGGCCGCAGGGTCCTCTGCCTAGGAAAACCAGAGACCTTTGTTCACTTATCTGCTGACCTTCCCTCCACTATTGTCCTATGACCCTGCCAAATCCCCCTCTGCGAGAAACACCCAAGAATGATCAATAAAAAAAAAAAAAAAAAAAAAAGAACTACAAAACACTGCTGAAAGATATCAGGGACAACACATACAAATGGAAAACATTCCATGCTCATAGATTTGAAGAATCAATATAATTAAAATGTCCATGATGCCTAAAGCAACTTGTAAATTAAATGCTCTTTCTATCAAACTATCAATGCAATTTTTTGTAGAATTAAAAACAATGGTTTTAAATTCATATTGAATAAAAGAGCCCAAATAGCCAAGGCATCTTTAAACAAAATGAATAAACCTGGAAGCCTCACTTTACCTGACTTCAAACTGTACTACAAGTGGCAGTAACCAATATAGCATGGTTCTCGGACAAAAATAAACATGTAGACCAATGGAACAGAAGAGAGAGACTTGAAATAAAGCTACACTCCTACAACCAACTTATTTTTGACAAAGTCAACAGAAATAAAGGGGAAATAACTTTCCATCTGATAAATGGTACTGATAAATAATGGACTATATGGTTAGTCACATGCAGAAGAAAAAAACAACTCTTACCTCTCAGCATATAAAAAATGTAACTCAAGATAGATTAAAAACTGAACATGAAGTTTCAAGCTATGAAAATCCTATATGAACACCTAGAAAGTACTCTTGTGGACACTGGCCTCTGAAAACAATTTGAGACTAACACCTTAAAAGTAAATGCAACAAAAATATAAATTGACACCTAATTAAACTAGATCTCCTGCACAGCAAAAGAAATTTGACAAAGTAAATGGACAAGCTACAGCATGGAGAAAAATATTTGCAAACTGCATACAACAAAAAAATTAATATACAAAATCTATAAGAAATGTAATAGGAAAAAAGCACAGAATATATCAATAGATACTTCTCAAAGGAAGATATAAAAGCTGTCAAGAAACATGCAAAAAGTTGCCCAACATCTCAAGCCATTAAAGAGATTAAATCAAAATGACAATGTGATACCATCTCACACCAGTTAAAATGGCTGTTATTAAAAAGTAAAAAAAAAAATAGCATGTTGTGGAGAATAGGGAATGTTTACACAGTCTTTGTGAGAATGCAAATTAATTCAGCCTTTTGTTGATTAATTCAGCCTCTTGTTGGAGCCTCTACTTCAACAAAAGATGCCATGAATTTCAAGTTATTATGCTGACACATATATTGTCTCTAGAAGGGTTCTGGTTTTTTTGCAATCAAGGTGTAGCATTTCTGGCTTCCCTTGTGCTGCTTTGTTTGTGTGAAATAGGAAGGTAGGAAGTAAAACCAAGTAAACCATGACATTTCTATTTTCTACAGCCACAGCATCTGAATTCTAGTGTTATGTCAACTAGAAATAATGTCAGTATTTCAAAACTGACAAAAAGAAATTGATACTTTATCTTTTTAAATGTTTTTATAGATTATAAAAATTTATAGTTTCTGAATTATATAAGTTAAACAACCTGAACATGCAGATACCTAAAAGTTTTACCTAGATAATAGTATTAATATTTTAATAGGTTATGATTGTGAGTCACAGTTGCCCCATTGAGTTTACTGGAAAGCGGTTATTTATCTTCTGAGTGTATGTAGAGAATAGGCTTTCATAATCCTAAACAAAGAGATCTTTTAAGATTAGCACTATATTTAGATTTGAATAAAATTCATAGGCTTGTAGTAACAGAAATTTTAATATATTTTCTAATAGAAAAAAGTCAATCGAAATAAGTTATTCAGATGAGTTTTAAAAAACTTCACGTGTTCATTAAATAACATTTAAAATTACATTGTAAGTGACTGATTTGTAATTCCAATCTATTTCATTTTAGTCACTGAGAAAACAATATCCTTAAATTATTCAATCAGAAAAAGTATTCTTATATTAGTGTTTCTGAAACTTTCAGAAACTGTAGACCACTCAGTGGATGGGGAGGCATATGCAGACCACAAATTTTCTATGTAATAATAGGTTCATCTTAGCTTTAATATAAAAATTAAATATATTTCAAAAGTAAAATTAGTGGCTTTTTTAAGTCATGAGAGACATATTATTGTTAGAACCCATTTGCCAAATTATTTGTGTTAGGCTTAGTAATAAGTGCTTTCAACCAAAAATCAAGTTCTACATACTATCTCAGGGTAAAAAGAAAGTGGTTTTTATCTTATTTATTTTTACCAATAAAATATTTTTATTTTTAAACTGTTATTTTAGATTTAGAGGGGGTACACCTAGCCTTTCTAGACTTCCTTAGTAATTGGTAAATTTCTCTTTTTATTTTGTCATTATTACTTTTTCTGCACTCAGGCTGGAGTGCAATGGCGCAAACATTGCTCATTGCAGCCTTGAACTTCTGGGCTTAACATATTCTCCCTCCTCAGCCTCCCGAATAGCTGAGACCACAAGCACAAGCCTGTGTGCCCAGCCCATTATTATTACTTTTAATGTCTGCTAGTTCCTGGGGTGCACAGAGATTTAAAGGTCACATTCTTCCAGGGTTTGGGCATAACATGAGCACTGGAATTAAATAGGTAGGTCCCACAGGGAAGGCAGTGCCCAGGAGAATAGAATCTAGGTGTGGGTGTGACCACTCTCCTTCTCAACTTGGCTCTTTCTTCTTGTTTGAAGAGACAGAGTAATACTGGGAGGCAAAAAAGGACCATTGGCTTGGGGTCAGAGGGTGTGATTTGAGGTCTGGAGTTGATCTCTTAAAGGCTATGTGAAGTTGGCACTGTCTCCAACCTTTCTCCTGCAAAATGAGAAAACAAGGCTGGATGAACTGAGTTCGCTTTCAGTCTTTTTTTTTTTTTTAAGTTTTTTATTTCCATAAATTTTGTTTAACAGGTGGTATTTGGTTACATGAGTAAATTCTTTAGTGGTGATTTCTGAGATTTTGGTGCACCCATCACCTGAGTAGTATACACTGAACCCAATTTGTAGTCTTTTACCTGATGCCTTTACATCCTTATAGTTTAGCTCCCAATTATGAGTGAGAACATACAATGTTTGATTTTCCATTTCTGAGTAGTATTCAATTATATATATACATACATATATATATATATACACATACATATATATATATATATATGTATATATATCCACAGTTTCTTTATCCACTTGTTGATTGATGGGCATTTGAGTTGTTTCCACATTTTTGCAATTCCAAATTATGCTGCTATAAACATGCGTGTGCAAGTTTTTTTTTTTTTTTTTAAATAATAACTTCTTTTCCTCTGGGTAGATACCCAATAGTAGGACTGCTGGATCAAATGGTAGTTCTCCCTTTAGTTCTTTAAGGAATCTCCACACTGTTTTCCATAGTGGTTGTACTAGTTTACATTCCCACTAGCAGTGTAGAAGTGTTTCCTTTTCACTCCATCCACACCAACATTTATTATTTTTTTATTTTTTTATTATGGCCATTCTTACAGGAGCAAGGTGGTATCACGTTATGGTTTTGATTTGCATTTCCCTGATCATTAGTGATGTTGAGCATTTTTTCATGTGTTTCCTGGCCATTTTTATATCTTCTTTTGAGAATTGTCTATTTATGTCCTTAGCCCACTTTTTGACGAGATTTTTTTTTTCTGGCTAATTTGTTTCAGTTTGTTGCAGATTCTGGACATTAGTCCTGTGTCAGATATATAAATTGTGAAGATTTTCTCCCGCTCTGTGGGTTGTTGTTTACTTTGCTCACTTCCTTTGGCCATGCAAAAGCTCTTTAGTTTAATTAAGTCCCAGCTATTTATCTGTGTCTTCATTGCATTTGCTTTGGGGTTCTCGGTCATGAAATCCTTGACTAAGCCAATGTTTAGAAGGGTTCTTCTGATGTTATCTTCTAGAATTTTTATAGTTTCAGGTCTTAGATTTAAGTCCTTGATCCATCTTGAGTTGATTTTTGTATAAGGTGAGAGATGAGATCAAGTTTCATTCTTCTACATGTGGCTTGCCAAGTATCCCAGCACCATTTGTTGAATAGGGTGTCCTTTACCCACTTTATGTTTTGGTTTGCTTTGTCAAAGATCAGTTGGGTGTAACTATTTGTGTTTATTTCTGGGTTCTCCATTCTGTTCTGTTTGTCTATGTCCCTATTTTTATACCGGTACCATGCTGTTTTGGTGAGTGTGGCCTTATTGTGTTGTTTGAAGTTGGGTAATACGAAGCCTTTTGATTTGTTTCTTTTGCTTAGTCTTGCTTTGGCTATGCAAGCTTTTTTTTTGGTTCCATATGAATTTTAGGATTGTTTTTTCATAGTTATTTGAAGAATAATGTCAGTACTCTGATGGGAATTGTATTGAATTTGTAGATTGCTTTTGGCAGTATGGTCATTTTTAGAGTATTGATTCTACCCATCTATGAGCATGGGATGTGTTTTTATTTGTGTCATCTATTGCTTTCAGCAGCATTTTGTAGTTTTTCTTGTAGAGGTCTTTCACTTCCTTGGTTAGGTATATTCCTAAGTATTTTATTTTTTGTGCAGCTATTGTAGAAGGGGTTGAGTTCTTAATTTGATTCTCAGCGTGGTCGCTTTTGGTATATAGCAAAGCTACTAATATGTGCACATGGATTTTGTATTCTGAAACTTTGCTTAATTTATTTATTGGTTCTAGGAGCTTTTTGAAGGAGGCTTTAGTGTTTTCTGGGTATACAATTATATCATAAGGAAACAATTAGTTTCAGCTCCTCTTTAGTGATTTGGATGCCCTTTATTTCTTTCTCTTGTCTGATCATTCTGGCTAGGATGTCCAGTACTATGTTGAATAGAAGTGGTGAGAGTAAGCATTTTTGTCTTGTTCCAGTTCTCAGAGGAAATGCTTTCAACTTTTCCCCATTTAGTATTATGTTGGCAGTAGGTTTGTCATAGATGCCTTTTATTATATTAAGGTATGTCCTTGGTAGGCCAGTTTTGCTGATGGTTTAAATCATAAAGTGATGCTGGATTTTGTCAAATGCTTTTCTCCATCTATTGAAATACTTATGTAATTTTTTAAAAAAATTCTGTTTATGTGGTGTATCACATTTATTGACTTGGGTATGTTAAACCATCCCTGAATCATTAGCTATAAAACCTACTTGATTATGGTGGATTATCTTTTTAATATGTTGTTGGATTCAGTTAGCTAGTATTTTGTTAAGGATTTTTGCATCTATAGGCTGGGCCCTGTGGCTCATGCCTGTAATCTCAGCACTTAGGGGGGCCACAGCAGGACAATCACTAGAGGTCAGAAGCTCAAGACCAGCATGGCCTACATGGTGAAACCACGTGTCTATTAAAAATATATGTATATTCTGCAGTTGTTGGGTATAATGTTCTGTAAATATCTGTTAAGTCCATTTGGTTTAGGGTGTAGCTAAAGTCCATTGTTTCTTTGTTGACTTTCTCTCTTGATGACCTGTCTAGTGCTGTCAGTGGAGTATTAAAGTTTTCCACTATTATCGTGTTGCTGTCTGCCTTATTTTTTAGGTCTAATAGTAATTGTTTTATAAACTTGAGAGCTCCAGTGTTGGGTGCATACATATTTAGGATTGTGGTATTTTCCTGTTGGAAAAAGTCTTGCATCGAAATAAAATGTCCCTCTTTGTCCTTTTTAACTGGTATTGCTTTAAAGTTCCATCTGATATAAGAATAGCTACTCCTGCTTGCTTTTGGTGTCCATTTGCATGGAATATCCTTTTCCTCCCCAATACCTTAAGTTTATGTGAGTCCTTAATGTTAGGTGAGTCTCTTGAAGGCAACAGATAACTGGCTGGTGAACTCTTACCCATTCTGCAATTCTGTATCTTTTAAGTGGGGCGTTTAGGCCATTTACATTTGATGTTAGTATTGAGATGTGAGGTACTATTCCTTTTATTTTGCTATTTGTTGTCTATATACCTTTTTTTATTGTATTTTGGTTTTATAGATCCTGGGAGATTTATGTTTTAAAGAGGTTCTGTTTTGACGTGTTTCCAGAATTTGTTTCAAAATGTAGAGGTCTTTTTAGCAGTTCTTGTAGTGCTGGCTTGGTAGTAGTGACTGCTCTCAGTATTTGTTTTTCTGGAAAAGACAGTATATTTCCTTCATTTATGAAGCTTAGTTTCACTGGATTCAGAATTTTTGGCTAATTATTGTTTTATTTAAGGAGGCTTGAAGATAGGGCCCCAATTCTTTTTAGCTTGTAGGGTCTCTGCTGAGAAATCGGCATTAATCTGATAAGTTTTTCTTTATAAGTTACCTGGTGCTTTTCCCTCACAGCTGTTAAGATTCTTTCCTTCATCTTGAATTTAGATAACCTGATGACAGTATGCCTAGGTGATGATCTTTTTTAGATGAATTTCCCTGATATTCTTTGAGCTTCTTGTATTTGGATGGCTAGGTCTCTAGCAAGTCCAGGAAAGTTTTCCTCAATTATTCCTCCAAATATGTTTTACAAACTTTTAGATATGTCTTCTTTCTAATTATTTCTAATAATTACCAATTATTCTTAGGTTTGGTCACTTAACATGTCCCAAACTACTTGGAAGTTTTTTTTTTTTTTATTCTTTTTTCTTTGTCATTGTTGGATTGGGTTAATCCAAAAACCTTGTCTTTGAGCTCAGAAGTTCATTCTTCTACTTGCTTGATTCTATTGCTGAGACTTTCCAGAACATTTTGCATTTCTCTAAGTGAGTTCCTTATTTCTTGAAGTTGTGATTGTTTTTTATTTATGCTATCTATTTGACTGAAGATTTCTTCCCTCATTTTTGTATGTTTTCTGATTTCCTTAAATTGGACTTCATTTTCTCTGGTGCCTCCTTGATTAGTTTAATAACTGAACTTCTGAATTCTTTCTCAGATAAATCAGAGATTTCTTCTTGGTTTGGATCCATTGCTGGTGAGCTAGCATAATTTTGGGGGCATATTAAAGAACCTTGTTTTGTCATATTACCAGAATTGTTTTTCTGGTTCCTTCTCATTTGGGTAGGCTATGTTAGAGGGAAGTTCTAAGGTTCAAGGCTGTTTGTTCAGATTATTTTGTCCCATGGGGTATTCCCTTGATGTAATACTCTCCCCCTTTTCCTAGGGATGTGGCTTCCTGAGAGCTGAGCTGTAGTGATTGTTATTTCTCTTCTGGATCTAGCCCCCAAGCAAGTCTACCAAGCTCTGGGCTGGTAGTGGGGGTTGTCTGCACAGAGTCCTGTGATGTAAATTGTCTTCAGGTCTCTCAGATGTGGATATTAGCACCTGCTTCAGTAGAGGTGGCAGGTGGTGAAATGGACTTCTTGAGGGTACTTAGGTTTGGTTGTTTAATGCACTATTTTTGTGCTGGTTGGCCACCTGCCAGGAGGAGGTGCTTTCAAGGGAGCATGGCTTTGGTAGTATAGGGAGGATCAGGTGGTGAGTGGGGCCCTAAGACTGCCAAGAGTATAAGCTATTTGTCTTCAGCTACCAGAGTAGGTAGGGAGGGACCATCAGGTGGGGGATGGTTAGGCATATCTGAGCTTAGACTCTCTTTGGGCGGGGCTTGCTGCAGCTGCTGCAGGAAATGGTGGCATTGTTCCCAGGTCAATGGAGTTATTTTCCCAGGAGGATTATGGCTGCCCCTGCTGTCATGAAGGTTGTCAGGGATGTGGGGAAAGCCAGCAGTTACAGTCCTCACCCAGCTCCCACACAACCTGAAAGACCAGACTCACTCCCACCATGCTCTGCACCAAGAGCACCGAGTTTTCTTTCAGGCAGTGGGTGAGCAGGGCTGAGAACTTGCCCAAGGCTACCAGCCTCCTAGCTGCAAAAGCGAGCAGGCCTTTTGTGCCTGCTGACTTTGCAGTCTGCACACCTGATTCATGCCCTCCTGCAAATTCTGGCCAGGTGAATTCATGTTTGGTTAGAATTGTTAGAAAGTTCAGCTGGAAGTTTCCTTCTCCCTGTGGTCTTTTCCCACTTCCCTTGACAGCCCTCTCCAAGGACCCCTTTGAAACAAGTCTTTAAAAGCTTTCCTGAAGACCCAGAGAGCCCACAGGGCTTCTTCTGCTTCCTCTACCTCTGTATTTAGCTCATCTCTCTAAATTGACTCAGCTCGAGGTAAGGTCAGGTCCTTATCCCATGATCTAGACTTTCAGGTTCCCAAGTGAGGGTGTGTGTATGAGAGCAGATGATTCCTTTTTCCCACTTTCACATCTTGGGCACTCATAGTATTTGGGCTGTCTCTGAGATCCTGCAGGAGAAATTTGCTTCCTTCAGAAAGTCTGTGGGTTCTCTCAGCTTTCCTGGTTCATTCCTGCAGTAGTTCTGAAGCAAAAGTTCATGATGCGAGTTTCCACACACTGCTCTGAGTGGGAGCTGCAATCTATTTCTGCCTCCTGTCTGCTATTTTTGTCAAAAAACTGATTTTAAAATTCCTCTTTATTTCTACTAAATTAGAAAATTAAAAGCCAAAATGTTAGATCAGGAATAATAATTGGATGAGAGGGTGTTGGGCATATGGTTAAGATTGAAACTTAGAATCAGGTGGTTCCTGATTGCATTCCAGTTCTGCCATTTATGGGCTGTACGATATGAATACAGTTTCTTGACCTCTCTGTGCTTGACTCTTCATCCGTACAGTGAGGATCATACTGCCTAAATCCTAGGGTTTTGGTAAAATTAAAGCAATTAGTACAAATAAGGGTACCCAAAGTTTGCCCAGCACATAACAAGTGTACAGGAAATTTATTAGCTCTTATTTGTTGATTCTGTTAGATCATGATCAATATTAAGCCTGAAAACAAGGTGGCCACATCAGTGATTTGTAACTCATGTTTATTCTAGTCAGTCCGGGGCTGTAATAGTAGTCGAATGTTTATGATACTATCCTTTTTTTAAAAACTATTAATATTTTTATTGGCAAATAAGAGTTATATACATTATGAGGTACAATGTGAAGTTTGAGTATATGTACATAATATGATTATGTTGAGTTAAATAACACATGAACTCACCTATCATTTTTGTGGTGAGACACTTGAAATTTACTCTTAGTTATTTTAAAATATACAGTAATTATTGTTTATTGTAGTCACCCTGCTTTGCAATAGATATCAAAACATATTTACCCTGTCTATGTGAAACTTTGCATTCTTTGATCAACAACTCTCTGTTTTCTTCCCACCACACCCAGCCTCTGGTAAAGATTATTCCACTTTCTACTTTTTTGAGTTAAACTTTATTCTTGCAGTATTTGTCTTTCTGTGCCACAGTTATTCCATCTAGCATAATGTCTTCTAAATTCATCTATATTGTTTCAAATGATAGGATTTACCCCTTTTTAAAGGCTGAACAATATTCCATTGTGTATCCAATATTTTTTTTAAAAAATGAATTTAAAAGGCCAGGTGTGGTGGCTCATACCTGTAATCCCAGCACTTTGGGAGGCCGAGGGGGGTGCATCGCCTGAGGTCAGGAGTTCGAGACCAGTATGGCCAACATGGTGAAACCCTATCTACTAAAAATAACAAAAATTAGCTGGGTGTGGTGGCAGGTGCCCGTAACCCCAGTGACTTGGGAGGCTGAGGCAGGAGAATTGCTTGAACCCAGGAGGTGGAGGTTGCAGTGAGCCGAGATGGTGCCATTGCACTCTAGCCTGGGCAACAAGAGTGAAACTCCATCTCAAAAAAAAAAAAAATTAAATATATTTATTGATTGAAAAACTCATGGAAGGATATTTCTGTGTTAAAGAACATGTTAATATAATTCAGTATACACATATCTTAATAGCTAATTTGTACTGAGCACTAACCATAATACTACTTATGTGTTAATAAATTTAATTCTCACAGTAACTGGATAACATAGGCATTACACTTATCCTTATTTTGCAGAGAAAGAACCAGAGCTATGGGTAGAAATGACTTGCTCATAATAGTAGAATATTAAAACACAGGCAAATATGTCTCCAGAGATAGCACTTCTGAGTACAACAATAAAAACCCTCTTTAACCAGAAAGGAAATAATTAACACTCACTTTTAATAAAAATTAACAAAAATTGAATAATTAGATACATTTTCATTGTTCTGCGTGTTTGTGAATGTATCAAATGGTACATAAGAAATAAGCCAGAAAAAATGTTAGTTAATATTTTAATGAATAAAATTGGAAAGTAGTTAATTATTATTTGCAGATATCTTTGCTTTGCTAACAAAAGCAACTAAAAGATGATTTTAAAGGTCTATTCAGGTGGGTAGGCAAAATTTTAAGATATTCCCCAGGATTGCCAGTCTGTTGCACACCTGCTGTGGAATCCTTTTTCCTTGATTGCAAAAGAATGTGTGACTGTGTTGGAAAATCATTCATAAAATCAGATTGTTAATGTGTTGCTTTTGTGTTCATCAAAAGGGAGATTATCCTGATTGGGCTAAAGTGAATCAGAGGCGCTTTTAAGAGAAAGGGATACATGATAGAAAAACATCCCAGCTGGCCTGGAAATAAGTGACTTCTACATGGGCCATGCTGTAAGCTGCTTATGGAGGACACATGGCAGGAAATATATTTGTATATTGTCATCATTTCTGCCTCCCACATGTTGCTTCCAGTAGGGAGGACAAGGAGAATCCCATTGCAGAGGAAAAAAAGGGGGGTCTTAGTCATGCAATAAATAATCACCTTATCTGAGATAGCTTAAGATAAACAGAGGAGACCACAACACAACCACATCAATGAGAGGAAAAAGGCAGTCTGGTTGAAAGAGCCCACTGGCGGCCGGGCGCGGTGGCTCACGCCTGTAATCCCAGCACTTTGGGAGGCCGAGACGGGCGGATCACGAGGTCAGGAGATCGAGACCATCCTGGCTAACACGGTGAAACCCCGTCTCTACTAAAAATACAAAAATTAGCCGGGCATGGTGGCGCGCGCCTGTAGTCCCAGCTACACGGGAGGCTGAGGCAGGAGAATGGCGTGAACCCGGGAGGCGGAGCTTGCAGTGAGTCGAGATCGCGCCACTGCACTCCAGCCTGGGCGACAGAGCGAAACTCCGCCTCAAAAAAAAAAAAAAAAAAAAAAGAAAAGAAAGAGCCCACTGGCATTGAAACGGGAAAGGTTCCCTTGTTCCCCTCACAAAGTGTGTGATGCGGGTGTGGTTCACTTCTTTGGTGCTCCACTGCACTAGGGAAGCATACAGATAGGCAGACCGACCCCACGGCAGTGTCTAGGGGTAAATGTTTACAGTTCCTGAAGCCCCAGTGGGCATGTGTTACAGGGCGCTCTCTTAGTTTGCCGTCTATAGGCAGCTCGTATTAACCAGCTCAATTAGACCCCCTTCCTTATCACCAGGACAGGGGGATTTCTGTATCCTGTGGTTTCTTGCCTTGGTGTACCAGAATAATCGGATCACACGTGGGCTTGGAGAATGAGTGTAAAGTTTTATTGAGTGGCATAGCTCTCAGCCAATGGGGGAGGCAGAAGGGAGATGTTCTTTCCCTGGAGTTGGGCCGCTTGGTGGCCCTGGCTCTCCTCCGACTGCCCGGACCAAACTCAGCCTAGTCCTACCAGTTGATAGCCTGCTGGTGTGCTGGTGCCTGCGGGTGTGCTCTTCTGCCAGCGTGCTCCTCTCGACGTCCTCTTGAGGACCAGCCACTTGCATCTTCCTCTACCGATGTGCTCCTCTCCACATCTGGTCACTTGTGTCTCTGCCTTGCTAGAGTCCCGGGTTTTTATAGGCCCAGGATGGGGGCATGGTGGGCCAGGGTGGTCCTGGAAAATACATTTGGGCACAAGGGCAGAAGTGCCTGTCCTCACTTAGGTCCGTGGGGGTGGAGCCCTGGCCAGTGACAGCGCCCTCCTCTACCCAGCAGTTCCCTTCCCCACTTCCATATTATTTAAACGGACCATGCTCTTCCCTTCCCAAGCACTTTTTTTTTTTTTTTTTTTTTGAGACGGAGTCTCGCTCTGTCGCCCAGGCCGGACTGCGGACTGCAGTGGCGCAATCTCGGCTCACTGCAAGCTCCGCTTCCCGGGTTCACGCCATTCTCCTGCCTCAGCCTCCCGAGTAGCTGGGACTACAGGCGCCCGCCACCGCGCCCGGCTAATTTTTTGTATTTTTAGTAGAGACGGGGTTTCACCTTGTTAGCCAGGATGGTCTCGATCTCCTGACCTCATGATCCACCCGCCTCGGCCTCCCAAAGTGCTGGGATTACAGGCGTGAGCCACCCAAGCACTCTTGTATCAGCCTTATGAGGCAACATTTAGTAAGCTGTAGTGAATGGTCAGCCTCTGGGATACCAATAGTCTACCAAAAAGGCTGAACTCATTCTAATTAAATCAGCATGTCTGCACCATTCTGATGACCCTGTTTTACATTATCCTAGGTACCCTCCTAGAATTAAAATTATCATGAAAAAGCATACCTAATTTTTCATTTTCACAATTGAAAAATTTTGAAAACAATAAATTTAATAATGAACTTCTGCTAATTTTAGAGGATTCTACTATACTGTAATCCAACATATATATTTCTTTTTTTTTTTTTTGGAGACAGAGTCTCACTCCATCACCCAGACTGAAGTGCAGTGGTGTGATCTCAGCTCACTGCAACCTCAACTTCCCAGATTCAAGCCCTTCTCCTCCCTCAGCCTCCAGAGTAGCTGGGACTACAGGCATGCACCACCACACCTGGTTAATTTTTGTATTTTTAGTAGAGATGAGGTTTCATCATGTTTGCCAGGCTTGTCTCGAACTCCTGACCTCAAGTAATCCACCCACCTCAGCCTCCCAAAGTGCTGGGATTACAGATATGAGCCACTGCATCTGTCCATAATATGAGTATTTCTTGAAAGCATGAACAGTTATGTGGATATTTGCTCTTAGATTAACATAATAAAAGTAACAAAACATTTAAAATCAGATAAAATTAGTCAAAACCACATCTTTTCAATGGCTTAGCATAATTGCCATGATTTTTGAAATGGACAGATTACTAACAAGAAGCAAAGACCAGATTTAGGATTTGCTCCGTTATTAAGTCCTTGATATTTCAGGGCAGTACAAGAATTTCGATAGGTAGGAAAATGCATACAATATACACACATGGCTTTTCTCTGATTTGCTTTAACATTAAAAAATTGAAGATTACAAATCTAATCTCTTAATTTACAGTAAATTTAAAAAGGATTTATTTTTCCACCAAGAAAATAATTATATAAAATTAATGGGTAACAGATGCCTTTAGCTGCCAGAAAATAGCATGACTAGATTCAGTAAGTATGTAGCCACGCAAATAACAGTCCATTACATTAAGACCCTAATAGGTGCATGTGGAAAACATTTCTGTGCTATGTTGTGCACCTTCACTCTGCACTTTCTTCTGCCTGTTTACAGAGATACCAATTTCCCCTGAGTAACTCAGGGTGAATACCGGGAATTGAGAATGCTGTGTTCAGAGGGATTACTACAAACATCATTAACACATTTTTCCATATTATAAAGACATTTCATAAATCTTATTCTGCCTCACAAAGGCTTTTAGTAAAAAAAAGTTTCTTTACAGTGTTCAAATTGAATTCATGAAAAATTTCAATATTCTAGGTAAGTCAGAGACACTTAAGTGTCAACAAAATTTCATAATACATACTTGAATGAGATAAAGTCTTCTTAACTAAGAATTTTATTTTATTTTATCACTACATTTAGAGAAGAATAAAAAACTGGTACTTTGAGCCAAATAACAGTGTTTGGCACGTGAGTACCACCCAAACAAGTGCTTTTCATCATCATCATTAAAATGGCAATCCATGTGCTTTCCTGGCACCAGGTGGCCTGTTTTCCACTGATATAAAGTGGAGAAGGCTTTATATTAAAATAATGAAGGAGGGTGATATAAATTGAATACCTGTATGAAATACAACTTATAATAAAAAGCAGAAAGAAATCTTACCACTAATGCTTCTCCTATAAAATATCACCAGAAATTAACTGGTTATTATCCTCAGTTTTCCTTCCATGAAAAATGGCAGGGACACATTGTAAGGAACATCAAAAGAGAACAGATGAAGTAGCCAAAGGAAACAGGTTATCTGATCAGACAGCTAAGTCAAAGGTGAGGAAGCCTCAAAGAATTAACACACTTCAAGCCCTTCGAATATAGGAAGGCTCCATAAGAGAAAATAAACCTCAGTATTTCTCTGTGGAAATAGAATGGGCTGCTTCTTGAGGGTATATTTTCATCTCTCAGGATGGCTACAGTCAGAGGACAGAGGATGGCAAACTCCATTTGCCAGCCTCAAGCCAATGGAAAGTCCTTAAAATCCTTCAACAAGTTTTTCACTTAGGAAAGGATAAATCTTATCATTGTGTTCAGAGATTCTTTTCAGGCAGAAAACCTCTAAGTTGGTTAAGCATGTAACCTCTCTAGCTCACTTCCAACAGGAATTGACACAACTGGCAGAAGCCCAACCCCAGGAAATAGGAACACCTTTGTTTAACTCGAGATTTGGCATTAGTGAAAACTCTCTCCTTTCCTAAACTCAAACTGGGAAGAGCCCTACACTGATTTTCTTTCAAGCCCCTTGGCAGTAAAAGTTACAGGTATCAAATTCTGAATGCATCACACTCAAGTCAAAGCCTGAAGAGCTGAGGGAGCAACCTCTGACAGCCCAGAGGAATGTCCTGAATATCAGTGTGGAGAAATAGAAGATCTTAACCTGAAAATCGTAAAAGATAAGTAACTGAGTGAGAGCTACTCATCTTACTCAATCCCATCTACCTCACCAGATACTTTAAAAAAATTCTACATTTCCTCTCAAAATTCACCGCCAAATATTAGACCTTCTTTTTAATGCATATTTGCCAGAAATTTCAATTATACATAGAATTGCATTTGTAACTTCATAAATTCCCAAAGGAGAATGTTATAGCTTGGCAAGTAAAGTTTTAAACAGAAACTATTTACTACACCACTTTTGCAGGAATTGTTATATTCACGCTATTATTTGCAATAGAACTGTACACTGTGGCACCCACAATGTGGAATTCTGGTTGTAAAATTCTAATTGCTGAAACAATTTGCCTAATTATTATCTTTGTAAAAGGATTAGCAGTTGCAGAAAAGATTTAGTCAAGTTTGTTTTGCTTATAGCAGGAGTAAGAGTTATGGATAGGAAGTAAGCATGGAAGTTTTACTATCGTTAAGTTTGATAGGACTTTGTATTAAAGATTAGTACTATGGTGCACTCTAAGCTATGGAAAGAAGGTTATAAAAAGATTTTATATAAGAAAATATCTTGTATGGTAAATTCTTGTCCTGAAAGGAAATGACTGGCTGTTTAAAGGAAGGATGTTTAGGACAAGTCAGAAATTTTAAGAATCTTGTAAGAGGGCCTGTCATGAAAGAATTTAATAATTAAAGGAAAGAAATTGCTAAGATCAACACTAAAGTTATTTTAGCCACCCAATAACGTATTCTCCCAATGATATTGTAAGTTATAAAAGATGGCCTAAACCTAATAGTATTCCCTAATGGCAAGTCATGGGGGAAATGTATGTTTTCTCAAAACAAATGTTACTTTCATATTAACATTTCTGGCAATGTACAGCAACATCTAGTGGAGGCAAACTGGTATTACAATCCATTGGTGTAGCTAACAGCTAACAAACTCTGCTGTCACAGTTATGGTCTATAGGATCTCTACTAACAATGGTAAGCTAAATACTCATATTCTAACCCTATATTTCAAGCCTTCTTGAAAAATTTCTCTCTTTTCACCTAGAAACAATTAAACCTTAAATGGTGCTATGAACAGAGCCACACATGGACACACCATTCTTTTGAGAACCCTTAGATCAACCTCAGAAGGAGCCCCAACTGCTGTCCCCCTGCCACAGCACTCCTTTTCTTTCTTTTCATTTTTTCTCTCTTTTTTTGTTTTTTGAGATGGAGTCTTGCTCTGTCACACAGGCTGGAGTGCAATGGCATGATCTCAGCTCACTGCAACTTCTGCCTCCCAGGTTCAAGCAATTCTTCTGCCTGAGCTTCCTGCGTAGCTGGGAATACAGGCAGATGCCATCACGCCTAGCTAATTTTTGTATTTTTAGTAGAGATTGGGTTTCACCATGTTGGCTGGTCTTGAACTCCTGACCTCATTATCCACCCACCTTGGCCTCCTAAAGTGCTGAAATTACAGTCGTGAGCCACCGCGCCCGGCCCACAGCACTCCTTTCCAACAGGAAGTACCCAGAAAGAGTTACGTTTGCCAAGCCCAGCTCGGTCGTGGAGACCCTAACCCAGCAGCACTAGAGGAATTAAAGACACACACACAGAAATATAGCATGTGGAGTGGGAAATCAGGGGACTCACAGCCTTCAGAGCTGAGAGCCATGAGCAGAGATTTACCCACATATTTATTGACAGCAAGCCAGTGATAAGTATTGTTTCTATAGATTATAGATTAACTAAAAGCACTCCTTACAGGAAACAAAAGGATGGGCCGAAACAAAGGGATGGGCTCTGGCTAGTTATCTGCAGCAGGAACATGTCCTTAAGGCATAGGTTGTTTGTGGTTTAGGAATACCTATAAGTGGTTTTCCGCCCTGGATAGGCCAGGTGTTCCTCGCTCTCATTCCGGTAAACCACAGCCTTCCAGCATGGGCGTTATGGCCACCATGAACATGTCACAGCGCTGCAGAGATTTTGTTTATGGCCAGTTTTGGGGCCAGTTTATGTCCAGATTTGGGGGCCTATTCCCCAGCATATCCCCCTTCTTGTTTTTGCAGGGCAATAAAAGCAAAGGCAGCTTTATCACGGTGAGCTACTTCTCGCAGGAGTCAGGATCTGCATCTGCAGACTACACAAAGACAAACAACACAGATTAATAACACAATCATCATTGAAATCACAGAGCTTCCAAGTGTTTTCATCCATTTTAATGGGTTACTGGCTGCTAATCCGTCTGCAGCTCCTTCAAGCACTCCAGTTCCTGGTATTAAGGTCAGATGTGCCTGGGATGCTTTAAATATTTGTTCTTTTAACTTTGCAATATCCAAAAACCAGTTTGTATAGTGTCCTTCTAGATGGTTTTTTATTCGTTCCCAAATTTTGATCTTATTAAGAGCCATTAATAGTTTCCACAAATCCTTTTGTTAATCTCCTACGGCGGGTCATATCATTTGAGGTTGAGGTGCCACTATACCGCCATGTTTCCAGATAATAAGAACTCTTGCCATACTTCTTACCATTTCTACCATCTGACTGTTTTCTTCTGACCAGCTGAACATAGTGTGGCCATGGCACACATACTCAGAGGTACAATTCAAGCTAAACATCCCCTTAGGAGACCGATCAATAATGATTCCATAGGAATCATTGCGCAGCACCTCTGCCTGTTCTGCAATGCAATCTTCCCAAACAAGTACATTCATTTTTTCTGGCCAGGTTCAATTCTGTTTACAAATAGGTTTTTGAGGGTGGTATGCCTTAATTATAGGAGCAGATTCATTATGGCAAATACTGAGATCAGAAAGCATGTGTAACTGGGTCATAGAGTGATTACATCCAGGCATTATTGCCAGCCAAGATTGATAGATATGCCCAATAAGTATAATTGTTCTCTGTGTCAGCGCTTGCTGAAGGAATACTCACAGCAATGGTGATCACCGCTCTCATAGCTATCATTAAATTACTCATTGTGACTGGTTGTCCCGCTTTCCTCAGGTTTTCTTCCACCATCTGTGACAGCTTCTTGATCTTTCCCCAAGTAGGTGGCTGTGTTCGACGGGTGTTGCTCGTGACAGTTGGGGTCCTCCTCAGCATCAGTCTTGACATGGCTGCAACTGGGGGGTCCTCAGGATTCTCCCAGAATCTCTTCCACAGCATCTGGCTCATGATAAGGTTTTAGGTGTCTTGATGGTATCTAAATCAGCTGCTGGTTCTGGCCTGGAGAAACACAAGCATAATCTCTACCCCAAGTTATTATTTTACCTATTTCCCAACTTTTTGTTATCAGATCTCTCCACCAAACCAGTTGTTCTGCTTCTGTCTTTGCAGCTGGTTTCTGTAGATGCTGTTCAGCTGCTGATAGCATCTGGCCCTTAGGCAGGCTCAAAAAATTTAAAGTCAATAATGCTAGATTCAATTGTATATGCAGTGTCCCATAGTCCCTGTTTCCCCCCGCCCCCTTTGTTTTTGCTACTGCTGTTTCAGGGACAGATTCATTCTTTCTACTATGGCTTGTCCTTGAGAATTATATGGGATACCAGCAATGTGTTTAATATTCCACATAGAGAAAAATGTAGCTAGAGCTTGGCTAGTACAGCCTGGGGCATTATCTGTTTTAATAGAGGCTGGAATGCCCATCACCTCAAAACATTGCAAAAGGTGACATTCAACACAGGCAGAAGACTCTCCTGATTGGCATGTAGCCCAAAGTGGGAAAAGGTGTCCACACATACATGTACATAAGCTAGACTCCCAAACGAGGGAACATGTGTGACATCCATTTGCTAAAGAGAATTAGGTTCCAATCCTTGAGAATTAACTCCTCCTGTAAAAGATGAGGAATGCACCATTTGGCAAATTGGGCATCACTCGGTAATAGCTTTAGCTTCTTTCCAGGTAATGCTGTATCTGCGTTTGAGACCAGAGGCATTAACATGGGTTAAATTGTGAAAGTGTCTAGCATTAGATATTGCAGTAGCAACTAGGCGATCAGCCATTTGATTCCCTCCAGTTAAAGGTCCTGGAAGAGGTGAATGAGCCCTAATGTGAGTGATATAAAAAGGGTGCATTCTACTCCTAACTGCTATTTGCAATTGGGTAAATAAAGTCATCAGTTGTTCATCTGTATGAAATCGTAACTGAGCATTTTCAAT
This sequence comes from Homo sapiens, assembly GCF_000001405.40. Taxonomy (NCBI): domain Eukaryota; kingdom Metazoa; phylum Chordata; class Mammalia; order Primates; family Hominidae; genus Homo; species Homo sapiens. The sequence goes on along the minus strand of NC_000007.14, from coordinate 64,948,180 downwards.
TAATTGTGTGGAATGAACCACGTATGAAGAATCAGAAATCACATTAATAGGCATAGTAAAAGCAGCCAATACCTCAATTACAGCTATAAGCTCTGCTTTTTGAGCTGAAGCATAGGGGATCTGAAAAATTTTACCTTTCCAGCCAGAGTAAGAAGTTTTACCATTACTAGACCCTACAAGGAGCCCAGGGACCCCAAAGCAGGGAGCAAAGGATGTTTCTCCCACCTGGAGCACAGCCCTGTTGCAGAAGGCACAGTCTCGGCTCGGGGAGCCCGGCAGGGATCCAGGCGTGGTGGGGGAGGGGGCGCCCGGGCGGAGCTCACCTGCGGCGGTGGGTCGTAGGGTCCCTGGCTTGTGGAGAGAGGTTGGCGCTGTTCCTTGGCTCCGCTCCCCAAAGGGCAAAGCGCCAGGAAGTCGGGCTCCCGGCGGTCTCCAGGCTCTAGCCCACCCGCGCCCAGGCCGCACCCACCGCGTCCCCTCCGCCCCCACACAGGGTGTGGAGCGTCCCGACCGGGCGTCAGCGGGCAGGGCCATGCAGCTCCTGTGGACGCCCAGAAGCGCGGAGCCCCTTCCCACTAGGGCCTGGAGACCACTCTAAACTGGCTCGGCGGCCCTGGGACTCGGGCTCCGGCTCCCGTGGTCTAACCCCTCCTGGGGGCTGTGTCCTCGCCGGACGCCAGGTCGCTGGAGACCTCTGGGTCGCCCCGGCTCCTGGCGGCTCCTGGTGCCACGCGGTCCGGAACTGGCTTGCCTGACATGAGAGGGACAGAGCGATGCGGCTGGCGGGGCTGGGGGTCCCCGCTAGGTGGGAGAGCGGCGGGGCTGCTGCTGACCGGAGCAGCCTGGGTCTGTTCTGGAACCGTCGCCCTGAGGCCCCTCCGCCCCGCAAACCCTCCGGGTGCGGTTTGGGAGTGAAGCCGGACACCAAACACCATCCACGCTCAGCCCCACGTGGGTCCAGGAGTCCCGAGCCCAAGCCCCTGCACCTGTATTTTAATTTTTTTAAAAAACCTGAGGGTTAAAGTCAGGCAAGTCAGCTGACTCAGTGTTTGCCTCCTGCTGCCTAGATGTGACCAGCGTCTTTTGCTGGCAGTCAGAGACCAAGCCCCCCCAGGCCCTCCAGGACCCCCTGACTGGTGAGGCCATCCTCTGCAATTATGAGCAGCACTGAGGTGCTCCCTACCCAGGGTCACTGCCTGAGCCGGCTAGAGGCCCAGCAGGGGGCACTGGAGCTGTGAGACCCAACCTCCCAGAAGCTGCCTCCTCCTGCCCAAGGAGGCTGCGCATCCTCACTCAGGGCTGTGAAGGGGAATGAGGGCAGCTCACAGGCTAAGGGGCCGCTGAAGGCAGTTTTTCTGGACAGCTGACTTGCGAGCCTGGAGGAAGAGTTAGGGTGTGTGTGTGTGTGTGTGTGTTTGTGTGTGTGTGAGAGACAGAGAGAGAGAATTATTTCATTCAAGGACATCTGTGTGTCTCAGTAGAGTAAGAGTGAACAGCAGCATCCCTGCAGAGGAGCAGCATGTGGACAGAGTCACAGGCTGGCTGGATCACAACAAATCCTTGTGGGTCAAGGAGAGCAGATTCCGTGATCAGCTGCTGTCTGGGTTTTGTGTTTGCCTTTTCCTGCTGTTCCATTAAGCCAGGGCACTGGGGCCAGATTGCCCTCAGCCATGGCCAAGGGTTCCCTGACAAGCTGGGGAGGAAGAATTCCCTTCCCAGCCCAGGGGCACAGGTCAGAGCAGCCTGTTCAGTGTGGATCTGAACTCAGAGAGTGGAAGCCACTGTCTCAGAGTCACAGAGCAGGTCAGTGGCAGGGCCCGTGTCCCTGACCTCCAAGCTCTATGTCTCTGAGGAAATATTCCACCCAAGAGCATGAGAGTTCTCTGAGCATGGACTCCCTGGCAGGTGAGGTCATTTTACCCATTATCTCTTTTCATCCTCATTGTGTGTGTGGTTTGTATCAATGTCCCCGTTTTATGGCAGGAAACTTAGGCACAGTGAGGAGCAAAGGCCTGTGCAAAGCTATAGAGCTCAGAAGTGGCTGAGCTGACCAGACAGGCTTCCTTCACCATTGCTCTGCTCCATTTGGAGGTTGGACAATATGCCTTGGGACCAACAGTCACAAGCTTGTGTGGGCTCAGGGGAGATATTCATTAAAAACTAGAATCCATGAAGCTTCCAGCCCCACTCATTTCTGCAGGGGCAGGTGGCTGTGCTTGGCATGGGCTCCTCATTGCTCAAAATAGAGCCTTCTCTTCCAGATAGAGCCTATTGTCCCAAAGGTGAGTGAGGTTGCAGCCCAACCTGGGCAGGGTGATATCTTCTGGGCTAGACTGGAAACTCAAGCCTTGCAGCTGGACAAGTTATGACTTCTGTCCTGCCTCAGTCACTCCTAGGCTGAACGACTCTGGGCACATTGCTCTCTAAGCTTCTGTTTCCTTATCTTTAAGATGGTGACAATGACATCTCTTTCCCACCGTAGCTATTGGTGTTTAGTAACTCATCAGCCTTAGGAGTTGGCATGCATATTCTCTGGCATTACCCAATGGCTGTATTTGTGAGTTTTCCCTGGTCTATGGGGACCTTCCTGAGGGCAGAGGGCAGGGACCAGGTGTCACTTGACTCAGGACCCAGACAGGCACAGCACAGCCAGAACCAGAGGGGGCAGGGCCTGGGTATGATTGGAATCCAGGCATCTGGCCCAGTTTTTCTGGCTCTGTCTTCCCCACCTTTTCCAAACTGATCTAAGGATCAGATTTGCCATGCTGCCCAGACATCCTGGTGGCCCTGTCTGAAGAAGCAGCCTCAGAATTTCTCTGGTGCCAGCTGGACGACTCAGAGAGAAAAACTGGTCACCAATTTCTGCTTCAAGTGGGTAGGGAAGAAAGCTACCACTTGCAGCTACTTATTATGTGTCACCAGCCAGGCACTTTTCCTACTTAGTGGTCACCTCAGCTAAGTCATAAAGACACAGAAAGGAGTGCCTTGCCCCATGTTCACAGCTGATAAGTGGGGTGTGGGAGAGGAGGTGCTGAAATCCACATTTATCTAAACCTTTCAGACCCATGTGCATTTCTCCATTTTTACCACATTGTCCCCTCCTTGGTGACAGCCTGGGCTGCTGCTCCTGCCTCTCACTGGCCTCTCTGCCCCCAAGCTGCCTGTGCCATAGGAAGCTCCATGTTGCGCTTTCAAACCAGCAGCCCAATCCATCCCTCACCTACTTGTGCCTTTCAATGACTCATTGTCCTCAGAAAATGACCCTGGCTCCTAGGTGTCCACACCTTTGTGGCCCTGGGTGCAGTGGCTCACATCTGTAATCCCAACACTTTAGGAGGCTGAGGTGGGTGGATCACCTGAGGTCAGGAGTTCGAGACCAACCTGACTAACATGGCAAAGCCTGGTCTCTACTAAATATACAAAAATCAGGCAGGCATAGTGGCGAGCACCTGTAATCCCAGTTACTCAGGAGGCTGAGACATGAGAATAGCTTGAACCCGGGAGGCAGAGGTTGCAGTGAGGAGAGGTCATGCCATTGCACTCCAGTCTGGGTGACAGAGCAAGAGTCCGTCTCAAAAAAAGAAAAAGCAAAGAAAAATGAAAAAATGAAATAAAGTGATCTACACCCCTTCTTTCAGAATCCTGAACCTGATAATCCTGTTGCTATTTGGTGTTAAAAATGTGCTTCAAATGTTTCTTTTTCGGGGGGGCGGGGGGATGGAGTCTCACTCTGTCACCCAGGCTGGAGTGCAGTGTCACAATTCAGAGATTTTTCTTTAATGATAATCTCAGCCTTTTTAATGATAATTCACCAGCCTTCGCTGCACTGCCAGGAGACCTTGAGATGTCCCCCTTCCCTCTTTATGAAAATGTGCTATGTTTCTAGACAACATGGAAAAATAGAAAAGTACAATTATAAAAAAAAAGCAAATCACAGATGAAAACTTATGGTAGACTTTATATAAACCCCCAAAACAGGCAACACGCAAATGTATATTGTTTATAGATAAAATTGCATAAAGTAAATGATAACACAAAATTCAGATAGTGGTTACATTGGAATAGGAGGTTAATAGGAGACTTCGGAGGTATCCACTTCTCAGGAGTGTGTGAGGGTTTTATGTAGCCAGACTGAAAGTTTCATGAGAGTAGAGACCAATATTTTTTCTTCATTTTATTTCCTAAGCCTAGCAAAAAGGATGGCACATCGTGTCTGCTAACACACACTTTTCAGTTAAATGAATAAATACACGACCTTGTAAGCGGTCAAGCTACGCAGATCAAGACTTTATTATTATTAGTTACTATAGTTAATTAATAGATTCAAATAGAAGGTAATAAACCATAGGATTCAGAAAGCACTATTGAAAGTTTAATGTTAAAGTAGCACTCTTGGGTAAATTAAAACTCTTAGTTCCTAAATTTGTGACCATTATAATTACATTTAAATTGCCACATGAGTATGAAACATGAAATCTGACTGAAGGCAAGCATAATTTAGAGGAAAAGGCAAAAAAAAGAAAAAAAAATGAAAACCTGACCGGGTCAGATCCGCAAGTTCTACTCTGTGCTGGTTTTGTTTTTGTTTTTTTTTGTTTTTTGTTTTTTTAAGACAGAGTCTCGCTCTGTCATCCAGGCTGGAGTGCAGCGGTGCTATCTCTGCTTTGTCTCCCGGGTTTAAGCAATTCTCTGCCTCACCCTCCCGAGTAGCGGGGATTACAGGCGCCCACCATGTCTGGCTAACTTTTGTATTATTAGTAGAGACGGGATTTCACCATCTTGGCCAGACTGGTCTCGAACTCCTGACCGCATGATCCACCCGCCTCGGCCTCCCAGAGTGCTGGGATTACAGGCATGAGCCACCGCGCAGCCTCCGTGCTATTTATTTATTTATTTTTGTATTTTTAGTAGAGACAGGGTTTCACCATATTGGTCAGGCTGGTCTCGAACTCCTGACCTAGCGATCTGCCCGCCTCGGCCTCCCAAAGTGCTGGGATTACAGGCGTGAGCCACCGCGCCCGGCCCTCTGTGCTTCTTTTAAGGAAACAGTTCTCTCTTCTGGTGGAGAGGGAGGCTGGCTGGAGGACTCTGGGCCCTTCTGTCCTCCCCGAGGTGGCAGTCGCTGATCTCTGCTCAGGTGTGAGGGGCGCCGCGATGCCCTGGGCCTAAGGCTGCCAGGCCCCGCTCCTCCTCATTCCCCTGGACTCTTCCACGGTGGGTGTCTCTGTGCCCCTGCATCTTCCTGTGCGTCCCTCTGATGAAAGGGGCGGTGGCAGCTTGAAGCTGGTGGGAGGAACTGGCCGCAGGCTGAGGAGGGCTCGCCCAGCTGCGGGAAATGCTCTGGTTGACCTTGGCTTTCTGTGCACCGAGCTGGGTCTCGACCCAACGTTGGAGCCGAGGCGTCCCGGGGCTGAGCGACCCTGGGTGCGGGTGCTCCGGCTGCTGCTGCGGTTCCTGCTGTGCTCGGCTGGGCGGCGGCTGATACCAGCGCCCACCAGAAGTGCAGGAGCCATCCCGCAGGCGGGAGGAGGTGCTAGCTAGCCATGGTCCCCGAAAACCAGGCTCTGCTGACAAATCTCAGACGCCAGAAACAGAAGAACCCAGAGAAACTGCCCGAGAAACTTGTGCCAAACGGATGGACTGTTGGAGGAGCTGAGGGTGAAGCTGCGGTAACTCCTCAAACTGGAACAGCAAAGTCAGCACCAGAAATAGACAAGAAAAATAAAATTTCAAAGAAAATTAGAAGAAATCAAAGGCAGATGCTAAAGCAGCAAAAAACCCTCCACAGTACAACAGAAATGGAGTTGATGAAGGAGTCTGAGAAATGAATCTTAGTCACTGAGAGAAAGGACAGCAGTGAACACGGTCAGGTGCTGATGATTCTGGTCCACTGGATCCCACCATCCCTGGGAGAGTAAATACCATCCCAGTCATCACCCAGCAAGTTACCACCGCAGCATTTCCCATGTGTTCCAAAATGAATAAAGGTGATTCTCATCACAAGTGCAAATAAAAAGTCATTTATCATGTTTTTAATCTAAACTGTCACAGTTTAGTTTACTATTTTGTTCTTTTTGTGCTAAAACATTTGTTTTTCATTATTTGAGACAGAGTCTCGCTCTGTCACGCAGGCAGGAGTATGGTGGTGCAATCTCAGCTCACTGAAACCTCTGCCTCCTGGGTTCAATTAATTCTCCTACCTCAGCCTGTCCAGTAGCTGAAAACTACAGGCGTGTGCTACCACACCTGGCAAATTTTTGTATTTTTAGTAGAGACGGTTTTTCACCGTGTTTGCCAGGCTGGTCTCAAACTACTGACCTCAGGTGATGCACCTGCCTCGGACTCCCAAAGTGTTGGGATTACAGGCATGAGCCACCCCATCTGGCCAAACATTTGTTTTTCATATATTTTTAATTTTTTTAAGGCAGAGTCTCACTCCTGCCCAGGCTGGAGTGCAGTGGCATGATCTCAGGTCACTGCAGCCTCTGCCTTGTAGGTTTGAGCAATTCTCCTGCATCAGCCTCCCAAGTAACTGGGATTACAGGTGCCTGCCACCACATCCAGCTAATTTTTGTATTTTTAGTAGAGACAGAGTTTCACCATGTTGGCCAGGCTGGTCTCGAACTCCTGACCTCAGGTGATATACTTGCTTTGGCCTCCCAAAGTGCTGGGATAACAGGCATGAGCCACCGCGCCCAGCCACATTTGTTTTTTAAAAGTGGCAGCCACAGTTCCTGTCTAGATATATTTTGAACTTTTGTATGTTAAGTGTAACATAAAAAACGTTATGTTTTAGGTAATGTAAGATTGGTGTACACAAACTTTACAGATTACTGTAGGGTTCAGCAAATGATGTATATAATGACATTTTTATCTCTAGTTTTTGATGTATAAATCTTCCTACAGAAAAGATTGGCTTCTTTAAAAAATGACTCCACAAATTCAGGCTTATTTTATAAAATGGCACGTAGTAAAAAAATTTTTTTTAATTTTTTTTTTTTTTTGAGACAAGGTTTCACTCTTTTTGCCCAGGATGGAGTGCAATGGCATGATCTCGGCTCACTGTAACCTCCACCTACCAGATTCAAGTGATTCTCCTGCCTCCTCTTCCTGAGTAGCTGAGATTACAGGGGCGCACCACTGCGCCCAGCTAATTTTTGTATATTTAGTAGAGACGGGATTTCACCATGTTGGTTAGGCTGGTCTTGAACACCTGATCTCAGGTGATCTGCCTGCCTCAGCCTCCCAAAGTGTTGGGATTACCGGTGTGAGCCACCGCACCTGGCCTAAAAATGGATATTTAATTAATAATTTGTGTTTTCAAACATGCTGAAGTCTTGTTTTAGTAAGTCTGGGGATAGTTGACTAATTTTATTTTGTTTTCTTATGGGGTGTTCAAAAATTTTATTGATTGATGAGTAAACAAATCATTTTCTTTCAAATTTCATAGATCTATTAAAGTGTCAATATATTTTTAATTAAAAAATGTCTTTCAGTATTGTTTCAGGGATTTAGGCCTAGTTGAATATGCTCAACCTGTTAATCATTGTCTCCTGCCAGATTCCAAATCACTGTCTGTGCCTGTATGACTCTTCTTTCCATAGTCTTTGAATTAAATTTGTGTTACTTCTTTGAATGTTATATAATACAGCTCATATGTTTCAAATGAAACTACAAGGTAAAATGAGTTATGACTTAGTATAAAGAAGCTGTTAGCAACTCAGTATTACGTATACAGATGGATGTGGCTCAACAAGAATTTAGACAAAAATATTGAACTGTAACAGGTTGCCATGACTTAGTCTCTAATGAGTTTATAGATAAATCTATATTTCAGCACATATATCCAGTTGTGTTCAGTACCTCTAAAGGTGGTATATCAAGAATTCTTATGCTACTGTCTGAGAAAACAGACTCTGCTGTTACCTAGGTAGTCAACCAGAAGGCCGGCCGGGCGCTGTGGCTCATGCCTGTAATCCCAGCACTTTGGGGGGCCAGGGCAGGTGGATCGCCTGAGGTCAGGAGTTCGAGAACAGCCTGACCAACACAGTGAAACCCGGTTTCTACTAAAAATACAAAAATTAGCTGGGTGTGGTGGCACATGCCTGCAATCCCAGCTACTCAGGAGGCTGAGGCAGGAGAATCACCTGAACCTGGGAGGCGGAGGTTGCAGTAAGCAGAGATTGCGCCATTGCACTCCAGCCTGGGCAACAAGAGCAAAACTCTGTCTCGGGAGAAAAAAATAAAATAAATCAACTGGAAGGCATTTTTATAACCTTGCACCACATAACTAAAAGCTGAAAGGTAGTACTAATAAATGCAAACTACATCACATGGAAAATGGTAATCCAGAATTTAACTTTCGATATTTAAGTATTTGAACTTTTGATATAAAAAATTTGGTAAAATAAAGCTTTTGGTAAGCTTTGTGTAGCTTGACATCAGCATAAAGTAGGAAAATATCTTAAAAACAAAAACCTACACCAAAAAAAACTAGTCAATGCTTATATAGTGATCTTTGTGCTGTGGGAGTCCAAAGCAAAACATTTGGTGAACTTGATATTTATTTTGAGCATATTGGCATCCTGATAAAATTATTTGAGTGATTCATGTCCACATCTCAAAAATACAGCCTTGTACTATGAATAATGAAAAGTCTTTTTCCTCAAGAGGATCCTGATTCTCAACCCAACATATATGGCAACGCTTTCCTTTGGTTCCTCCAAACTGAGGCCTCATTAAGGCTCAAATATGGAGTGAGAGGGACCCAGCAACAGACAATGTGAAACAAGAAGGATGAGGTAAGATGGTCAGCTCTTAAGGCTCAGGAATTGCCTGGGGAATCTCAATATAATGATGTCAACTATAAAGCTTACTGGGTTAAAAAAAAAATCAAAACATAAAAAGCTGAAAATTCCATGAGTTGACTTTGGTGGGAAGGAGACTGTAGAATTTTAAGCAGTTGTGCCAAAAGGATTGAGTCAGAATGACATTTATCTAAGGATTATTAAGGCAAAGGTTTACAAACACATAAGTATTTGTTCCAAATCTTATTACCGCAGCAATATTCTTTTCTGTAATGTCAGCTTCCCCAAGCTAGGGATGCCATAGACAAACTAAGACAAGTGCCTAATATGTGCCTACAGGTAATTAGTTTCTAATTTCAACAAACTTTCAATAAACTCTGTTTCATGTATAAATCTCATTGAAAAGCACTGTGCAGTAGCTATTTCTCTCAGTGATTTCTGGGATTTTCTGTTGCTTGATTCAAAACCAACCTTATTTGAACCCAATCATTTCTAAAGTTCCAAATGTAATAACAAAAGAGAGTAGAAATGAAACCAAGTCACCCCACGCACTTCATGTCCAATATATTTGGTTCTGCAAATGAACCAAAAACCACACAAGCTAAACAATAGTGAGTTTAAAATTCAACCTAATTTCAATTGTAGCAGTCAAAACCATATGCTAAAATTAGCAAAGCCACAATGCAGAATCCCTTAGGCTGTTATTCCAGGAAAAATAATAAAATTCTTATTTTGGCATTTTTCAAAAGAATACACTAAATATGACAAAATATACCCAGTTATTAAAAATCTTTGAAATATAAATTCTTATTCTTAAATATTTGCTATATTTAGAAGAGCCTTTCAGTGAAAAATGCTTATAGCTACTATGTATAAATTAAAACAGCCCTTGGAAAAATAGTATCTTTTATTAATAATGTAGATTGAAGCTCCAAGGATGTAAACTAATTTCTCCTGGGCACATAGCTCATGTCCCAAATCAAGCTCAAATGAAGATATGTAACAGTCATAAGTTATATTATTAAATTAAAATACTTCTAGAAATAAAAATAAAAGGAGAGTTATAAAAACAAAAACAAATTAAAAAAAGGAAGTGGATTCCTCACAATTACTCCTAAGGTATGGATTAAACCTAAGTGTTAATCAACAGGTGAATGAATATAGAAAATGTGGTATATTTACACAACGAAATGCTATTCTGCCCTTCAAAAGAAGCAACTCTCATTATTTGCAACATCAATGAACCTGGAGGACATTATGCTAAGTAAAATAAGTCAGCAGAGAAAAGAACCCACTTAATATTATTTTTCTTTTCTTTTCTTTTCTTTTTGAGACGGAGTTTTTCTCTTGTTGCCTAGGCTGGAGTACAATGGCGTGATCTTGGCTCAACGCAACCTCCACCTCCCGGATTCAAGCAATTCTCCTGCCTCAGCCTCCAGAGTAGCTGGGATTACAGGCATGCGCCACCATATCTGGCTAATTCTTCATTTTCAGTAGACAAGGTTTCTCCATGTTGGTCAGGCTGGTCTCGAACTCCTGACCTCAGGTGATCTGCCCGCCTGGGTTTCCCAAAGTGTTGGGATTCCAGGTGACAGCCACCTGCCCGGCCACATAATATTATTTTCTATGTAGAGTGTACAAAAAATTTAAACCATAGAAGCAGAGAGTAGAATGATGATTGCCTGGAATTGGGGGTGGAGGAGATGTTGGTCCAAAGTAATGGGTCTTCCTTATGTCTCTTACCTTAACATATAAGCTATTCTTCTCTGTTTTGATTCACCAGGGAATGGAATTATATCCTGAAAAGCAAAACTGAAGGAGTTATGTATTTGTTAAAGCAATGCAGGTTGTATACTGAAATTTCAGAGGCTTAGAAAAATAACATATCTTCTGCTCACATCACCATCCCCTGTGGTTTTTCTTTCCTTTTTCTTTTTCTTTCTTTCTTTCTGGTTAAGAGGACTTCTTCGTGATCTTTCAGGAATCACATTATATTTTATCTACTATCTTCCGCATTCTTTTTCTTCAGTGACTACATTTAAAAAGAGATGCAGAGAAGACACATTTGCTTCTTATCCACACATCACTTTCACTCACTATTAGTCAATGTGGGTAGAGCTGAGAATAGCAGTTTCCTGGCAGGACAGCCACTTCTTAGCAATATAGAAATCACTGAAAGAAAAGTATAAGTCTTTCATAAAAAGCTAATGTATTTTAGGCAAAATAAGCATATGAATCATAGTAAAATGCTTCTGGTAAAATAAAGATTCATTTTGTTGATTTCTATTGCGCCAGGTAATATTTCACCAAAGGCTAGCAAATGTATAGCCAAAAAAGTAATATCATTTGAAATAAGAATATTGTGAATAAAGTTATTCTGTCAATAGAACATGACTTCATAGTCTTACCTGTAGCTGTACAACATCAAATGCTTTTTATTAAAAATTGCATTTTATACAAGTATTCAATTTCTGTCACCTTTCTTCTCTATTTCAATGCCTTCTTCACTTTACACCAATAAAAAACAAGCCAGCTGGTGCCAGGAAAGCACATGGTGCTATTGCCATTTTAATGACAATGAAGAGCACTCATTTGAGTAGCACTTGTGTGCAAAACACTGTTATTTAACACAAAGTACCGGTTTTCTATTTTTCCCTAAATTTACTGAAAAAATTTTTAGCTAAGAAGACTTTTATCTCATTCAAGTGTGTTTTATAAAATTTGTTTGACATTTAAGTGTCTCTGACTTACCTGGAATATATTATAATTTTTCATGAATCCAGGTTGAGTACTATAAATAAACAATCTTTTACCAAAAGCCTTTCTGAGGCAGAGTAGGATACATCAAATTTTATTATAATATGGTAAAAGTGTGTTAACCATGTTCCCAGTAATCCCTCTGAACACAGAATTCTCAGTTCCCAGTATTCACCTTGAGTCACTCAGGGGAAATTGGTATCTCTGTAAGCAGGCAGAAGAAGGTGCCCAGTGGAGGTGCACCACATTGCATGGAAATGCTGTCCACATGCACCTATGGGGTCTTAATTTAATTGGGCTGTGATTTGCATGACTAGATACTTACTGAATCTGGTCATACTGTTTTTGGCAGCTAATGGCATTTGTTCCCCCATCAGTTTTCTACAGTTATTTGCTTTGCTGAAAAATAAATCTTTTGCTAATTGAAAGACCAGATTTGCAATTTTCAATTTTTACATGTGAAAGGAAATCAGAGAATAATAATATGTGTATGTAGCATGCATTTTCCTGCCTATCAAAATTCTTCTTGTATTGCCTTGGAAACCCTAGGAAGCTACCTGAAGAATTCTCCCTTCAAGTTGTTTAGCCAGGATTTTAGATTTCAAAATATCCATAACTTAATAATTGAGCAAAGCAAAAATCTTGTCTTTGCTTCTTTTTAGTAATCTGGTCATTTCAAAAAGCATGGCAATTATGCAAAGCTATTGATTTTTTATCAATTTTTGATTAATTTTATCCCATTTCAAATGTTTTAACTGTTACTTTTATCTTGTTAAACTAAGAGAAACTATCTACATAACTGTTTATGCATTCACCCCTGTAATCCCAACACTTTGGGAGGCTGAGGTGAGTGGATTACTGGAGGTCAGGAGTTCCAGACCAGCCTCGTCAATATGGCGAAACCCCATTTCTACTAAAATGTAAAAATTAGCTGGGCATAGTGGCGTGCACCTGTAATCCCAGTTACTTGGGAGGCTGAGGCAGGAGAATAGCTTGCACCCGGGAGGCAGAAGTTGCAGTGAGCTGAGATCACACCACTGCACTCCAGCATAGGTGACAGAGTGAGACTCTGTTTCAATAAATAAATAAATAAATAATAGGTGGAGAATAAGCGCTGGCAAAATTCAACATACATGATAAATACATGATAAATCTCTGAATAAAACAGGTATAGGACAAATGCACCTCAAGCCAATATACACCAGATATACCAAAAAAAATGCACAGCTAACAACATATTAAGCAAGGAAATGTTGTAAGCTTTTACTCTAAAAGCTAGAACAAGACAAGAAGGCCCACTTCGATCAGTCTTATTAAACATAGTATTAAATGTCCAAGTCAGAAAATTTAGAGAATAAAATCAAAGGCATCCAGCTTGGAAAAAAAGTTAAATTATCCCTGTTTACAGATGACATACTCTTAGGTATAGAAAAGCCTAAGACTTCACTTAGAACTAATAAACAAATTTATTAAACTTGCAAAATACAAAATCAACACACGAGTCAGTAGCATTTCTACACAAGAACAATTAACTATCTCAAAATGAAATTAAAAGCAATCTCATCTACAATAAATGTAATAACTACACTTTGAAATCAGTTTAACCAAAAAGTTAAAACACCTTACATTATAATCTAAAGAACATTAAAGGAAGAAATTAAATACTAAACCAATTAAATAGTACTAATTCATGAATTGGCATTAATATTGTTAAATATCCATATTACAGAAAATAATCTGCAGATATAACACAACCTTTATCAAAATACCAGTGACATACTTAATAAAAATTAAATATATCTAAAATTTATATGATACCCCACAAAAGATCCTGTATAGCCAAAGCAATCAAGAAAAAAAAACACTAAAGTTATTACCCTACCTGACTTTGAAATATACTACCAAGCTATAGTACTCAAAACAGTATGGTACTTGAATAAAAACAGACACATATGCCAGTGGAGCAGTAAAGACAAACCAGGAATATATCCACGTATTTACAGCTAACTCAATTTAAATATAGGTAACACTTTCTTAGGGAAAGGGCATTATCTTCAATAAATGGTGCTAAGAAAATTATAGCAACATGCAGAGCAATGAGGCCCTCATTTCACACCATATATAAAAATCTATTCAAATAGTTTAATTACTTAAATGTAAGTCCTGAATCTCTGAAACTACTACAAAAAATATAGAGTAAAAGCCCCATTACATTGGTCTAGGCAGTAATTCTTTTGATTTAACCTCAAAATCCCAGAGAATCAAAGGCAAAATTGATGTCAGATTACTTCAAATTATTAATAAAAAGCTGTTGAAAAAAATCTGATACAACAAACAGGACAAGAAAAGTAAAAAATGGGACAAAATATTTGCAAACCATACATGTGACAAGACTTTAATATAAAAAAAAATGTAAGAAACTTGGCCAGGCTGCAGGCTCATGCCTGTAGTTCCAGCACTATGGGAGACCAATGCGGGCAGATCACTTGAAGTCAGGAGTTAGAGACCAGCCTGGCCAACATGGTGAAACCCCATCTCTACTAAAAATACAAAAATTAGCCAGGCATAGTTGTGGGTGCCTGTAATCCCAGGTACATAATTATAGTTAAATAAGAGGAATAAGTTCAAAAGATTTTTCTGTACAGCACGGTGACTATGGTTCATAATAATGTATTTGTATATGCTAATACTGAAAAAATGAAAAGTGCTAAGAAAAATGCTAAGAAAATGTGAAGTGCTCTCACCATAAAATGTTAACTATGTGAGGTAAAGCATTAACTTGGAATTAAGCATTTGACATTGTATATATACTTCAAAACATCATGTTTTACAGAAAAAAATGCATTTTATGTCACATCAAAAAATTCATTTTTAAAACATTATAGAAAGATAATAATGTTTCAAATACTGTGTCTGTTTCATAAACTTGGCTGAATAGTATCAAAAATACTTAGTTCTTGTGTGGCTTTTGTCATCTGTCATAATCACAGAAACTCTGATATTTAACAGCATGTTCTGGACCCAGTACAGTCTGTGGGAAAAGCCAATGTACTTTAGGGTTTTTACTTTAAGCTTGGGGTACCTGGAGTTTCTGGTACAGATGGTAATGGTATGAAAGACACTAAAAGGGCAGGTGTTGCTTATGGTCCCATGACACCATTCTGTGAAGGCAGAACACAAATTTGCATGCAAAAAAATAGAAAACGTTTTAATCCAAAAGTTGCCCTGATCTCCAAAAGTTTTCCAGAGAAAATGACCAAGGAGTTGGCTACAGATAGGTGACTAAGAATAAAAGCTGTAGACTGAACTTCACCAACCAAAAAAATATATATTAAGAAAAGTGAGACCGGGCGCAGTGGTTCACGCCTGTAATCCCAACACTTCAGGAGGCTGAGGTGGGTGGATCATCTGAGGTCAGGAGTTCGAGACCAGCCTGGCCAACATGGCAAAACGCTGTCTCTACTAAAAAGTACAAAAATTAGCCAGGCGTGGTGGCAGGTGCCTGTAATCCTAGCTACTCAGGAGGCTGAGGCAGGAGAACAGCTTGAACCTGGGAGGCGAAGGTTGCAGTGAGCCGAGATGGCGCCACTGCACTCCAGCTTGGGTGACAAGAGTGAGACTGCATCTAAAAAAGGAATTCCTCCAAATTGTAATATTAATAGGGAAAAGAAATACTATTCCAAATTTCAAGTCAACAGAAGTCATTTTATTATTTTGCAATGTTTTACAGTCACACTTAAAAATAGATTCTGTGTGAAAACGTTACTCCCGCGTTCAAATGATTCTCCTGCCTCAGCCTTCAAAGTAGCTGGGACTACAGATGCACACGACCACAGCTGGCTAATTTTTGTATTTTTAGTAAAGACAGGGTTTCACCATGTTGGCCGGGCTGGTTTCGCACTCCTGGCCTTAAGTAATCCACCCAGCTCAGGCTCCCAAAGTGCTAGGATTACAGGCATGAGCCACCGTGCCGAGTCAGATTTACCATTAGCTCTCTTAAAAATTTAATTTCTGGCCGGGCGCAGTGGCTCGCGCCTGTAATCCCAGCACTCTGGGAGGCGGAGGTGGGCGGATCACCTAAGGTCAGGAGTTCACGACCAGCCTCACCAACATGGAGAAACCCTGTCTACTAAAAATACAAAATTAGCCAGGCGTGGTGGCACATGCCTGTAATCTAAGTTACTAGGGAGGCTGTGACAGGAGAATCAAACCCAGGAGGTGGAGGTTGTGGTGAGCCAAGATCGCGCCATTGCACTCCAGCCTGGGCAACAAGAGTGAAACCTCATCTCTAAATAAATAAATAAATAAATAAATTTCTAACATATTTTCTAGCAAATTTTATATTTGCCACACTTTGTATAAGAATCTAGTAAGATATTTTTTTTTTTTTTTACAAACAGTTAAAAACAATGCTAAGTGATTTAATCCTCTCACCTGTGGACAGCGTATGCCTTTTATCTTAACAATCTGACAGTTATATTGGTAAGCAAACTCACCAATTAAAACCAATTTTTCAGTGCACTAAAAATATCAAATTTCTCATCAAAACTTACTAAATTACCATGTGAAATGACATGGCATAAAGACAACAGCAAGAAAACTGTAGCCATAACACAGAAAAAGAAGAGCTGTGATGCACACATTGTTGGAATACACATAAGACAAACAAAACTGAATATAATTAGAAAATAACCAGCATTTCTCTTTAAATTCGGCAGAATTCAGCTTCGCAGCCTGGAAAAAAAATGTCCTCTCCACATGAAAAATCAATGTTACTGTTTCACCATTGATATATTCCATTTCTGACTTGAAGTTACAAACTAACTTCAACAGGAATATTTATGTCTTACTATGGAGCATCTGTTATAGATCAAGCACTGTCATGTTTGTCTGCTATGTTTATATAGAACAGCATCCTCATGACTCAGGAAGCCTCCCTAGTACTTACCTGAACAAATTCAATAAATAAATAAATTTACTTATGAAAATTATGAAAAGTGAAAGAAAGAATAACTTTAAAAAAGTCGGCTTACATAGGGTTCTCCAATTAAAAGAACAAAGGGCAATGTTTTAACTAAATAAATAAAATATAACTTAATAGACTAATAGTAAAATTACATCTAAAAATTACTTTTTGTGCACTACTAAATTTTATAAAAAAAATAATTGTTGTAATCCCTGACCAGCTCATATAATACTTCATAAACTGTAAAAGAAATTGTAAGAAAAAAGAAATGTATGGCTCTACCATGAGTACCAGGCAAGTAAAAACAGAACATCTGCATGGGGAGATTCTGAACCATAAGCCATAATATTTTACAGTAATGAATTCAGTACAAAGCAGAGAGAGTATAGATTTGCTTTCAGCATTTTTGAGGTTGTTAGTTTTCTAATAAATTAGTCACCTTATTAAAATGATTTGTTTTGTTCCAATATTGCTGTTTTCTTTTGAAAACAGGTACAAACATACTCACACAAGCACACTTACTCTACAATTTTCTTACACTTAAGATTTATCTTTAAAGTAAAATATATGTATATTTAACTCTATGTAAATCAAAACTGAGTCTTTATATGTTTGCAGGCAAAGAGGCC